>NC_000003.12:121887392-122190422 GCF_000001405.40 Homo sapiens
TTTATTACTTAACTCATAATTAATAAGCAAGCTCATAATTCAAAGTGGCTAGTAAAATGCTTATTTTAATATAGTAATTATAATGGTTTTTACTGAAAGTTGTTATGCTGAGTTTTCTTTTTGGTGTTAACACTACCAGAATTGGTTACATGGTGATATGAGCTGATAAAGCTGGCTGTATAACATGCATTATGTTTTCAAACTTCCGGCAAGCTGAACAGTACATCTTCAGTACATCATTTCCCCTCCTTATTATATCCCTCATAAGTGAAACATTCTTAAAGACCTGTTTTTATGGATCGAATACATAGTATATCATTCTTTATACCACTCAAGGGTATATATAAGTACCTCAGAGAGAGAAGAATGAAATAGTATCTCCCATGCTTTTGTATCTCCTTATTTGATGTGTTTTCAGATACCAAAATGTAGGGAGCTAGTGGATTAGATAAGTTCTCAGATAAAAGGTTCTCTGCCAGAAACAACTGATGATCCTGATGTGATTCTAAACATACACACTTTTGGTTTGATCCATACTGAATGGTTTGATTAAACTGATGGTAGGCTGGGCATGGTGGCTCATACCTGTAATCCCAGCACTTTGGGAGGCCGAGGCGGGCGGATCATGAGGTCAGGAGATCGAGACCATCCTGGCTAACATGGTGAAACCCTGTCTCTACTAAAAATACAAAAAAAAAAAATTAGCCGCGTGTGGTGGCAGGCGCCTGTAGTCCCAGCTACTCGGGAGGCTGAGGCAGGAGAATGGCGTGAACTCAGGAGGTGGAGCTTACAGTGAGCAGAGATCTCGCCACTGCACTCCAGCCTGGGTGACAGAGTGAGACTCCGTCTCAAAAAAAAAAAAAAAAATACTGATGGTAATGTAAGCATGCAAGCAGAAAAAGTAAGTTGGCTACAAAAGAACAAAAATCAAAGGACTTTGAATTATTCTATAAGACTAAAATCTAAAGGTAATAAAGCTGCATCTGTGCAAGGGTATTAATGTGACCTATGAATTATGTATTCATCAGATGTCATCCATAGTTTGGTAAGAAGGTATTCTCAGACATATAAGAATTCAGGAATTCTATCATTCATATACCATTCCTATAATAATTATTGTAGTAATTTCTAATTTATTAAGAGATGAACCAAAATTAGGAACTCAAGAATGGAAAAGAAGTATAATAAAAATATATTATGAAAAGATTGATAACTAATATTTTCAGGACTGGCAACTTCTCTGTCTCCTGAAGGAAACTCACTCAGTTTGAAGGGGTAGTTGACACTCATGCCCAGAAACATTTTAAGGGAAAGTGACTTCTGGGATGCTGACTAGGGAGAGAAGGCCAAGAGCTTATTCACCCTATGGCCCTGAGGCTGCAATCCTAGTTGGGGCAATCATGTTTCAGGCTGAGACTGGGTACATGTGCAGCAGAGACTAGAGATGGCCTAAACTATTCACACACTCCTGACCAACCCTGAGGCATGTGCATAGTAAACGCAAAAGGGCCTGATGAAAAATAGAACTTGGGAAGACTTGAAAATAACATGTTCTTTGAATGTATTCCCTTACACATACAGATCCATTAGCAAAGGACAAAGTCTTGTTGGCTCAAAGTGGTTTGGATATGATATTTGTCCAGTCTTTGGCCACTCAGAGTACCATTTTGTAGAACAGTGACCTTGAGGGAGGAAGGTTTGACTGGGAGGCAGAAGGGAGGCAGTGGTATTATCTCTGAAGAACTTTTGGCATTGACGTGCTAGAAATTTTTTTAACATTATCTAGGTAGTGCTTGTGTGAGTTACACATATATAAAAATTAACAGAGCTGTACACTTAAGATTTGTGCATTTTACTTCAAGTACATTTAATTTTAAAAGTCCATAAATAAAATCAATAGGAAAAATATTGCAATATAGAGGATGGCAGAACATTAATATCAATAATGTTTAAATTGACCTTACAAATTTACAAGAAGGGGACACACGACTCTAGAAAAATGGGCAAAGAAAATGAATAGGCAGTTCCAAAAATTATAAAAGCATATATTTTGGCTCGGCATTCTCACTTCTGGAAATTTATCCTACACATATATTTAACTTCTGTGCAATATTATTATTGCAGTATTACTTATA
Organism: Homo sapiens; assembly: GCF_000001405.40. Classification (NCBI taxonomy): domain Eukaryota; kingdom Metazoa; phylum Chordata; class Mammalia; order Primates; family Hominidae; genus Homo; species Homo sapiens. The sequence continues at coordinate 121,889,528 of NC_000003.12, forward strand.
ATAGAAAAAGACTGTGAACCCTGAAAATTTGAGACATGTCTTAGTTAATTAATTAATTTATTTATTTATTTGAGACGAAGTTTCGCTCTTGTTGCCCAGGCTGGAATGCAATGGCGGGGTCTGGGCTCACTGCAACCTCCGCCTCCCCAGTTCAAGCGATTCTCCTGCCTCAGCCTCCAGAGTAGCTGGGATTACAGGCGCCGGCCACCACGCCTGGCCAGTTTTCGTATTTTTAGTAGAAATGAGGTTTCACCATGTTGGTCAAGCTGATCTCAAACTGCTGACCTCAAGTGATCCTCCCCCCTCAGCCTCCCAAAGTACTGGGATTACAGGCCTGGCAGTCTCAGTTAATTTAGAAAGTTTGTTTTACCAAGGCTGAGGACTAGCTGGTGACACAGCCTCAGGAAGTTCTGATGACTTGTGCCCAAGGTGGTTGGGACATAGCTGGTTTTTTACATTTTAGGGAGATATGAGACATCAATCAATATATGTAAGAAATACATTAGTTCCGTCCAGAAAGGTGGAGACTATTTTTCTTTCTTTCTTTTTTTTTTTTTTGAGACGGAGTCTCTGCTCTGTCGCCCAGGCAAAAGAATATTTTTCCATTTACCTATTAATCTTTTTGTTATTGATTTATGCAGTTACTTATATAATCTGGACACAAATCCTTTGACAGATATATGTAACACAAATATTTTCTTCCCCTCTGTAAATTGTCTTTTGACAATTTGCAGAGTGGTCAACAAAAGTTCTTAATTTTAATATTGTCCAACATCTCTTTTTTTTCTTTCATGGTTACCATATTTTATATCTTATTTAAGAAATGCTGGCCAGGTACAGTGGCTCATGCCTGTAATTCCAGCACTTTGGGAGACCGAGGTGGGCTGATCACGAGGTCAGGAGTTTGAGACCAGCCTGACCAACATGGTGAAATCCCGTCTCTACTAAAAATACAAAAATTAGCCAGGCGTGGTGGCGCGTGCCTGTAATCCCAGCTACTCAGGAGGCTGAGGCAGGAGAATAGCTTGAACCCGGGAGGCGGAGGTTGCAGTGAGATCATGCCACTGCATTCCAGCCTGGGCGACAGAGCAGAGACTCCGTCTCAAAAAAAAAAAGAAAGAAAAAAAAGAAATGCTGACTTACTCCACAATCATAAAGATGTTCTCTTATGTTTTCCTCTAAAGACATTTTTTTTTACTTTAACATTTAGATAGGCAATCTATATAGAAATTATTTTTGTGTATGTTGTAAAATAAGGGTCAAAATAATTTAGGGGGTATGGATATTCAAATGGTGTTTATTTATTGAAATCAACATCATTTCCTTCACTGTATTACAGCATCATCTTTGTTATATACATTATGTGTGTGAATCACTTTCTGAACGCTGTGTTGTTTCATTGGTTGCCCTATGTTATCTGTGTCAATTCCACTCTGATATAATAACTATCTTTAAAATAGGTCTTAGATTGGGTAATACAATCCTCCACCATTATTCTTTAAGATTGACTTTGCTATCCTTGGCTCTTTGCACTTCCAAGTTGACTTTAAAAAGTCATCTTGTCATTTTCTATACTCACAAAACCTGCTGGGATTTTGTTTTAGAACTGTAGAATGTTTTGAGAAATGTTGACATCTTTACAATATGAGCCTTCCAATTCATAAGCATGGTATGTTTCCATTTATTTAGATCTTCTTCAATTTCTTTCAGTAAAATTTTATAGTTTTTAATATTGAGGTCTAGAAGATCTTTTGTTAGATTTATTCCTAAATCTATTTATATAAATAAATATATAAATGTATTCCTTAGATTTCCCTTTTCTATTTCTTTGTGACTGATGTTTGATACAATTTATTTTTGTGTATTTTAATTTAGAGAACTTGTTAAATATATGTTCCCTTTTAATTTCATATTTTCCTCTTCTCTCTGACTATATTAGATTCTATTAACTTAGAGCAGCAGTCTACTTTTGTGTATATATAACTAAAACTTTATCATATGTCATAATAAATGTTTTCTGATGTTGTAATCACTAAGGACACAAATATTCTTTACTCATCACTGATACTTAGATTCTTTCACTTTTATTGTTTGTCTCAGAATAGTTGGTGCTCATTTCTGTCTGGGAGGTGCTTTCTTTTTATCTCTTCTCTTTCTCCTTCTATCTGATGTTAGCAAAATAATAGGATTTAAGAGCCATCTTAATATTATATAAATGGCTCAAGACTATGCCTTGGGAGCCTAGGGTTCCAGTCCTTGCTTTGTCCCTTCTGAGTTCCTCTGAAATAGAATAGGAGAGAATTTATGACCAGTGTTTCCCAAATTCCTAGCGTAAGAATTGCTAGAGGTGCTCGTTGAAAACAAAGATTCTTAGATCCCTACCGAGATCTACTGAATTGGAATTTCCAAAGGAAAATGATTCTTATCCTCAGGGAAGTTTCACTCACATAGGACAAGATTAAGATTCCTTCCATCTCTGATATTATTCGATTCTGTGAATACTATCATTATACTGCCATAATCAAAAGAAGAATTTTGTCTAAACAAAGGAGTGTCAGAAAACCACTGCCAATACTCCAAAGTTTAGTATTTGGGATACCTATGAGCACAAATAAATTGGTACATTGCATACAGGTGCTATTCCATCTACTCTGCCAGATCAAGGAAAGCCACAACATAAGTGGATCTTCAAGGCATCTGTGCCTCTGCTAGTTAACTTGACTAGTAACTTCTGACCATTTATTTTCCAGCCAAAGTCATTAACCAAACCAATTCAGAAATGGCAGTGCTTCCTGAAAGAATAACTATACCTTAATTATTAATGCCACAGTCAGAAATGAAGCTGGACTCTTCTTTGGGTAAAGGTTGGTGGGAGACAGTAGAAATGAGGGGTGTAATAGAAGCTGAGAAGATATGGTCAAAGTCTGAGTTAAAGTTTAGAGAGGAAAAGACAGTTTATCCTGGCCCTATTTGTCAATAAATTATTTGAATAGTTAAAGTAAAAATTTTGTGAGGGATAGAGTTATAGGTTTTCTCTCTTGTATTTTCAAATAAAATAATTCATTCTGATGTTGCCTGACCTTGTTGATTTAGTCTTCATTTTTCTTATTTCTTTTATAGCTCTCTAGCCTTTCTTTTCCCTTTTCTTTTGACAAACAACTAGAGGGGCACCATGCTCTTTTCTTATCCTTTTACTTCTTTGGCTTGACAAAAATAACACAGCATAAAATGCACCTAGCATTATGATGTTTGTTCTTGTTCCTCTTCTGATAAGGACTAAATGTATAATTAAGGAAAATGGTGTTCACAACAGTACCTAGAAAGTAACTGGTTCACAATTTTTGCTCAAATTAAATTTTATTTATTAAATGAAAGAATAGATTAATCTTGAAGTGAGAAAATGAAAATATAAGGAGTGACTTTAGCAAAGAAGAACAATGGTTCCCAAATGTATATCACCAATCCTTTTCTCTCATTTTCTTTAGCCCCACCTCTTTAATTGCTTATAGGCTATTTCTAGCTGAACTTTTATGATGTTGAAAACAAAAGTCTCCTTCCTTCCTTCCTTTCTTTTCTTTTCTTTCTTTCCTTTCTTTCCCTTCTTTTCTTTCTTTCTTTCCTTTCTTTCCCTTCTTTTCTTTCTTTCTTTCAAGTCTTGCTCCGTCGCCCAGGCTGGAGTGCAGTGGTGGGGTCTCGGCTCACTGCAACCTCTGCCTCTTGGGTTCAAACGATTCTCCTGCCTCAGCCTCCTGAGTAGCTGGGACTACAGGCGCGTGCCACCACACCCAGCTAATTTTTGTATTTTTAGTAGAGATGGGGTTTCACTATGTTGGCCAGGCTAATCTTGAACTCCTGAGCTGTGATCAGCCCACCTCGGCCTCCCAAAGTGTTGGGATTACAGGCGTAAGCCTCTGCACCCAGCCAAAACTCACCATCTTTCTTATCTTCCAAACTCAGTTTTATGATGACTTTCCTTCTCCAATGCATTTTAATCCTCTGCATTCCTACATTCCATTTATGTAACCTCCATACCTGAATAATGACTGACACTAACTCCACTTTTCCCAGCTGTCATGGCATAGTGAAAATTCCAGATCTGCCACTTAGTGGACAGGTACTTTGAACAAATTTCTTAACCTCTGGGAACATTACTTTCTATAAAATGGGGATAGTAATATGAATTAGAATAAATATATATGTTATAGATATACAACATAGATGTAATTCATATATATTAACCTTTCAATAGTAGATGTTCAATAAATTACAGCTATTGTTACCCTGAAATCAGTTTTTCTTTTTTTTTTTTTTTGGAAATGGAGTTTCGCTCTTGTTGCCCAGGCTGGAGTGCAATGGTGCAATCTCAGCTCACCGCAACCTCCGCCTCCCAGGTTCAAGTGATTCTTCTGCCTTAGCCTCCTGAGTAGCTGGGATTATAGGCGCCCGCCACCACACCCAGCTAATTTTTTTTTTGTATTTTTAGTAGAGACGGGGTTTCACCATGTGGGCCAGGCTGCTGACCTAAAACGATCCGCCTGCCTGGGCCTTCCAAAGTGCTAGGATTATATGCGTGAACCACCGCGCCTGACCATGGAATCAGTTTTTCAATCTGTGCTCGAGGTGTTGTGTTCTTAACTATCTTCTACTCCTTTGCAAAGATAATCTTTCTTAAACATAGACTTTCTAATCAGTTCTCTAGCATTGTTTCATTCTGTCTTTGGCATGTTTTCACTTTGCTGTGCTGTACTTTTACACATTCTTTTTAACTATAGCTTCCTGCTTTGCTCTGGATCAGGAAGCTATTGAAGCTGACACCCACAGAGTTAAACTGAGTTGCTGAAGCCACCAGCTCCCCCTCCCAGTCCTTCTTTTCAGAGTAGGCTGGCAGCTGTCCTAACTGCCTACTAAAGCCAAATGCTTGAGGAGAGAGAGAGAGTAAGGAGCCAGCCATGAATCCTTTCCAGAAAAATGAGTCCAAGGAAACTCTTTTTTCACCTGTCTCCATTGAAGAGGTACCACCTCGACCACCTAGCCCTCCAAAGAAGCCATCTCCGGTGAGTCCTTAGATTCAATCCTGCCTCTGAGAGGAATGGCCTCCCTCTTTTGGCTCTCTTCCTTGGGCTCTGGAGCTTCCAGCTGAGCTGTATTAGGGTATTAAAATGCTTCTCTCTTGGATTTAGAATTCACCTGAAACCAAATCTAAACAGAAGCTTCCTTTACATAAGAAGACAAAGCAGCAGGAAGAGGTAGTCAAAGTTCTTCAGTTGGGATCCAGGGACTTGCTGAATTTCATTGCATATTCTGTTTCCCTGGGGGAAAAAAGCAATTCGAATGTCCAGGGAAACTTGGCAAGCATTCTTGTCTGAAGAACTGTGTGTGATTGTTCTTTCTTTACCAATATAAAAACTCTGCCCTTAGTTCTCCCTGTGTGCAGAGTCTTCTGCTGAACACCAATGGAAGTTTCAGAATAGATCCAATTTCTGTTACTATGTGTTCCCAGTTTACTGTGGGAGATAGGACAGAGAAACAGAGAATAGTAATGTTTTGCATTTATATACTCGCTAAAGCACTTCTAAACTCATCATCTCAGTCAATTCTTACACTAAAATTCTGTAAGTGGGGAGGATATAGTAATGATAGCCAAAATTTACTGAGTTCTTACAGTGGGCCAAAAGGTGATGTTATTCTCATTTCTTTGGAATAACAGAACAGAGGTTTTGAGACAGGTGTAGTGACAATGCCAGTATCAGTATGTTAACACAGCCAGTGGCAGTGTTGCCTAACTAGCTAACAGTGTGTCGGCTAAACTCCAGATTGCATAATTCTCAAGCTGTGAGCTGCAAAGGTAAGAAGCCCAGTTCATTGTATGTTTCAAACAAGCTATTATAAAACATTAAAATATATTAATATTTAGGAGGATCATTTATATATATCCCTAGGGTTAAAAGAATAATACATTACTTTATTATTTTGCCTATTTTTTTAGTTAATGATATCTCTTCTGGTCCCAAAGAATTTAGGGCTACTTGCAAAGATGTATATACTTCTCATGAAATGAGGCAATATAAATCTTACAAGATTTGACTGTACTGAGGACAGATACCTCTATGTCTCTTCTCATGTTAGTTGGTCTATTGTAATAGATAGGGAATTAAAATAAAACATAACATTCCTTATATTCTGACTGATATATTACATGAAAAGCATAATTCTTTTAATGTCCAGTAGGATTATCATGAAAATGTTATAGAATCTCTTTAGTAGGAAGAGTAGACATTTAATTTTACAGGATTTAAGAACTCTGCCTAAAGTCAAGGTGATCAATTAGCTTACCCTTAGGAATCTCTGTCCTCCATGTTGGGCTCTGTGCCTGACTCCAGCAGCCTCTGAAGTAGAAGCTATCATATTGCCAGGATTCCTCCCAGCATGGCAAACAGAACAGCTGGGGACAAGAGTCCCCATAGTGGGGCTAAGCAGAGACTGACATCTGAATCTCACTGCTTGGATATCAGGTATTCCATAGGCTACCTCTTTATTCTGTTCCTAGGAAGTAAATATCACCATTCTTCTGCCCCAGAGCCCTAGGCTTTTCATTTAGTAGTTGTGGGAAGATGAGCAGGTCCAAGGAATATTTGAGCAAGTCCATGTAAAATAAATAAGAAACAAAATAATATTCAGAGTAGCTTCTATTATTTCTAAATCAGTAATATAAGCACTTTTAGTGTTACCTAATAGGTGTGTCATGAAGAGTAGAGACCATTGCTCCATTACCTACCAAGATGATTTGAAATAAATGAATTTTTCAGTTTTGAAGAAATCTAATTGTTGAAACAGGGAAAAACAGCTCATGCTTGAATCATTGCCTTCTTGTTGAATAGACAATCTGTGGCTCCAACTATCCACTGAGCATTGCCTTCATTGTGGTGAATGAATTCTGCGAGCGCTTTTCCTATTATGGAATGAAAGGTAATTTTGTGTCCAAGAGTCCTACCTACTCTCCTCCACCCACCCTCACCCCATGTTTGTGACAGCCTGGTCTCTTTATATGCACTTATTTCCCGAGTCCACTCTTTCTGCCTTGGTCCAAATTGGTCCTTTACTTTGGCCAAGACTTCCAATAAATCTCTCATAGGATTTCACCTAATATGTAGGCCAAGATCAGAAAGGCCTGAGACAAACCAGAACATAGACTTTGAGAATGGGTAAGTGGGTGGAGCTGGGCATGATGGCATGTGCCTGTAGTCGCCACTACTTGGGAGGCTGAAGCAGGAGGATTGCTTGGGCCCAGGAGTTCAAGGTTATCAGGCACCTGTAATTGTGCCAGTGAATGGCCACTGCACTCCAGCCTGGGCAACATAGCAAGAACTCATCTCCAAAAAAAAAAAAAAAAAAGGGGGGGGAGGGAAAGCTCTCATTATCTCAGTTACATTTTTCATACCTGTTCCTCAGGTATGAGCTAACAGCTCTTGGCTAAGGGCTCATACCTGAGGAACAGGTATGAAGAATGGAATTCAGATAAGAGGTCTTATCATCTTGTTGCTGGGAAGGAGAGGAGAGGGAAGGGATATTGGAAGCACCATGTTATGTTCATGGTTGGCCTAAATGATGCTAGGGGTGCACATAGACTGAAGGGAGGAGTATTATATTTGTACATTCAACATAGTCCCATTCACTCCCACAACTCCCATGGGGCCCTGCTTCTACTGCCTGGCAGTCACTTCTCAGTCATGTCACTGATAGGAGTGCTGAAGGCCAAAATCACATTATAAAGACCAGAGATTAAATATTTTTTTCCATAAGTCACTTTAATGCATCTATCTTGTTTTGTCTCCCCACGCCTCCTTTTTTTTCCCACTACAGCTGTGCTGATCCTGTATTTCCTGTATTTCCTGCACTGGAATGAAGATACCTCCACATCTATATACCATGCCTTCAGCAGCCTCTGTTATTTTACTCCCATCCTGGGAGCAGCCATTGCTGACTCGTGGTTGGGAAAATTCAAGTAAGGAAGATGGGAGGTCACATCCCTACAAGTTTCACAGGTTGTGCAGAAGGCTATCACTTCTAGCCTCTTGCTTCTGAGTAAGAACATACCTATGTCATGCGTGAAAAATAAGAATCTCTGTACATCTGTGTAGTGTGGGAAATTTAAAAAAAAAGAATCTCTGTGGTAACAAGGAAAGGCTATTCTTTTCATTATCAATTTTTCCAATGTGTTTACATCCTCTTCAGTTGCGGTATCTTTTGTTCCTTAAAACTAATTTTAACCTTCCATTCCATAGTTTAATATTAAATCTTGCTCTGATCTTGTTGGAGATAGACAGCACTATCCACCAGCAAATTTCTAATTTTAGCCAGGTGCGGTGGCTCACGCCTGTAATCCCAGCACTTTGGGAGGCCGAGGCGGGCAGATTGCCTGAGGTGAGGAGTTTGAGACTAGCCTGGCTAACATGGTGAAACCCCGTCTCTACTAAAAATACAAAAATTGGCCAGGCATGGTGGCGGGCACCTGTAATCCCAGCTACTTGGGAGGCTGAGGCAGGAGAGTTGCTTGAATATGGGAGGCAGAGGTTGCAGTGAGCCAAGATCATGCCACTGCACTCCAGCCTGGGCAACAGAAAAAGACTCTGTCTCAAAAAAAAAAAAAAATTGAAATTTTGATGCTTTTATGTAGTTATTTGATACTTTCTCCATCTCTTCTCCAGATTGAGTTATCCCACCTCCTTTAGGATCTTCTTATGAGTGTCTCTTTTCAGCTCTTTTACCATCTATTTCTCTTCTCTAATGTCTTTTGTAGTTTCCTTCTTATGAATCTAATATTTTCATGAGTTAGACTATTGGTTCATTCAGTTCAGTATCTTTTAAGTCCCTGAACACAGCACCAAGAGATATAACATGGTATAATGTTATAATTGTCCCCTATAACATTAAACTGATAAGCTTAGAAATGGATCGTGGTTATCCCCTGCCCAATTATTTTCTATGGACCTGTCATCCATAGATTTGTCTAAATGAGCATTTCTCAAAGGGCATTCTGTTCAAAACTATAAAATATAATAAGTTATGTGGGAAAATAAAGCTCTTGTGGTCAAACAAGTTTGGAAACTGTTAGGCTGAGCAAAGCTAAAAATGTTCCCTTACTGCATGACTTCTTATAGCCTTAAATACGCTAATATGAACTATAAAATCTCCATAGAAGGTTGTAGTATGTAGTGTTTCCCAAACCAGTTTGACTATGGAATATTTTTTCTGGATATTTTGTGGACCCAGTGTTCCAAGGAATTCTCTTTAGTAAACAATGGTTTATAGCTTACTTTGGCCGATATATGTTCATTATTCTATAAGTGTTTAATCAGCACCTAATATATATCTATAGACATAACACAGTACTGAACAGTTTCTTGACTTGGGAGAGGAATGGTGGGTGAGTAGCTGAGATCTACATTTGCTACATATGTAGTAGTAGTCACCAAGTTTATCTAGATAGGAGATTGGCACTACTTGCAGAATAAAAAGTGCAAGCCATAATCTATTTATTCAGTTGTAGAATAAAGATTCATATACATGACATACCACTTTTATTTATTTTAAAAATAACTTCCTTTAAGATTGAAGAAGTACAGTTACAGGATTTGGTGAGCAATTGTTTCCTGGTTAATTCAGAGAAAATTTAACAACCTCTACTTGTGCTCTCAAATCAATCCTTCTTGATGTATTTATTATTGTTTTTAATTTATTTTTATTGGGATATAACTTACATAAAGTACACAAATTCAAAAGCCTTAACTGTACACCTTGATCAGTTTTTATGTATGTATCACCATCACCTAGATCACTCTCCCTAGGGTCTCTGTACCCTCACTATTCCCCTCTCTTGCCTTCAAATTCTCCCAGAGAACCAGAGTCTTTTCCTTCAACTAGAAGCAGGAGCAAATCTTTAATAGCTTTAAATGAACAAAACTCATCTTGACTCTCTTTTCCTATCATTTTTCTCCTTTTACATTAACCCCATATTATAAAAATAATCCTCTGTATGTGTTGCCTTTCTCACTCTTCATTATCAGTTCTTATGGTAGAGTAATATAATATAATGCAATATAATCCAATTCAATTTAATTTGATTTGACCCAATTTAATTCAATAAATGTTTATTGAGCACCTTCTGTTTGTCCAAGGAACCATGGAGGATGAAGAGGTGAATTACACATACTACCTAATTCATATTGTTCATATTCAAATAGCTTTAATACAGATCATATTGTAGTACAATAAGATATACTGTAAATCATCTTTTTTCCTTCTGAAATTACTCCCTAAGATCACTGGTAAGAATTTCTTCATTAGCAAATTCCAGTGGTCTTTTCTAAATTCTTACTCATTTTGAACTTGTTGTTAACATTTCAGTCTGTTTATCATTTCTGTGAAACTCCCTGGCCTTCTCTACAGTATATTTTTCTCACTCTCGTCCTCTTATATCTTTTCTTACTTATCTGGCTTCTCTTTTGCCTCTTGTTTACTTCACTCTTTCCTGAGTGTAAGCATTTTCCCAGGTTATAACTTTTACCCTCTTCTCTTTCTCTAGATTCTTCCTTAGCAAATTCTGTGGTGTGGATATTAGCTATATGCAGATGGCTCCTCAAATTCCAGTGAATTACATATTGGCATTCACCTCCACAAATCTGTTCTTTCTTCTGTCTTCTCTACATTCCCACCTTCAATCAGTTATCAAATTCTACCAATTCTGCTTGCCACAATCTCTCTCACATTTATCCCTTTTCAGCACAACATCCACTGCATTAGTTGCCATCACCCAGTTTTGGTCTTCATTGTCTCAATGTCTTTAAATTGAGATATTAAAATGGACATCTAAAATGTTTTTACTGCTTCCCATCTCTTTTTCCTACAATTGAGCATATATGCTACTGCCAAATTAATTTTCCTAAAAGAAATCCTGATCACATTACTACTCTGCTCAGCAATTTCTGGTGACTATTAAATCACTGTCTACTAATCTCACTCCAACTGACTTTTCTGTGCTTACTGTCATACTTATCTCCTTTCGAGAATGGCCACTAGAGGAAAATGTAATACTAATATTTCTGTAATCATATCCAATGACATCTCTTTTTCATGTCTGTTTGCATTGTTTCTGCTTCATGGAAACCCCTTCTTCCCCACCCTTTCATGTCCAAACCCCGTAAGGCTCACTCAAATACCACCTATGCTATGGAGTATTCTCTGCCCCCTCACCTTTTACTATAGCTGGAAGTAATATAGTGTTTTCTGAGTTCTTTGTTTTCTCACCCTTATATGACATTTACTAAACTCTATCTTATTATAGTTATTTAATTATTTATATATGAATCTGATATCTTCTTTCAAACACTTAGAGGACAAAGTCATTTATATATATTTTTCCCCACCCACCCCAGTCATTTATATATTATATGAATGTATATAATATGTATAATATATAAGTATATATATAATATACATATTTTTTGTCGTTGAGGCAAAGTCTCGCTCTGTCACCCAGGCTGGAGTGCAGTGATGCAATCTCGGCTCACTGCAACCTCTGCCTCCCAGGTCCAAGCGATTCTCCTGCCTCAGCCTCCTGAGTATCTGGGATTATATGCATGTACCACCATGCCCGGCTAATTTTTGTATTTTTAGTAGAGATGAGATTTCACCATGTTGGCCAGGCTGGTCTCGAACTCGACCTCAAGTGGTCCACCCACCTCTGTCTCCCAAACTGCTGGGATTACAAGTGTGAGCCACTGTGCCCGGCTGTGATTTATATTTTTATCCAAGAGCACGTAGAATAGTGCCTAGCAGATAGGCCCACAGTAAATCTTCGAATTCATAAATTTATTCACCCTCAGACCCTCAAATGTAGCCACATGACTGCAGATAGATGTAGACAGGCATGAAGGTTACTTTTATTTTATTGTGGGTATTTTGGTTGCTTTTTAAATAAGAAAACTTGGGGGTGATTTGTATCTCTTTCACAAAGGGAGTAGTTTGAGAAAATGTGGGTAACTTGTTCTCCTGTAGTCATGTTTGTGTGTGTGTGCGTGTGCATGTGTGTGTAACATATACAAACAGATGATAACAGCAACAAAAGGGAATAAGTATTTAAAACTACCCTTCCTTAAGTTGGAAAATCAGAAAAAAGACAAGACTCTTCCTTTACTGTCTTTTCTAATTTGAACCTGTAGCCTATTTTCTTCATTTGCTAGAGGAAAATGGATAGATTTTTGTTTCAAACCGTTAAGTTCTTCCCCACCTCTCATATGTTTCTCTGCCTGAGTATGTGTTTGTGTGTGTGTGTGTGTGTGTGGTGTGTTTACTTTTATTCACGTGTTACTTTGAGGGTGAAAAGCCTTCTCTAACATTAGAAAGATTGTTCAAACCCTGAAGGGGCAATTTCCTGAAGTTAGTAAACAACTTCTATTAAAAATCTTTCCTCTGTTTGCTATCCCAGAATAATAGATATGTTAAGAGGAAATGGGCATCCAGAGTCCCTGACTCTTGTTTAAGGAACTCCCTATGCCAGGAAAGAAGTGAGGCTTCCTTCAGAGCTACATACAGGAAAGACTAATCAATAGGTACGCAGTGGGAAAACAAAAATTATTAAACATGCATATTGGTTTCTCAAGGATGCTATTTGTAGTGTCAAGTTGGTTTTAAGAAAGGAAAACATTTTTAGTCATAGTTCCTAGATTTTATATCCTATTACCCAGGCTCATCAGTTTTGATTTTTGACCTGGGCAATCACTTAGAACCACTCTCTTAAACGTGTTTATTATTTTTTTATTTTAATTTAATTTTAATTTTTATTTTTTATTATACTTTAAGTTCTAGGGTACACGTGCACAACGTGCAGGTTTGTTACATAGGTATACATGTGCCATGTTGGTTTGTTGCACCCATGAACTCGCCATTTACATTAGGTATTTCTCCTAATGCTATCCCTCCACCAGCCCTCCACCCCATGACAGGCCCCCATGTGTGACGTTCCCCGCCTGGTGTCCAAGTGTTCTCATTGTTCAATTCCCACCTATGAGTGAGAACATGTGGTGTTTGGTTTTCTGTCCTTGTGATAGTTTCCTCAGAATGATGGTTTCCAGCTTCATCCATGTCCCTGCAAAGGACATGAACTCATCCTTTTTTATGGTTGCATAGTATTCCATGGTGTATATGTGCCACATTTTCTTAATCCAGTCTATCATTGATGGACATTTGGCTTGGTTGCAAGTTTTTGCTATTGTGAATAGTGCTGCAGTAAACATATGTATGCATGTGTCTTTATAGTAGCATGATTTATAATCCTTTGGGTATATACCCAGTAATGGGATGGCTGGGTCAAATGGCATTTCTAGTTCTAGATCCCTGTCTTCCACAATGGTTGAAATGGTTGAACAAGTTTACAGTCCCACCAACCAGTGTAAAAGTGTTCCTATTTCTCCACATCCTCTCCAGCATCTGCTGTCTCCTGCCTTTTTAATGATTGCCATTCTAACTGGTGTGAGATGGTATCTCATTGTGGTTTTGATTTGCATTTCTTTGATGGCCAGTGATGATGAGCATTTTTTCATGTGTCTGTTGGCTGCATAAATGTCTTCTTTTGAAAAGTGTCTGTTCATATCCTTTGCCCACTTTTTGATGGTGTTGTTTTTTTCTTGTAAATTTGTTTAAGTTCTTTGTAGATTCTAGATATTAGCCCTTTGTCAGATGGGTAGATTGCAAAAATTTTCTCCCACTCTGTAGGTTGCCTGTTCACTCTGATGGTAGTTGCTTTTGCTGTGCAGAAGCTCTTTAATTTAATTAGATCCCATTTGTCAATTTTGGCTTTGGTTGCCATTGCTTTTGGTGTTTTAGACATGAAGTCCTTGCCCATGCCTATGTCCTGAATGGTAATGTCTAGGTTTTCTTCTAGGGTTTTTATGGTTTTAGGTCTAACATGTAAGTCTTTAATCCATCTTGAATTAATTTTTGTATAAGGTGTAAGGAAGGGATCCAGTTTCAGCTTTCTACATATGGCTAGCCAGTTTTCCTAGCACCATTTATTAAATAGGGAATCCTTTCCCCATTGCTTGTTTTTGTCAGGTTTGTCAAAGATCAGATGGTTGTAGATGTGTGGTGTTATTTCTGAGGCCTCTGTTCTGTTCCATTGGTCTATATATGTGTTTTGGTACCAGTACCATGCTGTTTTGGTTACTGTCGCCTTGTAGTATAGTTTGAAGTCAGGTAGCCTGATGCCTCCAGCTTTGTTCTTTTGGCTTAGGATTGTCTTGGCAATGTGGGCTATTTTTGCGTCCATATGAACTTTAAAGTAGTTTTTTGCAATTCTCTGAAGAAAGTCATTGGTAGCTTGATGGGGATAGCATTGAATCTATAAATTACCTTGGGCAGTATGGCCATTTTCACGATATTGACTCTTCCTATCCATGAGCATGGAATGTTCTTCCATTTGTTTGTATCCTCTTTTATTTCATTGAGCAATGGTTTGTAGTTCTCCTTGAAGAGGTCCTTCACATCCCTTGTAAGTTGGATTCCTAGGTATTTTTTTCTCTTTGTAGCAATTGTGGATGGAAGTTCACTCATGATTTGGCTCTCTGTTTGTCTGTTATTGGTGTATAAGAATGCTTGTGATTTTTGTACATTGATTTTGTATCCTGAGACTTTGCTGAAGTTGCTTATCAGCTTAAGGAGATTTTGGGCTGAGACAGTGGGGTTTTCTAGATATACAATCATGTCATCTGCAAACAGGGACATTTTGACTTCCTCTTTTCCTAATTGAATACCCTTTATTTCCTTCTCCTGCCTAATTGCCCTGGCCAGAACTTCCAACACTATGTTGAATAGAAGTGGTGAGAGAGGGCATCCCTGTCTTGTACCAGTTTTCAAAGGGAATGCTTCCAGTTCTTGCCCATTCAGTATGATATTGGCTGTGGGTTTGTCATAGATAGCTCTTATTATTTTGAGATACGTTCCATCAATACCTAGTTTATTGAGAGTTTTTAGCATGAAGGGCTGTTGATTTTTGTCGAAGGCCTTTTCTGCATCTATTGAGATAATCATGTGGTTTTTGTTGTTGATTGTGTTTATATGCCGGATTACGTTTATTGATTGGCATATGTTGAACCAGCCTTGCATCCCAGGGATGAAGCCGACTTGATCATGGTGGATAACCTTTCTGATGTGCTGCTGGATTCGGTTTGCCAGTATTTTATTGAGGATTTTCACATTGGTGTTCACCAGGGATACTGGTCTAAAATTCTCTTTCTTTGTTGTCTCTGCCAGGCTTTCATATCAGGATGATGCTGGCCTCATCAAATGAGTTAGGCAGGATTCTCTCTTTTTCTATTGATTGGAATAGTTTCAGAAGGAATGATACCAGCCCCTCTTTCTACCTCTGGTAGAATTCAGCTGTGAATCCGTCTGGTCCTGGCCTTTTTTTGGTTGGTAGGCTATTAATTATTGCCTCAGTTTCAGAACCTGTTACTGATCTATTCAGAGATTCAACTTCTTTCTGGTTTAGTCTTGGGAGGGTGTATGTGTCCAGAAATTTATCCATTTCTTCTAGATTTTCTAGTTTATTTGCATAGAGGTGTTTATAGTATTCTCTGATGGTAGTTTGTATTACTGTGGAATCGGTGGTGATATCCCCTTTATCATTTTTTATTGTATCTATTTGATTCTTCTCTCTTTTCTTCTTTATTAGTCTTGCTAGTGGTCTACCAATTTTGTTGATCTTTCAAAAAACCAGCTCCTGGATTCGTTGATTTTTTGAAGGGTTTTTTGTGTCTCTATCTCCTTCAGTTCTGCTCTGATCTTAGTTATTTCTTGCCTTCTGCTAGCTTTTGAATTTGTTTGCTCTTGCTTCTCTAGTTCTTTTAATGGTGATGTTAAGGTGTCGATTTTAGATCTTTTCTGCTTTCTCTCGTGGGCATTTAGTGCTATAAGTTTCCCTCTACACACTGCTTTAAATGTGTCCCAGAGATTCTGGTATGTTGTGTCTTTGTTCTCATTGGTTTCAAAGGACATCTTTATTTCTGCCTTCATTTTGTTATTTACCCAGTAGTCATTCAGGAGCAGGTTGTTCAGTTTCCATGTAGTTGTGCATTTTGAGTGAGTTTCTTAATCCTGAGTTCTAATTTGATTGCACTGTGTTCTGAGAGACAGTTTGTTGTGATTTCTGTTTTTTTATATTTGCTGAGGAGTGCTTTACTTCCAACTATGTGGTCAATTTTGGAATAAGTGTGATGTGGTACTGAGAAGAATGTATATTCTATTGATTTGGGGTGGAGAGTTCTGTAGATGTTTATTAGGTCCACTTGGTGCAGAGCTGAGTTCATGTCCTGTATATCCTTGTTAACCTTCTATCTCATTGTTCTGTCTAATACTGACAGTGGGGTGTTAAAGTCTTCCATTATTATTGTGTGGGAGTCTAAGTCTCTTTGTAGGTCTCTAAGGACTTGCTTTATGAATCTGGGTGCTCCTGTACTGGGTGCATATATATTTAGGATAGCTAGGTCTTCTTGTTGAATTGATCCCTTTACCATTATGTAATGGCCTTCCTTGTCTCTTTTGATCTTTGTTGGTTTAAAGTCTGTTTTGTCAGAGACTAGGATTGCAACCCCTGCTTTTTTTTTGCTTTCCATTTACTTGGTAGCTTTGGTAGATCTTCCTCTATCCCTTTATTTTGAGCCTATGTGTGTCTCTGCACATGAGATGGTTCTCGTGAATACAGCACACTGATGGGTCTTGACTCTTTATCCAATTTGCCACTCTATGTCTTTTAATTGGGGCATTCAGCCCATTTACATTTAAGGTTAATATTGTTATGTGTTAATTTGATCCAATCATTATGATGTTAGCTGGTTATTTTGCCCGTTAGTTGATGCAGTTTCTTTCTAGCATTGATGGTCTTTACAATTCAGCATGTTTTTGCAGTGGCTGGTACCAGCTGTTCCTTTCCATGTTTAGCGCTTCCTTCAGGAGCTCTTTTAGGGCAGGCCTGGTGGTGACAAAATCTCTTAGCATTTGCTTGCCTGTAAAGGATTTTATTTCTCCTTCACTTATGAAGCTTAGTTTGGCTGGATATGAAATTCTGGGTTGAAAATTCTTTTCTTTAAGAATGTTGAATATTGGCCCCCACTCTCTTCTGGCTTGTAGGGTTTCTGGCGAGAGATCCACTGTTAGTCTGATGGGCTTCCCTTTGTGGGTAACCCGACCTTTCTCTCTGGCTGCCCTTAACATTTTTTCCTTCATTTCAACTTTGGTGAATCTGACAATTATGTGTCTTGGGGTTGCCCTTCTCGAGGAGTATCTTTGTGGTGTTCTCTGAATTTGAATGTTGGCCTGCCTTGCTAGGTTGGGGAAGTTCTCCTGGATAATATCTTGAAGAGTGTTTTCCAACTTGGTTCCATTCTCCCTGTCAATTTCAGGTACACCAATCAAATGTAGATTTGGTCTTTTTACATAGTCCTATATTTCTTTGAGGCTTTGTTCATTTCTTTTTACTCTTTTTTCTCTAAACTTCTCTTCTTGCTTATTTCATTTATTTGATCTTCCATCACTGATACCCTTTTTTCCACTTGATTGAATCAGCTATTGAAGCTTGTGCATGCATCACATAGTTCTCGTGCCATGGTTTTCAGCTCCATCAGGTCATTTAAAGTCTTCTCTGCAGTGTTTATTCTAGTTAGCCATTCATCTAATCTTTTTTCAAGGTTTTTAGCTTCCTTGTAATGGGTTCAAACATTCTCCTTTAGCTTGAAGAAGTTTGTTATTACCAACCTTCTGAAGCCTACTTCTGTCAGCTCATCAAAGTCATTCTCCGTCCAGCTTTGTTCCATTGCTGGCAAGGAGCTGCGATCCTTTGGAGGAGAAGAGGCACTCTGGTTTTTAGAATTTTGAGCTTTTCTGCTCTGGTTTCTCCCCATCTTTGTGGTTTTTATCTACCTTTGTTCTTTGATGCTGGTGACCTACAGATGGGGTTTTGGTGTGGATGTCCTTTCTGTTGATGTTGATGCTATTTCTTCCTTTTTATTAGTTTTCCTTCTAACAGTCAGGTCCCTCAGCTGCGGGTCTGTTGGAGTTTGCTAGAAGTCCACTCCAGACCCTGTTTGCCTGGGTATCACCAGTGGAGGCTGCAGAACAGCAAATATTGCAGAACAGCAAATATTGCTGCCTGATCCTTCCTCTGGAAACTTCGTCCCAGAGGGACACCCGCCTGTAATGAAGTGTCAGTTGGTCCCCACTGAGAGGTGTCTCCCGGTTAGGCTACACAGGCTTCAGGGACCCACTTGAGGAGGCAGTCTGTCCGTTCTCAGAGCTCAAAAACCCTACTGGGAGAACGAGTGCTCTCTTCAGAGCTGTCAGACAGGGACGTTTAAGTCTGCAGAAGTTTCTGCTGCCTTTTGTTCCGCTATGCCCTGACCCCAGAGGTGGGTGGGGTCTACAGAGGCAGCAGGCCTTGCAGAGCTGCAGTGGGCTCTGCCCAGTTCAAGCTTCCCCAGCTTCTTTGTTTACCTACTCAAGCCTCAGCAATGGCAGATGCCCCTCCCCCTACTAGGCTGCTGCCTCGTGGGTCGATCTCAGACTGCTGCGCTAGCAGTGAGCAAAGCTCCATGGGCATGGGACCCACCAAGCCAGGCGCAGGATATAATCTCCTGGTGTTCCGTTTGCTAAGACCTTTGGAAAAGCACAGTATTTGGGTGGGAGTGTTGCGATTTTCCAGGTACAGTCTGTCACGGCTTCCCTTGGCTAGGAAAGGGAAATCCCCCAACCGCTTGTCCTTCCTGGGTGAGGCAATGCTCCACCCTGCTTCAGCTCGCCCTCTGTGGGCTGCACCCACTGTCCAACCAGTCCCAATGAAATGAGCCAGGTACCTCAGTTGGAAATGCAGAAATCACCATCTTCTGCATCAACTACGCTGGGAGCTACAGACCGGAGTGGTTCGTATTCAGCCATCTTGGAGTTATTATGCTTTTGAATGTCCTCTCCACACTTCTCTTTTCTCTTTCTCTGAGTGGGTCTGTATAGTATGTCCTTTCTCTCTCCTCTTTTTTGTCTGATCAGAACTGACCTTCTTTTCTTCATGCAAGCTCTCTTCCTCTGCCATCACTACACACTCTCAGCCTCTGTATATACCTCTTCTTAGTTCCTAAGTGCCTATTAAAAATGGCTCTGGCTTTTTATATTCATATGGTGAAATAAAATGTATTACTTCTTTCTCTTCCATTTTCTTTTTCCACATTAACTTGTTCATGATAAAACCAAAGGAATGCTGGATTATGAGTTAAATATAGAAGCTCTACACCTAACCCTAATACTAATTAAAATGTCACTTTGGGGCCAGATGTAGCGGCTCATGCCTGTAATCCCAGCACTTTGGGAGGCTGAGGCAGGAGGATTGCTTGAGGCCAGGAGTTTGAGACCAGCCTGGTCAACATAGCAAGACCCCATCTCTACAATAAAAAAAAAGTCACTGTTCATTTATTTATTTTTATTTTTATTTATTTATTTATTTTTTATTTCTTTGAGATGGAGTCTTGCTCTGTCTCCCAGTCTGGAGTACAGTGTTGTGAGATCTCAGCTCACTGCAACCTCCACCTCCTGGGTTAAAGTGATCCTCCCATCTCAGCCTCCCAAGTAGCTGGGATTACAGGCATGCACCACCATGCCTGGCAAATTTTTGTATTTTTAGTGGAGGTGGGGTTTCACTGTGTTGGCCAGGCTGGTCTTGAACTCCTGACCTCAAGTGATCCGTCCACCTCAGCTTCCTGAAGTTCTGGGATTACAGGGGTGAACCACTGCAACTGGCCCAAAAGTCACTGTTTAGAAATGTCATTTGACCTGTCTGGATTTCAGTTTCTTGATTTGTAAAATTGAAGGATTAGTGAAGTCAACCTAAAGCATTTCTGTGTGCTATGGTTGGGATTACAATGACCCTAATATCTCGTTTCAAATGCAGAATTTTCAGGTCTCTTGACTTCTTGCTCCTCCTATTAGTTTCCTGCCATTAGTTTCCTCTCTTATATCCCTCATAGCTAAACTATTTCCTATGAGGTTTTTGTTTGTTTGTTGTTTTTGTTTGTTTTTTGGTTGTTTTTTTAATCTATAAGTTGCCTATTTTCCTCCTAAACCACTTACACTTCTTTCATTCATTTAGTCCAAGCTTGTCCAACCTGCAGCCTGCAGGCCACATGCAGCCCAGGACAGCTTTGAATGTGGCCCAGTACAAATTTATAAACTTTCTTAAAACATTATTAGATTTTTTTTTTTAGCTCACCAATTATTGTTAGTGTTGGTGTATTTTATGTGTGGCCCAAGACAATATATCTTCCAATGTGGCCCAGGGAAGCCAAAAGATTGGACACCCCTGATTTAGTCCATCAATTGGATACCGATCTTACTACCCAGACTATATCACTCCAGCTCAAACTCCTTTTTTTTTCCTCTATGATGATCTAACATAGATCATCTGTTTGGGGTTCATGATAGCTAGCATTTTTTTTTCTGTTCCTTTTTATTCCCTTTCTATTTATTCTTTTTATTACAACAAAGAGAACCTTTCTCTAGAAGATGTTACAAGATCTTTTGGGAAAGTTGTTCCCTCCCCTGATGTTAATTAGTCCTAGATTAGTCACCTAACTTTTTTTTTTTTTTTTTTTTTGAGACGGAGTCTTGCTCTGTCGCCAGTATGGAGTGCAGTGGCACCATCTCTCGGCTCACTGCAACCTCTGACTCCCTGGTTCAAGCGATTCTCCTGCCTCAGCCTCCCCGCTAGCTGGGATTATAGGTGCATGTCACCACGCCCAGCTAATTTTTGTATTTTTGGTAGACACAGGGTTTCACCATGTTGGTCAGGATGGTCTCGATCTCCTGACCTCGTGATCCACCCACCTTGGCCCCCCAAAGTGCTGGGATTACAAGCGTGAGCCACCGTGCCCTAGTCACCTAACTTCTTGTCCGCTACCCGCCATACACTTTAAGTTCCCTTCCCTAGAAAGCTAACCCAAGGATTAGGCACTTAGAATGAGAAATCCACATCCTGAGAGTTCTGACATCTCTGGCCTCTCTTTGCTATCTTTATTCCATTCTATTCTCTTTATTCCACATTAGCATAAAACACCTTAAAAATTGCAGGTGTAAACTGTAATTTCCAAGGTTCATTATAATGCTAACATTCTACTTATATGTGGGAATGCTGGTGTGGTAGTACACATAAGGAATATATGTTGTAGTGCGCCATATTTCAATGTGTGAATCTCTCTATATGTTCTTACTGGAGTTCCTTATTCTTCTACTTTCTATTTGCTGTTCAAGTTCTTTGAGAAAACAATACAACAGGATGTTCCTTCCAACTGCATGATTTTTGTCACTGGACAGTCTATTCTAAGTCCCTGGCTCCTTTCTTACCCTTGTTAACTTGTCCCTGAGGAAACTGTGGTGAGGATTACAATTAATCCAAGAGTCCAAGTTACCCAGGCTGAACCTGAGAGCTTTTTACCTCCCAGTGCTTCTTGAGTTTTGAGGAAGTTGTTTGGGTTAGCCATTCCTGTTTACTTGGAGTTCTTCCTTGACCCTTCTTGCTCTCTACAGCAGAAGATATTCCTTGAGAAAAACACCTAAGGTCCAAATATCCTCTTCTACTGGTTCTCCCAATTTAAAGCACTGTCACTTTTGCTACAAATCCACCTTGTTCTTGTCATGTCTGTACAAAGTAGGGTTTCTCTGTGTGTGTGTGGAGTGAGCGGGTAGAGGCAAAGGGGAAGGTGGGTATAGGAAGGGAACTTGAAGGGAATGTCTATTACCTCTAACACTAAAGAGTGAAGAATTCCACTCCTTTTTCCTAGTCTGTTCACTTCATTCACCATTATTGTCTCTATTTGGATTTCTCAGATAATTCTTTCCTCCTCCCTCCTCCTCCTCCTCCATTTATCCCCACACTGAGAACAGTATGAACCCTAAGTCTGTATTATTCAAATCTCTCAGTTCTGGTTTTAGACTGACTGATTTAGCTCTCTCAACAGGACAATCATCTATCTCTCCTTGGTGTATGTGCTTGGCCATGTGATCAAGTCCTTGGGTGCCTTACCAATACTGGGAGGACAAGTGGTACACACGTGAGTAAAATCATGGAATCAACTAAACTACTTTTCTCAGACATTTGTTACAAATTATTTTCTGTTTTCTTACCAGAGATGTCTCTTTATTTTCAATCTACAGTTTACTACAAAACTGGTTAAGAAAAACAGTCTTATGACCAGTTGAACTCTTTCCTACTTTATCTGAGCTCATCTGTTTTTGGGACTTGTAGAATGCCTAGTTAGTATCCTCTTCATATGCTTGAAAATAATCAAAACCTTCATACCCTACATATTCCCTCACCTTTTTATTCATCCATGCATCTATACTTTACCAGGGTTAAAAAAAACTCTATAATGTTTCCTTATAATTAATTGTAGAAGTCATACTCAAAGCTTTGAATATTTACATTTATGTGTAGTTCCATATATTTCAGTTGCTATTGATGTTTATGGGATCAGAGGCATTTGATAAATTCTGATGTCTGTCTATTCAGTCAGTAGAGAGGATTACAGCTGTTCACAAAGCAGTTTATATGTATTCATATTATAATGTGCCTGTGTGCCTGTGTACATGTATTTATCCTATGAGTTAGAAATTTTGTTTGTTTGTTTGTTTGTTTTTAGACAGAGTCTTGCTCTGTTGCCCAGGCTGGAGTGCAGTGGTGTGATTTTGGCTCACTGAAACCTTTGCCTCCTGGGTTCAAGTGATTCTCCCACCTCAGCCTCCCGAGTCGCTGGGATTACAGGCGGCTGCCACCACGCCCGGCTAATTTGTGTATTTTTCGTAGAGATGGGGTTTTACCATGTTGGCCAGGCTGGTCTTGAACTCCTGACCTCAGGTGATCCACCTGCCTCAGCTTCCCAAAGTGCTGGGATTATAGACGTAGCCTCTGCACCTGGCCTTGATATTTAATAAATATTACTTTCTTATTGGTGTCCCGTCAAAAATCTTTGACACTGTTGCTATTAATTATGATGAATTTGAACATTTTTTTTTAAATTTTGGTAAGAATATGTGAGATCAGGTCCTTAAAGGTCTTTCCATTGAAGTACTCCTTTGACCAAAACAAGATTGGGAACCAGTGTGTTAGCTTTGGAGTTCCTTCAGTATCTGTTTCTATCGGATGCTCATAAGGGGTAAATGGAACTACCAGGGATGAAATCTTCCCACATAATGCATACTTTCTTGCAGAGGCCGAAGGATCATAAATAGGGTAATTGACCATGAATACCTCCTAGGAATAAAGGCAAATGGAAAGTACCCATGGGGTAGAAATGTGAAGGGGATCTTTGCCCTTGTACACATTTTTTCCCCTCTGCAGCTCTGTAGTCCATCTCTACAGGTGCATTTAGTATCAACATGGTTGGCATTCTCACCTCTCCATTTCAGAGTCCTATCATTGATCGGCCTGAGTCTAATAGCTTTGGGGACAGGAGGCATCAAACCCTGTGTGGCAGCTTTTGGTGGAGACCAGTTTGAAGAAAAACATGTAAGAATCCTGTTATTTTGTATTTTCAAGAATATAGAGCCAGCATTAATGGGGGTATCTGGCAGGTAGCCATTTGCCAAGATTGAAGTAATGTACTGGTCAGATCTTATCTGAGCAGTTGTATTCAATGCTGGATACTGGCCATTAATAGTGAGGAAAACTGAAACAGTTTCAAAGGAAAGAGACCAGGGTGGTAGATGAACTAAAAGGTATGTCTTATGAGGAAAGATTGAAGGAAATAGGGATAGTTAGCCTGGACAAGAATTGAGGAGAATACTATAGCTGCTTATAGATGCTGGAAGGATGTCAGTGATTAAACCTGAGACCAATGAGTGAAAGCCTCCAAGAAGCCAGTGTTTTGCTTGATGGGTGGAAAAACTTCAAACAATTGGAAGTAGTAAGTTTACTCTAACTTGAGGTATTTAGAAAGAAATGTGGTAAGCACTTTGGCAATGGGAGGTGATAAGTAGTATAGAGATGATTTTAGCATCTTGTTTTGAGATTCCATGAAATGGGAAAGTGACAAATTGCAAGGAAACGTAATGAATGTCTATAGATGAATTTCCCTGACTGATCATTCCCTCTCTTCCTAAATACTTTCCATTACCAGTGGTGAAAAATAAATGGGCATTTATGAGAAAGCAGTGACAAATAGGCAAGGAAATAGTCTATTTCTAGATCTGTCAACATTTCTGGCTTCCTCAGTTTTGCTTCCAGTTTTCAGTTTTGTCTGTCTTCATGTATCCATTCTCTCTTCTATAACTGTTTATCTTTTTTCCAGTTTCTCTTTTTCTCCCCCACTCCTTCTCTCTTTCTCTCTCTCCCCCCCACCTCCCGCCACTCTCTCTCTCTCTCTTTCCTCTTCCCTCTTCCACCCTGACATAATGCCTATTATCTCCTTCTGCCTCTGCTATCCTGTCCTGTCTTCCAGTGTTTTTCTTACCTTTCAGACCATTTGGGTTATTTTATACTCTTTATCTGTCAAAGAGTCCATAGATCATAATTGCTTGCTGACTTTGGAGAAAGAACCAACTTTTGGCAAGTGGGATCCTGTGTATGATGAACTATACAAATTAGATAAGTGGAATAAGGTTTAAATTGAAACCAGGAGAGGAAACAAAACACACTATAAATAGAAAATGGGGAAGGACTCGTTGTTCTAATATGGCAGGGAGAGATCTGGGGTGTCAGAATGAAGCATGTCGGTGTATAATGAACGAAACATCAGCAACTTTATTTGAAAGTTGTTTCATTTGGTAACTGCTCCACAAAGATATTTCAATTAGTAAGACAAATCTGCCTCCAGGTTTCCACTAGCCACTTCTAAGCCAGATGATTTCTTTTTAGACTCTCTGGCAAATCTCCGTTAAGCACTAGGTGAACTATCCTCCTTCATTAACAGTTGACTCCACTGTCCTATGTTCTGGTACTATTCCTACCACACACTCCTACCACAAAATCTATTATTTAACTAAATCAGGCATTCACTTAGTTAATACAGTCAATAAACATTTATCGAGTCCCTAATATATGTCGGATGCTGTGCTAGGTATTGGTGATTACAGAAATGAGTAAGATAAAATTTCTGCTCTAAAGAAACTCACAACATACTGAAAAAACAGACACTTACGGGAGGCAGAGGCAGGAGAATGGCTTGAGCCCGGGAGGCGGAGTTTGCAGTAAGCTGAGACTGCGCCACTGCATTCCAGCCTGGGCGGCAGAGTGAGACTCCATCTCAAAAAAAAAAAAAAAAAACCACAAACACACACATGAAATAAAAAACCCAGACATTTAATGCAAAGACATTAATATTAGAATAGCTATATACAGGATACGGTAGTGGCACTGAAGACAGGAAGATTATTTTTAACCTATGAAAAGGGAGGAAAAGAATGCTAAAGCTGCTCTGGAGTTTGAAAGGTGAGTAAATGATTGGGGTCAGCCAGCAATGTTTTTAAATATCTATTAATAATATGAAATTCAGGTATTGTGGAGGCAATATCTGAATCTTTCTCTTTGTGTGTACCTTCAGCTCTGAATCTGAACGTGGAGTGGGGCTGGAGCTAGGGGACACATTGCACTGATGATTTATCCTGTTTGTTTCAGGCAGAGGAACGGACTAGATACTTCTCAGTCTTCTACCTGTCCATCAATGCAGGGAGCTTGATTTCTACATTTATCACACCCATGCTGAGAGGTTAGGATTTTTTTGAGGGGCCCTGTATAAGGCTTTGCTCTGGTCAGCCAAAAAGCTGTTCAAGGCTTTCTCCTGTCTATCATCTCCTTTTATAAGAGCTTGATAATCTGTGAAAATTTATTTTAGTCTTGATTTGTCTGGCCCAAAAGAAGAACTATGGATTAGGTGATGGGAGGAAAGAGGGTGGTTATGTCTATTCTACAAGCTCAGGTTTATTCAACAACCTGAGCTTGTAGAATAAAACATCAAATATTCAAGACTCAGAGTTACTTTCCTCCTCCCATCCCATTTTCTTTAGGAGATGTGCAATGTTTTGGAGAAGACTGCTATGCATTGGCTTTTGGAGTTCCAGGACTGCTCATGGTAATTGCACTTGGTAAGTGCAGTGAAGCAAAGGAAACTAATAATCATTGATACCTGACACATGTAAAGCATCATGTAGGCACTTTACACAAGCTGTTTCATTCAATCCTCACACCAGGCCTATTGGGTAACTGTTATTGTAAGGGTTTCCCCTCAATTTTGGAGGTAAATTCTGAATGAAGTCAGAAACTTTAAGAAAAAAGTGCCTAAGGTTGCATAACCAGTAAGATGCTTTCTGGGGAGCCTTAAAAAGTCCAAACTCTGGGCCAGTCAGGGACTTGGGCTTTTTTTTAGTATCTCGGGTCATTCTAATGTATAGTCAAGGTGGAGATCCACTGCTCTACACTACAATATATAGGGAAGCAAGGAAGATAATCCTCTTTCAAATTAGTTTACTTCATATTATACTTATTTATCTGGTAATTGGAAAAGATTTTAAATTCTCCAAGCCTTTTAAAACAGCTTCTAGGTTTAGCTATTTCTGCCCTGCTCTGTAGTGCCCCCAAAGGGTCTGCCCTTGAGTAAAGAGAATAAGAGGAGTTGGATAAATAGGTGAAAATTAATGCAACTTAAATCAAGTGGCATTCTCTTTATCCCTGAGAACCCAGTCCTGGAAGAGAAGAGGGATGTGGTGTTCCTTATTTTACATAGCCTAAGGGAAAACTTGGGCATGATTATTTCTAATCATTGACCTGGAAACCTGTTCTCCACTCTGAGCCTCAGAGTGACACCCCCTTGGAAGATATCCAGTGCAAACCCATAAAGAGCTCAACAGAGGAAAAACAGCCTACAGACTCAATGCTCAGTGTATTTTCTACCAGGGAGTTGATGGGAGGGCACTGATAGTAGTACTCAGAATTCCCAATGCCAAGGAAATTTATTATAGGTGAGCTGTGATAATATATTCTTTACTTCCTTCTGCATTCAAAGCCAAATATTTTCCCAAATATTTGCATGATAATAATATTTACATAACAGAGTAATTATGAAGATAAAACAGAGATGCTATAAATGAAATGTTTCATAAATTATGAAATGTTAAACAAGTGCTAGCTGTCATTATTAGTCAGCAGCTTCAGTTTTCTGGGTGCTAATCAATAACTCAATTCTCTGATCTTTTACTGTAATTAATTTCTTTTTTCTTTTTTTTTCTTTTTTGAGATGGAGTCTCGCTCTGTCGCCCAGGCTGGAGTGCAGTGGCATGATCTCGGCTCACTGCAAGCTCCACGTCCCGGGTTCACGCCATTCTCCTGCCTCAGCCTCCCGAGTAGCTGGGACTACAGGCGCCCACCACCATGCCTGGCTAATTTTTTGTATTTTTAGTAGAGACAGGGTTTCACCGTGTTAGCCAGGATGGTCTCGATCTCCTGACCTTGTGATCTGCCTGCCTCAGCCTCCCAAAGTGCTAGGATTACAGGTGTGAGCCACCACGCCCAGCCAATTAATTTATTTTTTCATTCACTCATTTTTTTAACCAACATTTAATGAACCTATTGTGTGCCATATTATGTGCTAGGTATTGGGATCACATTGGTGAATTAGATACCTAGAGCATTCATGTTCCCAAAGAACTTATATAGTTCAGTAGGGAAAGGAAGACAAACAAATAAAAGGAATTTACAATATGGTATGATCAGTATTTCCCAGATCAATATAGTGTGATCTAGGAAAGTACAGAGAGAGCTATGGGAATGCATAGAAGCAATGTTTAATTAAGACCTTGAGGGACCGGGCATAGTGGCTCACACCTGTAATCCCAGCACTTTGGGAGGCCGAGGCAGGAGGATTGCGTGAGCTCAGGAGTTTGAGACCATCCTGGACAACACAGCATGACTCCATCTATACAAACATTTAAAAATTAGCCGAGTATGATGGCGCACACCTATGATCCCAACTATTTGGGAGGCTGAGATGGGAGGATCGCTTGAGCCCAGAAGGTCAAGGCTGCGATGAGCCATGATTGAGCCACTGCACTTCAGCCTGGGCAACAGAGCAAGCCCCTGTCTCAAAAATAAATAAATGAATAAAATAATAAATAAATAAATAATACTTTGGGGATTGTAAAAAGTTTGCCTAAAGGAATGACATTTAAGGTGAGACCTAAGGGCCAAACAGCAATTAATCAATAAAGAAATTATAAGTGATGCAGAAAGAGGACACAGTAGCTGTAAGACAAGAGGCTGAGAAATAGCATGACATGTTTAAAGGTTTTAAAGGCATTCAGATTACCTAAAGCATAAAAAAGAATGATAAAGAGGAGAAACTGCCAGAAACCAGATAATGAAGGGCCTTTTAAACCAATAAGAAATTAGAACTTTATTGTGAGGGAGAGTGGGGAACTCTAAAAACATTTTAACAGAGGAATAATTGCTAGATTTTAATTTTTCAATGATGTTTCTATAATGTAGAGAAAGGATTGTGTTGGAGTGAGGCAAAGATAATATTTATTTTGATTACCGAATTTTTTGATACTTGCTTAAATTTAGTGCTTGAGATGAGTGCTTCACTCAGTTTACCCTAATCTGGCCCTGGTTGAATTAACAAACCTTAGAATGGTTAGATATGTTAAGTGAGGGAGAAGATAAGCCAAGGTTTAATGTAGTGTTCTGAACCTTGAACAACTGGGTAGGTAGTGGGGTTATTAACTGAGCTAGTGAGGAAAAGCCAGTTTGGGGCAATGTTGATAAATTTAGTTTTGAACATGTTGCATTTTATATGTTCTTGGAATATTTAATTGGAGTTACCAAACAGTTATTTGGAAATACAGGATTAGAGCTTAGAAGAAATGTTTGCACTATAGATATAGATCTGGAGTCATTAGTATATGGGTAGCAATAAACCATGAAATGAAGATAGATAACTAAAAGCTAGAAGAGTAAGGTTAAAAAAAAAAGTGGGGTGGGGGGATAGGTTCAAACTTCAAGAAACGCCAGGATTTAAAAGACAGGCAAAGAGGAAAAGCCCACAAATGAGACTAAGAAGGAATGGCCAAAGTGGTAATAGCGTTATCTTGGATATGAAGAAGATTTCAAGAAAAGATTCATTTAGAGTGATAAATGTTCCTGAGTGGGAGATTAAGATAAGGGTGACAGATGTCTATTAAATACAACAACAAGGAGGTCACTGATACGATTAGATCAGTTATGGTAAATGGTGGAGGCTGAAGACTGATTGGAGGAGACTGAGAAGTAAATGTTACAGGATTCCTTCAGTGCTGCTTTGTCAGCCAGAAATCTCTGTGGCCACTACCGCCTCTGTCTGGGCCTTGCTCTGGCCCACTGGGCTCGCTCAGCCTGCGACTGGACTGGGCATGTAGCGAGCAGCTTCTGTGTTGGGTGCGGCATCTAGACAAGGGGAACACGGTGGCGCCCAAAAACTCGGAGATGCTAGCAATTGCAGAGTCCTAAGAGGTGTTATAGCTCCTGCTCAGGGAGTCCCAAGGTCTGAGCCCCCAGAAATGTTACAGCTGTTCACTCCTGTAGTTCAACGAGCAGGAGCATGTTACAACTCTCTCCTGTAGTCTAGCGAGCGGGAGCGTGTTACGGCTCTTTTATTCCCGCTGCCCATAGCTTGGCGAGCTGCCCAGGGGTGTCACAGCCCTTTCATTCCCATCACCCACAGCTCAGCAAGTTCCGGGTTCTTGTCCCATGATGAAGAGGAATGGGGTGTGTGGACACCAGAGAGTGAGTAAAGCAGAGAAGAATTTTATTGAGTGGCAGAAGGAAAGCTCTGAGCTCCTAGAGGGGACCCGAAGTAGGTAGCCGTCTGTGAGGCTTAGTGTGGGTTTTTTATGGGTTTTGAATGGGGGAGTACATGCTGATTGGTCCATGGGTGGGTTTGGAAAAAGTACCACTAGATTGGTTAAAAGGCATCATCCAAAAGGAACCAATGGAGAGAGAGGATAAGACGGAGATAGAAGTTCTCACTCAGGTCATGGACTCTATCAGGAACCGGCAAGTCGGTTTTCAGGCTTTAAACTGTCTTTGGCTTGAAGGTCGGGTTTCACTGGGACCCGTCCGTGTCTGCCTAGGAATTTATCTGTCTCTTGTCACTATCAGTAAGAAAGTGAAATAGTATTTATAGTTGGAAGGTGACATGGATTCAAGAGAGGATATTGAGCATGTGTGAATATTATTAGGAATAATCCAGTGGAGAAAGAGGTTGAAGATACAAGATAAAGACAGTATAATCAGTATGAAAACACATATGAGCAAATTAGCTGCGGATAGGAGGAGGAATATCACCTTCACCTACCTGGAGGGAGGACAGGATGAGTGTGGATACAAGAATTAATAGATCTGGTGGCAGGGAGTTGAAGGAGTTTCCATTTGAAGGTTTCCATTTTCTTTGTGAAGTAAGAGGCAACATCATCTACTAGAAGGAGTAGATAGTAGAGAAATTCAAGGTTTATACTCATCTTCTTTAGTTAAGTGTCTTTGACATGTAAGTATGACTTTAGTTGATTACATAAGTCTTCCTATTATCACTCCACTGTCACTATTGCAACCAGCATTCCTGTGGTGTCCAGCCTCTTTCTAGGATCATTCTTAGTTTCAGGAGCAGTTTATTCCCTACCCAAAATTTTCCTTTGTCCAGGTATCTCTTTTTTTGTTTTTTATTTTTTACTTTTTTTGGAGACATAGTCTCACTGTGTCAGCAGGCTGGAGTGTGGTGGCGCAATCTCAGCTCACTGCAACCTCCGCCTCTGAGGTTCAAGTGATTCTCCTGCCTTAGCGCCTAAGTAGCTGGGACTACAGGTGCGCACCACCACGCCCAGCTAATTTTTGTATTTTTAGCAGAGATGGGGTTTCACCATGTTGGCCAGGTTGGTCAGCTCAATCTCTCGACCTTGTAATCCATCCGCCTTAGCCTTCCAAACTGCTAAGTTTACGGGTGTGAGCCACCGCGCCCAGCCGTCTAGGTACTTTTTTATCTGCCCACTTGACTCTCAGGATTAGCATTCCTCCACTGAACTATTTTTTCTATCAACCATGAGAAGGGTATTATAGATAAAGGATGCTATTTGGAGAAGCTTTGGGGAAATTGAGAGGATGAATGAGAAAAAGTGGTAGAGTGAATCTAAATGAGACGAATGGAGATATTAAAAAGTGATGGGAGAGAAAAGTAAAGTGATTTGTGCATTCTGATGTGTAAGGATACTGGAAAATGCTACTTGTCACTGAGAAAATCATCTTTAGCAGAGGATCTACTAGAGGGGCATCACGCTGAAGCTGGGAAATCCGTTAAGGAGGAAAGTGCATCTGGGAGGGAACCAAGATGGAGTATTTCTACTGATTTTAATTGAATGAAATTGAAAAAACCACTATTTTATAACTACAAAGGTAATACCAGCTCATTGTTAATTTGGAAAATAAAAGGAAAATTAAAGAAATGAAATTCCCTTACAATTAGCTGTGGATATGTGGTTAAAGGACAGAGATATGGGCTGAAAGAAACAGAATGAGCTCAAGAACAGAAATAGTATAGAACAGAAGTGTTTGTATAAATGATGAATAGTGTTTACAGCATAGGGTATCTCAAAAAGATAGATGAAATATAAAGTGGGAAACGGCAGGTTGAGGTGAACTCCTTTGAGGACAGGGACCTTGTTTTTTTCACCTGTGTTACCAGTAGTGTCTAGTACAGTATGTGGTGTAAGAATTAGTGAGTGAGATGCATTATAAGGATTAAATACATAGATTTTTGAGTCAGTCAAGCCTCAGGTCAAAAGTCCAGTTCTGGTATCTTCTAGCAGTGTAACCTTGTACAAGGTGCTTAATTTCCTTAATATTCCTTCATGTATAAAATAGAGATAGTGGTACATATTTTGTCAAGCTAAATCAATTAATGTATGTAAAATGCTTAACAAGTTACATGTGATAAACCTTCAAATAGATGTTAGGGATAACAATAACCATTAGGATAACAATGAATTTGGGAAGGTCTTTCATGCCAGGAGTTTGGGTCAGGTAAGTATTAATAGATCCTGGAAAGAAACATTTGGCATCAGATTAAAGAAGGAAGAGACTAGGGAATGAGAAACTAGTTGGTGGCCATTTTAATAATCCAAAGTACAAGTTGTGAAGTCCTGAACAAGAGTGGTAGCAGTAGTAAAGTGAAAGAGGGGGCAAATAGGCAATACGTTAAAGAAAGAGGACCAATAAAACTTGGTAACATTTCAGATATGGAGATGGAGAAAGAAGAGTAAGAAGTCAAAGATGACTTCCACTTCTGTGATTACATGAAAGTCTCAATAGATATCTCTCTTAACAACATACCATTTTGTCTTCTCTTGGCTCCTGCAATTTTGATAACTCCAAAAGTCAGGAAATGTAAGTCAGCTCCCTCTTTATGAGATTTGCCAGCCACTCCCACAGTTCAGCATTCTGTCCTTAGCGCTGATATACTGAATGTGCTATTTAGGTTTGTGCAAAAGTTATTGTGGTTTTTGCCATTGAAAGTAATGGCAAAACTGCAATAACCTTTGCACCAACCTAATAAATGAGAAGCTAAGAACCTTGTTTGTGTATCAACTGCAGTTGTGTTTGCAATGGGAAGCAAAATATACAATAAACCACCCCCTGAAGGAAACATAGTGGCTCAAGTTTTCAAATGTATCTGGGTAAGTCCATAAATTGTTTTCTTGCCTTTTTCAATCAAAAGAAAGAGATGCTATGCTGAGAATATGGGCCTTCAAACGTGGGCATACATTTTTCTCAATGACCTCTATTCTATTTTCATGTTTTTTAACAAGCTAAGATTAACCAGTCTTCTTCTTATGCCTCTACTTAACCATTAAGTTAAAAAAAGTAATCATCTTTTTAAGTTGGCAAAAATCTTCTGAAATGTAATTATATATAGACAGATAACATTTTTTCTTTTTTGTTGTTATTTTTTGTTTTGAATGGCAAGTTCTTTCTTAAAGTGATAGATAAAATTATATCAGAAATATTCTGAAATTCAATGCCTGATTAGGTCAAAGAGTTGGAATAAGTCACTAGAAGTATGGTGTTTGAAGGAAGGTATAATAAGTTGGAAAAGGCAGAGGATGTTTTTCTCTTTGTCTCTCCCATGATGTCTACTCTCTGCCCTAGTTTGCTATTTCCAATCGTTTCAAGAACCGTTCTGGAGACATTCCAAAGCGACAGCACTGGCTAGACTGGGCGGCTGAGAAATATCCAGTAAGTTGGAAATGCAGAAACATCTTATGGCTTGATAGAGTCTTTCCTAATGTTCAAAATGATTCTATCCTACTGCATTCAACCTCCTCTCTACTGTTTTTTGGACACTTCTACTTTAAGCAAGAAAGCCATGTACAGAACTTCTAGCATTTCTGCCCATTCTTCCTCCTTTTCGCAGAAGCAGCTCATTATGGATGTAAAGGCACTGACCAGGGTACTATTCCTTTATATCCCATTGCCCATGTTCTGGGCTCTTTTGGATCAGCAGGTAAGAATAGTTCTTTTGGACATTACCGCTCCTTACAGCCACTTCCCTCTCACAGGAAAGGGATTTCTCATAACAGGATCTGTTTGCCCTAGGGTTCACGATGGACTTTGCAAGCCATCAGGATGAATAGGAATTTGGTGAGTAGAAGAGATTTTCCAGAGAAGTCTATTATTTTCTTCATCATCCATATTGGGGAAAAATTAATTTCTTTGTGATTTTGCCTGAAAACTAACAAGATCTTCAGAGAAGTGCTTTTAGCCTGAAGGTACCGTGTAGGCAAAGATAAAGAAAGCTAGTTTAGAAATAAAAACCAGAATCTTCTCTTTAGAAATCAGGAACATAAGGATGAGAAAGTTTCAATGTATACAAGGAAGTATTGAGAGGCTAGCAAATGATGTGATGCGTAACCTGGGATAGTGATTTTCTTCTGTCTAAGCCTATCCCAGAGTACAGCAGGGACAGGTTTGAGTGGCACTACTACGCAATTGGTCTATCTCTTCAACAAGGATCACAGCAGGGGACCTGTGGGAAATGGAATATTTTGTATGTATGGATATGGAAAGAATGAGAAGGTTATACGTATTATTTTCTCTTTTTCCAAACTCCATTCTTTAGCCCACTCAAATAAGGTACCATCTCTACTCTCAATTGTTCTTTTCCTAGATTAGTGTATTATTTTTCTATCTTCTCAGTTTTTGAAAAGACAGAGTAGAATGATACCAGGGTCTTATTAGTCAGTCTATTTGGAGCCTGCAAAATATAATTTTACCTTTTCCCTTCCTCTGGCTGTCTCTTATTTACCATGGTGGTCTTCTTGTTGACCCTCTGGAGAACAACTTTGGAAACACTATGTGTCAGGGAGAGTCTTCACCCTAACCATGATGTCTTGCCCTTCATATTATTACAACCTAGAACTGCAGTTGCTGAGATCAATAAAAATGCACTGACTCTATTCTCTTTCAAGTTAAGGAAAGCATAATACATAGAAAATAATTTCTCCCTTAGGCCCATCTGCCTGGCAAACATAGCCAGAAGCTTTCCCAAGTCTGTTCCCATCCCCCAAATAATCTTAACAGCAAAATAGTGGCCCTGAACCAAAGACCTGATGAATTTTCTCTCATATGTTTCTCACTTGCTAACTAGCAAAATTATTGATCTAGGCCAACATTTTTTTTTCTTTTCTTCAGACATCAACTAAATTAATTTGTTAAAATGTTTCAGGGGTTTTTTGTGCTTCAGCCGGACCAGATGCAGGTATGTGACTCTTCTATAGCCATGGGGACTTATTTGTTTCCTTATCTATGCCTCCACCTGCAGTATTACGATTAACAACCATAATTTGATGCTTTTCTCCTTGTACGCTGATAAGGGCCAAGCTTCGACATGAAAACATTCCCATTAAGCCCCACCCTTCTCCTTCACATCCCCTGTTAAGTACTTAACTTGCAACGGGTTAAGTGTAAGCATTGGATTTTTTTCCAAGTCAAGATAGTATAATCAAAATCTTGTAAAAGAAATTGTAAGGCTTATTTTGTGAGCAATGAAGTCATGAGAGGAAAGAGCTCACAATAAGGCTGGCAGAAAGACAGGCTCAGAGTGAAACTTGTCCCTTGGGATATTTGAAAGCTAAAATGCTATGCAAGGGAAATAGGGTCTTGGGTGTAAATGGACTGAGGAATGTGGAGTCATTCTGTACTTACAATGACAAAAGTGTGTGTAGATGTGAGACAGAGTGTAAACAAGCAAATGAGTGCAGTGCTCACACTCATGATAGGAGAATATTTGTAGCTAATCCTTTTTATCATGGTGTTACAGGTTCTAAATCCCCTTCTGGTTCTTATCTTCATCCCGTTGTTTGACTTTGTCATTTATCGTCTGGTCTCCAAGTGTGGAATTAACTTCTCGTAAGTGTTCACTATGTCTGTATGGATTACTCTAAATTGACTCAGTCTTTGCCCAGTTTGAAAAAGATTCAATGTCAGTATTTTTCTTAGTGAGGATTGGTTTTAGTTTATCATCTATCTGCTTCTATTTTTCCATGTTAGACTAACTGCCTATTGACCCTGAAAAATGTGAATTAGATATAATTAATGAGAGTCAAAGCCATTACTGTGGACTTAACTGTGTAATGGTGGTGGAGGGGCAGGTCTAGGTTTCATGCCAAACCAAAAATATGTGAAATTTAGCTCCTAAACCAACTTTCTTCTTTGTTCTTGAATGTTGTCTCTTCAAAGAAACTCAAGGCCTTTGATGACTACTAATCCCTTTAAATCTCCTGTTGTCCCTACAAAACAAATGGGGAACCTAGTAGGACTGGGGACTGAATTATTCCCAATTACTGCCTGAAATTTTTTCTAAATAGAAGGACTAGTCTTTTTTAGAGTTTGGCAAAAGAAAGTTTCAAGCCTTCTTTCATTCTTGATTTAATAGCAATTTCATTGTGATGACCACTTTACCAGATGAAAATGGCCCTTTGTCATTTGTTCATTGAGCAAATGTTGGGAAGTTTAGGACCAAGTGTCATGAAAATATAAATCAAGCAAAAAAAAAAACAACATTTCCCTCAAACAGTTTATTACTTAGTAAAGGGGCTAGACTATATATATATATATATATATATATATATATATATATATATATATATATATATATAAAATACAACTACTACACAGGTAAAATAAGTGTCCTAAGAAGGGAAGATCAAGTGCCAAGGAGAGGTAGAAAAGAAAAAGTCCCTCCCCTGCCAAAGCCAACAGATTTCTGCAGAGGAATGTGAGGTAAAGCATGTACAGCACTTGGCATATGGCATTTGTTCAATAAACCTGATTGTATTGCCATTATTTTTGGTGTTATGACATAGCGAATAGAAAAACCATCATAAGCAAAGATGGAGGTGGGTAAATGTGGTGTATCACAGAGAAGAGCAGTTCAATGTGACTCAAGAACAAGAAGAAAGAAGAATGTATGAAGGGGAGTTCTAGGAAATCCCTTGAAAAGTAATTGGTCATGGAAACATGGATTTAAAAAAGGAAAGTAATTGGGATCAAATCAGGAAAAGTCTTTGATGCAGTTTGAATATTTGTACCCACTCAAATCTCATGTTGAAATGTAATCCCCAATGTTGGATGTTGGAGGTGGGGTCTGGTGGGAGGTAGTCGGATCATGGGGATGAATTCCTCATAAATGGTTTAGTGCTATCCCGTTGGTGCTGTCCTTATGATAGTGAGTTCTAGTGGGATCTGACCATTTAAAAGCATGTAGTATCTCCCTACCCTTCACTTGCTCCTGCTTTCACCATGTGACATGTCTGTTTCTCCAGAGGGTACAAGCCATAAACCTTGGTGGCTTCTACATGGTGTTAAGCCTGCAGGCATACAGAGTGCAAGAATGAAGAATGCTTGGCACCCTTCACCTAGATTTCAGAGGCTGTATGAGAAAGTGTGGGTGTTCATGCAGAAACCGGCTGCAGGGGTGGAGCCCCCAGAGAGTACCTCTACTAGGGCAGTGTGGAGGTAAAATGTGGGGTTGGAGCTCCCACACAGAGTCCCCACAAGGACACTGCCTAGTGCAGCTGTGAGAAGGGGGCCACCATCCTCCAGACCCCAGAATGATAGACCCACTGGCAGCTTGCACCCTGGGCCTGGAAAACCACGGGCACTCAACAACCTGTGAGAGCAGCCACAGGGGCTGAACTCTGCAAAGCCACAAGGGTGGAGCTATCCAAGTCCTTGGGAGCCCACCCCTTGTATTGGTGTGCCCTGAATGTGGGACATGGAGTCAAAGGAGATTATTCTGGAACTTTAAGATTTAATAACTGCCCTGCTGTGTTTCAGACTTGCCTGGGGCCTGTAGCCCATTTGTTTTGGCCAGTTTCTCCCTTTTGGAATGGGAATGTTTACCCAGTATCTATACCCCCATTTTATTTGGGGAGTCAATAAGTTGTTTTGATTTTATAGGCTCATGGGTGGAAGGGACTTGCCTTATTTCAAATGAGACTTTGGACTTGGAACTTTTGATTGAGTTTGTGCTGGAATGAGTTAAAATTTGGGGAACTATTGGGAAGATATAATTGTATTTTGCAATGTGAGAAGGACATGAGATTTTTGGGGGGCTAGAGATGGAATGATATGGTTTGAATATTTGTCCCTGCCAAAATCTCATGTTGAAATGTAATTCCCAGTGATAAAGGTGGGGCCTGGTGGGACATGACTGGATCATGGGAGTGAATTCTCATGAAGGGTTTAGCACCATTCTGTGGTGCTATCTTCATGATAGTGAATGAGTTCTCACAAGATCTGGTCATTTAAAAGTGTGTGGCACCTCCCATCTCCTCGCTTGCTTCTGCTTTCACCATGTGACATGCCTATTCCACCTTTGGCTTCTCCCATGATTGAAAGCTCCTCGATGCTTCACCAGAAGCTGGAAGATGCCAGCACTGTGCTTCCTGTAAAGCTACAGAACCATAAGCCAATTAAACTTCTTTTCTTTATAAATTACCCAGTCTCAGGTATTTCTTTACAGCAATGCAAGAACAGTCTAATGCAGTCTTTAATAATAGGCTACAGAGTTTGGATTTCATCCTTTAGAGTCTAAAGTTTAGATATAATTGTTTCTCCTTTCCACCACAGATCACTTAGGAAAATGGCTGTTGGTATGATCCTAGCATGCCTGGCATTTGCAGTTGCGGCAGCTGTAGAGATAAAAATAAATGTGAGTTCAGTAATTCTTAAGCTCTATGAGGGCAGGATCATATCTTTCTTATTTGCTCTTTTGACTTGTTCAGTCATGATTCCCTGGGACCTAGCACAGTACCTGTTTTATAAGAGGTGCATCATAAGTATTTGTGATAAATAAGTAGATACAGGGGTAAAACAGCAATGCAAAATGAGGCCCACCTCCCACCTGAGTGACTCAGAATGTATTTTCAGGGAATTCTCAAACACTAATATCCAAGAGAGCCCTCTCCTTAGGGAACACAGGCTTATGTGATGCCTTTCTACATACTCAAGTAAAAACCTTTTGGCAGATTGAATAGCCACTATTACGGATGAGGCCACAGCTGAGTCAAAAAGCATCGAGTTTGTAAGCTGGCATTGGTACTTGCTACAATGAGCTGATGTTTCCCTCTCCAAGCTGCCTTTAGAGTTTTCTAAGCCAAATATTTTTCAGAGGGAGAAAACTATGTCTACTTGGCTAGTGGACTAGGCTGTCAGAAACAACTGAGATATGTGTTGCCATTGTATCTGAAGGATTATTTGTTGGTGATTCTGACATGTGTTCTTTGCTCTAAGGAAATGGCCCCAGCCCAGCCAGGTCCCCAGGAGGTTTTCCTACAAGTCTTGAATCTGGCAGATGATGAGGTGAAGGTGACAGTGGTGGGAAATGAAAACAATTCTCTGTTGATAGAGTCCATCAAATCCTTTCAGGTGAGGTGTGTACCTGAATGAATTAGAAACTCTGTATGCTATATTGATCTTGATTTTTCCTTAACATTAATTGTATCATAAGCATCTTCCCATGTCTTTAGATAATCTTTGAGCACATGATTTTAATGGGCATATAATATTCCATTCTATAGATATACCATAGTTTATTTAGACATTTCCACATAGGTATTCCGTTTTTATTATTATACATAATCCTACAATGAACATTCTTATTCATAAATATTTATGCATGGCTCTGATTATTTCTTAGGGTAAATTCCAAGAAATAAAATGGCTAGGTTAAAGAAAGGAATTACTAGGTTGAAAGTGTCTGATGAGGTCACCTACCCTGAGATGCTACATCGTGATGTCCAATATGCAGTAGAAGGTGTACGTGACCTTCATTTTATATTCTTCATTTTACAGAAAACACCACACTATTCCAAACTGCACCTGAAAACAAAAAGCCAGGATTTTCACTTCCACCTGAAATATCACAATTTGTCTCTCTACACTGAGCATTCTGTGCAGGAGAAGAACTGGTACAGTCTTGTCATTCGTGAAGATGGGAACAGTATCTCCAGCATGATGGTAATTTGAGGAATTGCCTGTGTTTTCAGTTGTCATCTCAAAGTAATATGACTGTCTCATCAACATCTTACCAAGGATCTGCCTGATGATCAAATTTTCTGAGTATAGGTCTTATTTCATCAGCTGTTACTGATTTTTACTTTCCTCTGTTGTAGGTAAAGGATACAGAAAGCAGAACAACCAATGGGATGACAACCGTGAGGTTTGAATGTCAATGAGATTCCAGGCCACTCTGTTTTCTTGAATCTTGGATCTCTTCTAATCTTTGGGGCTGCATTCTACTTGTTCTGAACAGGAATTCCCTCTCGTAGAATGCCAGGGGCACTGGTGTCAAAAGGCATTTTCTAGGACAGTGAGAGGCAGATAGGCTTCTTTTCTCATGTGGGATTCGAAGATGACTCTATCTGTGTATGCCCCCTGTACTCTGGGGCATAAATCCTTTCTGCTGAATTTTATCTATTTATCTTGCTCTCAGGAAAATAACTGAGTACTTTTCTCTCTGTGATCGCCAGAGAGAAATTTGGAAGTGAGAAAATAATCCTCCCTTCATTTTTGATAGTTGAATATATATCTTTTAAAGTATAGTTTTTATTATAAGCCTGTAGAGGCATCATGGTATAGCACACATTTGGAGTCAAAAGACTTAGTTTTGAATCCAGATAAGGCTGAAGGGTCTTGTCAAATGGTGAGGGACAGTTACAGAGATGGAGTACCCAAGAGGACATGTGTTCTCTGTGGCTGGTATTAGATATGAAATGGACAGATACACAGGTCTATGGCCACCAAGGTCAAGTGGTTGCTGTTGAGAATAGCATTTTAGTGGAGAACTTTTAGTGAAAAGTCTGGATTTCACTGAAGGTTGGGACAGTCATAATAACTTGCTTTTGAATATGCTTCAAAAAAAGTAAACAGCTCAAAATAAGACAATGTGAGGTCAGAGAGCCATGGGCCCCCAGAAGGGGCATTTTCTAGGTCAGTGTAGAATGATCTAAAGTCTAGGAATCAACATTCAGGACTCTAAAGGGAAATGTCCTTCTTATTCCTGGGGCCAGAGACCAAATCAAAAGCTATCAAAACAGAAATGTACCAAAACCCATCCTGAGAGGACAATCTAGGTGCCAGGTTCAGAAAAATAGAAAGATGGTCTTGGAAGGGTCCAAAGTTTCTGCAGACTCCAAAACAATTATAATAACCTACTCTGGGCTGGGAGTCTGAGTTTTGCATAGGTCACATTGGACTTCATTTATAAGAGGATAAGATATCAGTTTTATGTAAATACTATCATATCTTTATATATGCATAATTATCTTATTTTTCTTAGTAAAGTCTCAGTTGATAGATTCCACCATTATAAGGGAAATAAATTAGATGCACCTAAGCTGGATTAGTGAGGAAACTCAGATTTCCATGAATGATCATGATAGTGTCCGTCTAGCTAGAGGTCTGGTGAGGATGTGGCAGATAAAAGTTCAAGAAAAAGAAACTTAGGGACAGCTAAGACTATGGATTACTTTTTACGTGTGGGTTCATTCGTCTAGTTAACAATATACATTAGGTACCTTTTATGTGCCAGCCACTATCCTAGGCACCTGGGCACTGGGGATATAGTTATACCCAAAACATAAAAGGCCCCTAACCTCTTTTATCAGGTGTTCCTGTTTGTTTGATATGTAAATAATATCTCTACCCTCAGGTTTGTTAACACTTTGCATAAAGATGTCAACATCTCCCTGAGTACAGATACCTCTCTCAATGTTGGTGAAGACTATGGTGTGTCTGCTTATAGAACTGTGCAAAGAGGAGAGTAAGTGCATTGCCCCTGTGGACATTTTACTTTTGTCAATAATTGTTTTTTAAGTGCTATCTTTGTATATAGGTGGGGAACTTAGGTGCATGTGGTCTAATTTTGAGTATAGACGCACTACTGATCTTTTCCAACTCTTGCTTCCTTCCCTCAGTCTCACTTTTTTTCTGCACAGATATGTTGAGA
This sequence comes from Homo sapiens, assembly GCF_000001405.40. NCBI lineage: Eukaryota > Metazoa > Chordata > Mammalia > Primates > Hominidae > Homo > Homo sapiens. The sequence continues at coordinate 121,931,137 of NC_000003.12, forward strand.
TCACGATTGCCGTGAAGACCACACTATATAGTTAACACAGCCCATCTCTGTATAGTTAACACAGTCCGTCTCTGTGAGTTTCTCAAAGTTTATTATTGGTTTCCATTTCTACTAAAGAAGGTACTTTGGTACCTTACACTGGCACTTCATTACTTAGAGCTTATCTTCTCAGGTTCACTGTTATAGCCTGTTCTACTAAGTCATAAGATTTGCATGAGGAAAATTCACATGGTACTTAAGTTAACAAAAGAATATGATTTGTAACTTCTTTATTTAGGTTGAATATTTTAGAAAATACCTGACAAGCAATAAAGAGCTCAAATCAGGGACAGAAGCCTGGCATGAAAATAACCTACTCCAAGAAACATTTCTCTTCAAAGATAATTAGTGGCTTCACTGCTTTCCTCACCATCAGTAGAGAGATGAGATCACTTTCACCTGGAGATGGGAATGCTTTTCCAAGCCTTGATATTTATTCTAACCTAAATTCATCCTGTTCCAGATACCCTGCAGTGCACTGTAGAACAGAAGATAAGAACTTTTCTCTGAATTTGGGTCTTCTAGACTTTGGTGCAGCATATCTGTTTGTTATTACTAATGTAAGTAGCTCACAGCCACCTCTTTACCCTCTCTCCATATACATATATCTCCTGAGATCCTCTAGGCAGGGGCAGAAAACAAAAGAGAAGACTCTGTGGCAAAGCAGACACGTATATTTATTTCTAGCATAAGATGACAGGTTCTACAGTGACTTTAATTATTTTTATTTTTATTTTTTTTGAGACAGAGTTTCGCTCTCATCGCGCAGGCTGGAGTGCTGTGGCACCATCTCGACTCACTGCAACCTCTGCCTCCCGGGTTAAAGTGATTCTCCTGCCTCAACCTCCCCGAGTATCTGGGATTACAGGCACCCACCACCACCATGCCCAGCTAATTTTTGTATTTTTAGTAGAGATGGGGTTTTGCCGTGTTGGCCAGGCTGGTCTCAAACTCCTGACCTCAGATGATCCACCAGCCTCAGCCTCCCAAAGTGTTGAGATTACAAGCGTGAGTCACCGCACCTGGCTCTACAGTGACTTTAGAAAGCCCACTGTCTCTGTAGGGGTTGTTAAGAGATAACATCAACAACAAGCAAAGGGTCTTGGGGAAGGAGAAACATAATTTATCTTGAGCCATCACTGTGAGATGCCACAGCTTGCTCCAGTCTTTTTATGTCTCCAATCAAACACAAGTTATTTATGAAAAAGTACTAATGTCTTCTTGGCCAGCTTCATATGCAGATCTTCTCACTCTCTGGAAATTTGATCTGCTAGCATGTCACAGTCTGAAATACTGAAACTGATAATAATGTCAATCCCTACACAAAGTTTGGGGATCAGTTAACTGTGATCTGTCAAAAACAATTGTCCTAGCAGTCAGGGCAGAGTAACTGATTTTAATTTTGATGTCAATCTTGACTTTAATTTTGTTATTTCATTATTATTCATACTGTATTAAAGACTAAAAGATAGTGAATAAAAAAAAGAGAGAACATTTCTAGAGGTTTGATGAGAACCCAATCTACAAAGTTCTATTTATTTTACTAATTAATTAATTTAATTAACTTGATCCCTTTGGTGTGCCATTTTTTTTCTATTATTATACTTTAAGTTTTAGGGTACATGTGCACATTGTGCAGGTTAGTTACATATGTATACATGTGCCATGCTGGTGCGCTGCACCCACTAACTCGTCATCTAGCATTAGGTATATCTCCCAGTGCTATCCCTCCCCCCTCCGCGCACCCCACAACAGTCCCCAGAGTGTGATGTTCCCCTTCCTGTGTCCATGTGATCTCATTGTTCAATTCCCACCTATGAGTGAGAATATGCGGTGTTTGGTTTTTTGTTCTTGCGATAGTTTACTGAGAATGATGATTTCCAATTTCATCCATGTCCCTACAAAGGACATGAACTCATCATTTTTTATGGCTGCATAGTATTCCATGGTGTATATGTGCCACATTTTCTTAATCCAGTCTATCATTGTTGGACATTTGGGTTGGTTCCAAGTCTTTGCTATTGTGAATAATGCCGCAATAAACATATGTGTGCATGTGTCTTTATAGCAGCATGATTTACAGTCCTTTGGGTATAAACCCAGTAATGGGATGGCTGGGTCAAATAGTATTTCTAGTTCTAGATCCCTGAGGAATCGCCACACTGACTTCCACAATGGTTGAACTAGTTTACAGTCCCACCAACAGTGTAAAAGTGTTCCTATTTCTCCACATCCTCTCCAGCACCTGTTGTTTCCTGACTTTTTAATGATTGCCATTCTAACTGATGTGAGATGGTATCTCATTGTGGTTTTGATTTGCATTTCTCTGATGGCCAGTGATGATGAGCATTTTTTCACGTGTTTTTTGGCTGCATAAATGTCTTCTTTTGAGAAGTGTCTGTTCATGTCCTTCGCCCACTTTTTGATGGGGTTGTTTGTTTTTTTCTTGTAAATTTGTTTGAGTTCATTGTAGATTCTGGATATTAGCCCTTTGTCAGATGAGTAGGTTGCGAAAATTTTCTCCCATTTTTTAGGTTGCCTATTCACTCTGATGGTAGTTTCTTTTGCTGTGCAGAAGCTCTTTAGTTTAATTAGATCCCATTTGTCAATTTTGGCTTTTGTTGCCATTGCTTTTGGTGTTTTAGACATGAAGTCCTTGCCCATGCCTATGTCCTGAATGGTAATGCCTAGGTTTTCTTCTAGGGTTTTTATGGTTTTAGGTCTAACGTTTAAGTCTTTAATCCATCTTGAATTGATTTTTGTATAAGGTGTAAGGAAGGGATCCAGTTTCAGCTTTCTACATATGGCCAGCCAGTTTTCCCAGCACCATTTATTAAATAGGGAATCCTTTCCCCATTGCTTGTTTTTCTCAGGTTTGTCAAAGATCAGATAGTTGTAGATATGTGGCATTATTTCTGAGGGCTCTGTTCTGTTCCATTGATCTATATCTCTGTTTTGGTACCAGTAACATGCTGTTTTGATTACTGTAGCCTTGTAGTATAGTTTGAAGTCAGGTAGTGTGATGCCTCCAGCTTTGTTCTTTTGGCTTAGGATTGACTTGGCAATGCGGGCTCTTTTTTGGTTCCATATGAACTGTAAAGTAGTTTTTTCCAATTCTTTGAAGAAAGTCATTGGTAGCTTGATGGGGATGGCATTGAATCTATAAATTACCTTGGGCAGTATGGCCATTTTCACAATATTGATTCTTCCTACCCATGAGCATGGAATGTTCTTCCATTTGTTTGTATCCTCTTTTATTTCCTTGAGCAGTGGATTGTAGTTCTCCTTGAAGAGGTCCTTCACATCCCTTGTAAGTTGGATTCCTAGGTATTTTATTCTCTTTGAAGCAATTGTGAATGGGAGTTCACTCATGATTTGGCTCTCTGTTTGTCTGTTATTGGTGTATAAGAATGCTTGTGATTTTTGTACATTGATTTTGTATCCTGAGACTTTGCTGAAGTTGCTTATCAGCTTAAGGAGATTTGGGGCTGAGACAATGGGGTTTTCTAGATATACAATCATGTCGTCTGCAAATAGGGACAATTTGACTTCCTCTTTTCCTAATTGAATACCCTTTATTTCCTTCTCCTGCCTGATTGCCCTGGCCAGAACTTCCAACACTATGTTGAATAGGAGTGGAGAGAGAGGGCATCCCTGTCTTGTGCCAGTTTTCAAAGGGAATGCTTCCAGTTTTTGCCCATTCAGTATGATATTGGCTGTGGGTTTGTCATAGATAGCTCTTATTATTTTGAAATACATCCCATCAATACCTAATTTATTGAGAGTTTTTAGCATGAAGCGTTGTTGAATTTTGTCAAAGGCCTTTTCTGCATCTATTGAGATAATCATGTGGTTTTTGTCTTTGTTTCTGTTTATATGCTGGATTACATTTATTGATTTTCGTATATTGAACCAGCCTTGCATCCCAGGGATGAAGCCCACTTGATCATGGTGGATAAGCTTTTTGATGTGCTGCTGGATTCGTTTTGCCAGTATTTTATTGAGGATTTTTGCATCCATGTTCATCGAGGATATTGGTCTAAAATTCTCTTTTTTGGTTGTGTCTCTGCCCGGCTTTGGTATCAGAATGATGCTGGCCTCATAAAATGAGTTAGGGAGGATTCCCTCTTTTTCTATTGATTGGAATAGTTTCAGAAGGAATGGTATCAGTTCCTCCTTGTATCTCTGGTAGAATTCGGCTGTGAATCCATCTGGTCCTGGACTCTTTTTGGTTGGTAAGCTATTGATTATTGCCACAATTTCACATCCTGTTATTGGTCTATTCAGAGATTCAACTTCTTCCTGGTTTAGTCTTGGGAGGGTGTATGTGTCCAGGAATTTATCCATTTCTTCTAGACTTTCTAGTTTATTTGTGTAGAGGTGTTTGTAGTATTCTCTGATGGTAGTTTGTATTTCTGTGGGATTGGTGGTGATATCTCCTTTATCATTTTTTATTGCGTCTATTTGATTCTTCTCTCTTTTTTTCTTTATTAGTCTTGCTAGCAGTCTATCAATTTTGTTGATCCTTTCAAAAAACCAGCTCCTGGATTCATTAATTTTTTGAAGGGTTTTTTGTGTCTCTATTTCCTTTAGTTCTGCTCTGATTTTAGTTATTTCTTGCCTTCTGCTAGCTTTTGAATGTGTTTGCTCTTGCTTTTCTAGTTCTTTTAATTGTGATGTTAGGGTGTCAATTTTGAATCTTTCCTGCTTTCTCTTGTGGGCATTTAGTGCTATAAATTTCCTTCTACACACTGCTTTGAATGTGTCCCAGAGATTCTGGTATGTTGTGTCTTTGTTCTCGTTGGTTTCAAAGAACATCTTTATTTCTGCCTTCATTTCGTGATGTACCCAGTAGTCATTCAGGAGCAGGTTTTTCAGTTTCCATGCAGTTGAGCAGTTTTGAGTGAGATTCTTAATCCTGAGTTCTAGTTGGATTGAACTGTGGTCTGAGAGATAGTTTGTTATAATTTCTATTCTTTTACATTTGCCGAGGAGAGCTTTACTTCCAACTATGTGGTCAATTTTGGAATAGGTGTGGTGTGGTGCTGAAAAAAATGTACATTCTGTTGATTTGGGGTGGAGAGTTCTGTAGATGTCTATTAGGTCTGCTTGGTGCAGAGCTGAGTTCAATTCCTGGGTGTCCTTGTTGACTTTCTGTCTCTTTGATCTGTCTAATGTTGACAGTGGGGTGTTAAAGTCTCCCATTATTAATGTGTGGGAGTCTCAGTCTCTTTGTGGGTCACTGAGGACTTGCTTTATGACTCTGGGTGCTCCTGTATTGGGTGCATATATATTTAGGATAGTTAGCTCTTCTTGTTGAATTGATCCCTTTACCATTATGTAATGGCCTTCTTTGTCTCTTTTGATCTTTGTTGGTTTAAAGTCTGTTTTATCAGAGACTAGGATTGCAACCCCTGCATTTTTTTTTTTCCATTTGCTTGGTAGATCTTCCTCCACCCTTTTATTTTGAGCCTATGTGTGTCTCTGCACGTGAGATGGGTTTCCTGAATACAGCACACTGATGGGTCTTGACTCTTTATCCAATTTGCCAGTCTGTGTCTTTTAATTGGAGCATTTAGTCCATTTACATTTAAAGTTAATATTGTTATGTGTGAATTTGATCCTGTCATTATGATGTTAGCTGGTTATTTTGCTCGTTAGTTGATGCAGTTTCTTCCTAGTCTCGATGGTCTTTACATTTTGGCATGATTTTGCAGCGGCTGGTACCGGTTGTTCCTTTCCATGTTTAGCACTTCCTTCAGGAGCTCTTTTAGGGCAGGCCTGGTGGTGACAAAATCTCTCAGCATTTGCTTGCCTGTAAAGGATGTTATTTCTCCTTCACTTATGAAGCTTAGTTTGGCTGGATATGAAATTCTGGGTTGAAAATTCTTTTCTTTAAGAATGTTGAATATTGGCCCCCACTCTCTTCTGGCTTGTAGGGTTTCTGCCGAGAGATCCGCTGTTAGTCTGATGGGCTTCCCTTTGAGGGTAACCCGACCTTTCTCTCTGGCTGCCCTTAACATTTTTTCCTTCATTTCAACTTTGGTGAATCTGACAATTATGTGTCTTGGAGTTGCTCTTCTCGAGGAGTATCTTTGTGGCGTTCTCTGTATTTCCTGAATCTGAACGTTGGCCTGCCTTGCTAGATTGGGGAAGTTCTCCTGGATAATATCCTGCAGAGTGTTTTCCAACTTGGTTCCATTCTCCCCATCACTTTCAGGTACACCAATCAGACGTAGATTTGGTCTTTTCACATAGTCCCATATTTCTTGGAGGCTTTGCTCGTTTCTTTTTATTCTTTTTTCTCTAAACTTCCCTTCTCGCTTCATTTCATTCATTTCATCTTCCATTGCTGATACCCTTTCTTCCAGTGGATCGCATCGGCTCCTGAGGCTTCTGCATTCTTCACGTAGTTCTCGAGCCTTGGTTTTCAGCTCCATCAGCTCCTTTAAGCACTTCTCTGTATTGGTTATTTTAGTTATACATTCCTCTAAATTTTTTTCAAAGTTTTCAATTTCTTTGCCTTTGGTTTGAATGTCCTCTCATAGCTCAGAGTAATTTGATTGCCTGAAGCCTTCTTCTCTCAGCTCATCAAAGTCATTCTCTATCCGGCTTTGTTCCGTTGCTGATGAGGAACTGCGTTCCTTTGGAGGAGGAGAGGTGCTCTGCTTTTTAGAGTTTCCAGTTTTTCTGTTCTGTTTTTTCCCCATCTTTGTGGTTTTATCTACTTTTGGTCTTTGATGATGGTGATGTACAGATGGGTTTTTGGTGTGGATGTCCTTTCTGTTTGTTAGTTTTCCTTCTAACAGACAGGACCCTCAGCTGCAGGTCTGTTGGAGTACCTGGCCATGTGAGGTGTCAGTCTGCCCCTGCTGGGGGGTGCCTCCCAGTTAGGCTGCTCAGGGGTCAGGGGTCAGGGACCCACTTGAGGAGGCAGTCTGCCCGTTCTCAGATCTCCAGCTGCATGCTGGGAGAACCACTGCTCTCTTCAAAGCTGTCAGACAGGGACATTTAAGTCTGCAGAGGTTACTGCTGTCTTTTTGTTTGTCTGTGCCCTGCCCCCAGAGGTGGAGCCTACAGAGGCAGGCAGGCCGCCTTGAGCTGTGGTGGGCTCCACCCAGTTGGAGCTTCTCGGCTGCTTTGTTTACCTAAGCAAGCCTGGGCAATGGCGGGCGCCCCTCCCCCAGCCTCGCTGCCACCTTGCATTTGATCTCAGACTGCTGTGCTAGCAATCAGCGAGACTCCGTGGGCGTAGGACCCTCCCAGCCAGGTGTGGGATATAATCTCGTGGTGCGCCGTTTTTTAAGCCCGTCGGAAAAGCGCAGTATTCCGGTGGGAGTGACCCGATTTTCCAGGTGCCGTCTGTCACCCCTTTCTTTGACTAGGAAAGGGAACTCCCTGACCCCTCGCACTTCCCGAGTGAGGCAATGCCTCGCCCTGCTTTGGCTCGCACACGGTGTGCTGCACCCACTGACCTGCGCCCACTGTCTGGCACTCCCTAGTGAGATGAGCCCGGTACCTCAGATGGAAACGCAGAAATCACCCGTCTTCTGCATTGCTCACGCTGGGAACTGTAGACCGGAGCTGTTCCTATTCGGCCATCTTGGCTCCAGCCACCTCCATGTCTCTTTTAACCCTCCTGGCCAAAAGCAGCAACACTTTAACCCTTGTTGCAAAAGAATCTGTTCTTCTAATCTTGTTCATTTTCTTCAATTTCCACTACTTCTTTTCTACCAGGCTGATAACCATAGCAGGCCTGGGCATAGCCTGAGAAGTATAATCTCTGCTCAAAGAATAAACACACCCTTACCAAGGGAATTATCTGAAAATTTATTTTGTTTGTGTAATTCAGATGCCATTTTATGTTTAAAATGTTGTCCAGGATCAAAATGCCTGATAGGGCAAAACGGTGGAAATCCAAACTGCAATATCAAAATATTCTCTTATTTAAAGTCTCTGTCAATAATGATATCTGATTGAATCTAGGCGAGTGAGCATAATATTACGAAAAGAAGTTTTGAAAAGCTGGAATTGTGTAGAAATGCTCAATTTCCTGAAAATGGCTGAAGAATGAAAATACAAAAAGGATGGATATAAGATCGTAGAATGCTGTAGTTAGAAATATTTACTTGAGACTACTGACAAGTCCATTTCCATTTTCTCTTTCCCTAAGAACACCAATCAGGGTCTTCAGGCCTGGAAGATTGAAGACATTCCAGCCAACAAAATGTCCATTGCGTGGCAGCTACCACAATATGCCCTGGTTACAGCTGGGGAGGTCATGTTCTCTGTCACAGGTCTTGAGTTTTCTTATTCTCAGGTAAGTTTTTGCAAATAGAAGGTAGAAATTGAGGCATTGCTTGAAGGACAATGAATTTTAATTCTAGCACTGACTTAAATAGGTATGTTATCTCTTTTGGCCTTGGGTACCTTATTTATGACCCTGAACATATATGACCTGAACATCTTAACTCCCCAGGTCATGACAGTACAGCATGGGAGTCTATGATTTTGGGGTTCTAGGAAAGAGATTAAAGATTAAAATGAAGAGCTGCAGAGTCAGACTTCCCGTGTTCAAATTTTGGCTGCATGACCTATTGTGTAACCTTGAGCAAGTAAATTACTATCTCTGTAATGCTGTCGCCCAGGCTGGAGTGCAGTGGCGCGATCTCAGCTCACTGCATTCCAGCCTGAGCGACAGAGCGAGACTCCATCTGCCTCCCCGGCTCAAGCGATTCTCCTGCCTCAGCCTCTTGAGTAGCTGGGATTATAGGCGCACACCACCATTCCTGGCTAATTTTTGTATTTTTAGTAGAGACAGGGTTTCACCATGTTGGCCAGGCTGATCTCTAACTCCTGACCTTGGATGATCTGCCCACCTTGGCCTCCCAAAGTGCTAGGATTACAGGCTTGAGCTACTGCGCCCAGTCTGTAATACTATTTTTTAAATGTATAAGAATACGAATAGAACTTATCTCTTAGGATTGTAATGAAGATTATATGACATAATGAGTTTAAATATATTCAGTTAGGAGCTTCATCTTATTCTTACTGTTTACATTATTAACACCCTCTGAATCAATGTGATAGCTGAACTTAATAAGAGAAGTTCTAACTTGGAAGCTTTTGTGGGAGAAGTTTCCTGGATGCATGGGGCATGAGGGCAGTGAAGGGGGTTTGTTTACTTTCAAACTTGTGTCATCCCCAGGCTCCCTCTAGCATGAAATCTGTGCTCCAGGCAGCTTGGCTATTGACAATTGCAGTTGGGAATATCATCGTGCTTGTTGTGGCACAGTTCAGTGGCCTGGTACAGGTATGGATCTGAGGGAAGCAGGATTCATTTCTACTCAAGTTTTTCCTCCAGCTTTCTCTTCTCCCTTTCCCCCATCTCTCTGCTTCCCACATTCCCCATTCAGTGCTGTGACATGAAATGGGTTAGATATACAGACTTTACCAGGAAAATAGACATATGTAAGTGGCAATAATGACTACAATATACCTATGTGAGGAGAGGCCAGTGAACCCAGTCTTTGTCCAGCAAAAGTCTGGTTAAACTGGTGATCCCAGGTCAGTCTGCTCCCCACTCCTCATCCTGTAAAGATCTCTTTAGTTTCAGGTTTCTCCATATTCTTCTCATATTTATTTCCCCCTGCAGTGGGCCGAATTCATTTTGTTTTCCTGCCTCCTGCTGGTGATCTGCCTGATCTTCTCCATCATGGGCTACTACTATGTTCCTGTAAAGACAGAGGATATGCGGGGTCCAGCAGATAAGCACATTCCTCACATCCAGGGGAACATGATCAAACTAGAGACCAAGAAGACAAAACTCTGATGACTCCCTAGATTCTGTCCTGACCCCAATTCCTGGCCCTGTCTTGAAGCATTTTTTTTCTTCTACTGGATTAGACAAGAGAGATAGCAGCATATCAGAGCTGATCTCCTCCACCTTTCTCCAATGACAGAAGTTCCAGGACTGGTTTTCCAGTACATCTTTAAACAAGGCCCCAGAGACTCTATGTCTGCCCGTCCATCAGTGAACTCATTAAAACTTGTGCAGTGTTGCTGGAGCTGGCCTGGTGTCTCCAAATGACCATGAAAATACACACGTATAATGGAGATCATTCTCTGTGGGTATGCAAAGTTATGGGAATTCCTTTATAGGTAACTGCCATTTAGGACTGATGGCCCTAATTTTTGAGGTGCTGATTTAGAGGCAAAATTGCAGAATAACAAAGAAATGGTATTTCAAGTTTTTTTTTTTATAAGCAATGTAATTATGCTATTCACAGGGGCCTCAAGAATTGGTATGTATGATGTGATCTGGTCCAGCCAGGGCCTGGCTTGTCAGCTCTCTAGGTTTGATATGACTTTAGTAAATTTGTCAATATAGATGGTAGGAAGCAGAATGCCATTTTATTAAAACACAGGAGAAGTTATATCTCTCTGATTATGATAGTATTTTATTTACTTATCCAAACCCTCCTTTCTCAGTATGGATAGATCATGGAAACCAGATTAGAGATAGTAAGCATTAGTAAACATTGTTCTGGAGAACAGGAACAGGTGTAAGTTGTAGAAATCCTGAAGAGCCAGTCATTCTTTTACAGAGTACATTCTTCTTAGCCTCTATGGCGCTGGTCTATGCCCTTCAGTGAACAGTTGTATAAACAATAATTATAATTTGCAACCTTGTCTTGTCAACCTTGCTGATCCAGCTTTTTCTTATTATTACACCTTGTCTTGCTTATTGCAGCAAATATTCAATAACAACAATGTTTCTATAAGTCCAACTTCCTTTATTAATGTTTCCATTTAGCCTCAAAAATATCAAAGTAGTTCCTTTTTGATGTTGTTTTCCTGATTTACTTTTCCCATAAGTTTTAAATACCATTTCTGCCTTGAAGCCTAGAAATTTTCTTTTTATTCAAAAAAAGTTACATTAATGCTCTAGGTTTGAGGTTCTAAAATGGAAATGTCAATAGAGGAGCATGGTCCTATGTGAGGTTCCTATCAAAATTTGTGGGAGTAGGGATGGTAGAGCATGAGGGTTTTGTTTGTGTATGTGTATGGTCATGAAAAAAAATTGAGAAACATTACCTCATACACAATGAATGAATCAGAGGACAGACACGGGAATGGCACGACTGTGCAGTGTGTTACTAGGAAAAAAGTTCAGAATCACTGTTCTAGAGAGCTTCATTTCCATTGGTTTTAAAACATTATTCTCATGTAGAACAGTGTTGGGTCTCATACTGTTAATGTTAATACGTAACAATGTTCATGTTAACAGGCACCTGTTAATATTAACAGATAATGTTACTGTTAACAGGTAAGAGAAATTGCTCTAAGTGCCCAAACTTTATATACTTCAGTTTTAATGACAAGCATTTCAGAAATATAAGAGCGGCAGCCAGACCAACCAGTTTTTCCAGATATCTTGATGTGAACCTGACCCTACTCCTTTAGAAGACAGCCTGTTCATTTTTAAATAGCTTTAACCCAAACTGTTCTATGACCATTGTTTCAAGAGACATTAACACAGTTCTGTAAATAGAAGTGTCTATGGACAAATAAGTTTGGGAAATGTGGCATACTGTATCCTTTTCTTAACATTTGCATATTAAAGACTCTGAGATATCCTGCAGTAAAGACACAAGATACCTTGTTTAAATTAACATGTACGCTGCAGAACATTGGTTTGGAAAAAACTGTTGAGCAGTTCTTCCTTGTAAGTGCTGAGCTTCCTCTCTGAAACCTCCTACCATTGTTTTTTTTCCCCTGTAGCTAACAAGAATAAGTATAACAGCCGGCCAGGCACAGTGGCTCATGCCTGTAATCCCAGCACTTTGGGAGGCTGAGACAGGTGGATCACCTGAGGTCAGGAGTTCGAGACCAGCCTGGCCAACATGGTGAAACCGTGTCTCTACTAAAAGTACAAAAATTAGCCAGGTGTGATGGCAGGTGCCTGTAATCCCAGCTACTCGGGAGGCTGAAGCAGAAGAATTGCTTGAACCCGGGAGGCAGAGGTTGCAATGAGCCGAGATCACGCCATCACACTCTAGCCTGGGGGACAAGAGTGAGACTTCATCTAAAAAAAAAAAGAAAAGAATATGTATACCCCCTTTTTCATGTGGCAGATGTTTAGCTATTTGGGGAGAACTTTCATGGCTCTTCCCTAATCATCAAGTATTCAAGGTAAAGATTCTCGGTTCCTGTAATGGTTCCTCACCAGGCATAATTTGTCCTTTTACCATCCTACTTTCTGTCTTCTGAAAAACATTCTTTATCTGAAATACAGCAATTAATATTAAGATATCTTAATATGAAGTGCCTGGAGTCAAATATAACATTCCAAAGTAGTCTGACTGGAAGAACTAGCACCTGCCTTTCTTCAAACAATGCACTTCTGTTAATGCAGTGTAAGGTAACATGAGTTGTTTTTGGAAACTACATCATAATGTGGGCTTACATTCTAGCACTTATCACTTAATGACAGGGATACATTTGAGGAATGCATTGTTAGGCAATTTTGTCATTATGCAAACATCATAGAGTGTACTTACACAAACCTATGGTATAGCCTACTACACATCTAAGTTATATGGTATAGACTGTTTCTCCAGCTATATGGTGTAGACTGTTTCTCCTAGGCTACAAACCTGCACAGCATGTTACTGTATTAAATGCTGTAGGCAATTGTAACACAATGGTATTTTTATACTTAAACATATCTAAACATAGAAACGGTACAAAAAACTTTACACATTATATAGATGTATCAAATTATTCATATGTGCTCTGAAAATGTCTATATCTGTTATGTATCAATTTTTTAAAAAGTGAATGACATAATTCATTTGAAAAAATGTGGACACACAAATTGGAAAAGAGGTATAAATGCAGTATTATAATCTAATGGGACCACCATCACATATTTGGTCTGTCATTGACTGAAACTGCAATATAGAGTTTTTCTTAACATTTGCATATTAAAGACTCTGACTATATATGGACATATATGACTGTCACCATTGTAAGACATTTTGATGTTATTCTAAGTGACATGTTAAACCATTGGAAGTTTAGAACATGAGAGTGACATAATGTGATCATTTAAGATCACTTTGGCTGCTAAGGGGAGAATTATCTATAGTCAGGAAGGAAAAGAAGTAAGGAGTTAAGTTAGGAGGCTTTTGCAATAGTTCAGGCAATAGATGGTAGTGACTTGGACAAGGTGATAGTAGTGGAGGTGGAGAGAAATGGTTTGACTTGGAATTAAACTTTAAGCTAGAACTGACAAGATTTGAGTGTAGTTTGGATACACAATTTAAAAGAAAGAAATGCGCCAGATGTGGTGCCTTACACCTGTAATCTCAATTCTTTGCAAGGATAAGGCAGGAAGATTCTTTGAAGCCGGGAGTTCAAGACCACTCTAGGCAACATAATGAGACCCCCTCTCTACAAGAAATAAAAATAAAAAAATTAGCCGGGTGTGGTGGTGTGCACCTGCAACCCCAGCTTCTCAGGAGGCTGAGGCAGAACAATCCCTTGAGCCCAGGTGCTTAAAGCTGCAATGAGCTATGATCACACCACTGTACTCCAGCCTGGACAATAGGACCCTGTCTCAAAATGAAAGAAGCGGTGGGGGGTGGAGAGAGAGAGAGAAAGGAAGGAAGGAAGGAAGGAAGCAAGGAAGGAAGGAAGGAAGGAAGGAAAAAGAAAAGAAAAAGAAAGAAAGAAAAAAGCTCACTCCTAGATTTGGTCCTAAGTAGTAAGGATGAATCAGGATGCAATTTTCTAGAAATAGCAAAGACTAGGATAAGAAAAGTTTTCTGGTATGAGTTTTGTTTTGGACATGTTGAGCTTCTACCCATGCTAATGGATATCCAATTAGAGACATTAAGTTAGCAGTTTCATATATGAGTCTGAAGATCAGGTAAGAGGTTGGAGCTAGAAACATAAACTTGAGAATCATCAGCATATATATGGTATTTAAAGCCATCAAACTGGAAGAGATTTCCCAAGAAGTGAATGTGTATAGAGAAATGATGAGCAAGAAGGACAGTTTGACAAGAATAAGGGGCAAAGAGGTAAAATATACAAAGGAAGCTAGGGATCAGATCATGTAGGTTCGGGTGTGCTGGTGTGCACTTGTAGTCCCAGCTACTCAGAAGGCTGAGGTAAGGAGGATTGCTGGAGCCCAGGAGTTTGAGGCTACAGGGAGTGATGATCACACCACTGCACTCCAGCCTGGCCCATAGAGTGAGACCCCATCTCTAAAAAAGAGAGAGAGAGTGAGAGAAATGGTCAAGGAATGGTTGAGCTTGGGGGTCCTCCAACATTGGAGGTTTGGAGAAGAGGAGGATGCAGCAAAGGCAATGAGATGGGTGACCTATGAAATATGAGGAAACTCAGGAGAATGCAATTTAATATAAATGACACACTCTGTGTTGTAATTAGATAAAAATGAATTTTTATCTTTGACCTAAAGAAAGTACTTTTTCCTATTAGTAAACCTGGGTTCTGGTAATTTCTATGTATGTTTGCCTAAATCCTTTTTCCTCCACAATTTAATTCAATTTGATGGTCCTTCCTTCTTTTTTTTTTTTTTGAAACAGGGTCTCACCCTGTCACCCAAGCTGAGTGAAGTGGTGTGATCATGGCTCACTGCAGCCTCAACCTCCAGCACTCAAGCAATCCTCCCTCCTCAGCCTCCCTAGCAGCTAGAACTACAGGATGTGCCACCATGCCCAATTAGTTTTTTATTTTTTGTCAAGACTAAGTCTCGCTAAGTTGCCCAGGCTGGTCTCAAACTCCTGGATGCAAGTGATCCCCCTACCTCGGCCTCACAAAGTGCTGAGATTACAGGTATGAGCCACTGTGTCCAGCCACATTCATCATTTTCTTCTCCCTTGACCAATAACCTGCAACTACACTAGCAATCTTTGCTTCTGAAACATGCCAAGATTGTTCCTGACAAGATCTTTCCACTGCCTAGAATATTCTTTACCCTGATCTTGGGTTGACTCTTATTGTCACTCAGTTCTTAGATCACCTCTTCATCACCTGATCTCTCCATTTGAAATAGCTATCTAGCATATCATGGGCAAATACACATTTCTGAGGAATAAAAGGCAATGGAGTCAGTTCAACCAGCAAATATTTGTTGAGCACTTGCTATGTTCTAGATGTGCTATATTCAAAAAAGACAAGGATGAATGAAACACAATTCTTGCCATCAATGAGCTCAAAAGTTTTTCAATTTTCAGAAATTTTCTATCAAAAGCTTTGTGTTTTTCTAATTGTAGTATCTGACTCTCAATCTTTTTCTGTCTTCTACAATCACTTTTGGTGTTTCCCACATCCATTAACAGAAACCATTAACATCCAGGACTCACAATTCTTTGACCTCTTTTGAAATTCCATGACCTCCATTTTACCTAAGATAACTCAATCGTCCTCAGACTAAGCTATATGTCACACTTAAATATGCCTTGAAAAATGCTACCTGCAAGATCTCCGTTTAAAAAATCTTCTCTAATATTAATCTTCTGCACGTTTACTTTTCTCCTTCCTCTTAATCGAACTCACTGTTTGTTTTTATTGTAATCTTCAATTGATATGTCTCACTTCTCTCAGATTACATTCCAGTATGGTTTCATTTGTCTTGAAACTAACCGGGACACCATGGTCAATTATTTTAGCTCTTTGTTTGCTACCACCTCAAAATTTTCCCCTTTCTTGACTTTCATCATTTCTGCTAATCTGTACCACTACACAAATCTATATTATTTCTATTGCTCTTTCTGGGGTGCCTGGAACTGCAGGAGAATATCACAAGAGTACGATTATATGGTTCAAAATTCAATACCGTCTACCCATTTTCCAAATTAGGAACATAGGCATTATCCATTGACTCTAGTAACAAGTCTTGAAACCTACCTACTAAATAGGTTTCAAATCTGTCCACTTCTATCCTTTCCTATTGCCACTATCAAAATCACCATTATATCTCTAGATTTTTACAACAACCTTTTATGCTTAATCTATTTTTTCTTAAAGCTGTTATCAATGTGATATATTTTAATATATAGCTCATCTGCGTAACAACCCTTCATTGCTCCCTACTTTAAGGATAAACTTCCAACTCCATAATAAGATCAACAGTGCCCTATCTGCCCTGGCCCCTACCTACCTATCTAGCCTTATCTTTGCTATGGCCCTTGTCAAGTTGCATATATGCAACACATATACACACAGATTTGTTGAGATCTCAATCAGGATTGCATTACATCTATAGAATAGATCTTTTCCAATATTGAGTCTTTCAAACTTGCTTTTCTCTTTCTAATTTCTTAAGATGGGTTGATTTTTCAGCCTTTATTCTTTTTATAATATGTGTACTTAGGCAATTAATTTTTAAAATTTGATTAATTTTTCTGTGATCACAACTTGAGCTGCAACCTATTAGACATTTTTCTTCTTACCTCTATTCTGTAGCTCCAACTTTACATCATATTTGTTTAAAACCTCATTTAAATGTCACCACTTCTATGAGGCCTTTTGTAGTCCACCTCTGGGATACACCTGCTCCTACCTCTAAACCTCAGTAGAGCTCTATTTGTTATTTGGTGAATACATTCATAATTTTCTACCTTGTATCACAGGTATATTGTAGTGTTTCATTTCCTTTGCTCAACTGCAGGATCCTATTCATTTTGACATGTTGCATTTTCATTACAATGCAATTTTTAAATATAATCCAGTTTGTTTGTTTGTTTTTGAGATGGAATCTCACTATGTTGCCCAGGCTGCAGTGCAGTGGCTCGATCTTGGCTCACTGCAACCTCTGCCTCCCAGGTTCAAACAATTCCTCTGCCTCAGCCTCCCAAGTAGTTGGGATTACAGGCACCCACCACTATGCCCAGCTAATTTTTGTATTTTTAGTAGAGGCGGAGTTTCACCATGTTGGCTAGGCTGAGTCTCGAACTCCTGACCTCAAGTGATCCACCCAACAGTTTTAAAGGATTCCTAATTTATTTTTCATTTCCTCTTTATCTATGGGTTATTTAGAACTGCATTGCTTAATTTCTAAGAATATCAAAGGTGTTCTAAATTATTCTTTTTTTATTAATACCTACCTTAATTCTACTGTGATCAGAGAACACATTCTGTTGGAAATACAATCCTATGAAATTTTTTGAGGCAACAAATTTGTTTTATAGTCCTTTCTTCTTCTTCTTCTTCTTTTTTTTTTTTTTTTTTTTTTTTTTTTTTTTTTTTTGTTAGACAAGGTCTTTCTCTGTTGCCCAGGCTGGAGTGCAGTGGTGCAATCATGGCTCACTGCAGCCTCAATTTCCCTGGGCTCAAGCAATCCTCCCACCTCAACCTTTCAAGTAGCTAGGACCACAGGTGTGTGTCAACATACCTAACTAATTTTTTAAAATTTTTTTTGTAGATACCAGGTCTCACTATCTTGAATAGGCTGGTCTCCAACTCCTGAGCTCAAGTGATCTTTCTACCTTGGCTTCCCAAAAAGCTGGGATTACAGCCATAAGCCACTGCATCTGGCCTATGATTTAGTATTCTATCCAGATACATTTATGCAAATATTGCATGTATACTTGAAAAAAAGAATATGTATTTTGCCAGGTATGGTGACTCACACTTGTAATCCCAGCTACTTGAGAGGCTGAGGTGGGAGGATAGCTCGAGCCCAGCAGCTCAAGGCTGTAGTGAGCTATAATTGCACTACTACACTCCAGCCCATGCAATAGAGCAAGTCCTCCTCTCAAAAAAAAAAAAAAAAGTATGTATTTTGTTGTGTGACATGTTCTATATGTCAACTAGAGCAAATGTCTCCTAATATAATTGAAGATTTGTCTATTTCTGTCAAATTTGCTTTATATATTTTGAGGCTATATTGTAGGTACATATAGATTTTAAATTGCTATATGATATACGGCAAATTAATCCTTTATCATTATATCATACCCCTCTTTATCTCTACAAAGCTTCTTACCTAAAATTTACTTTATCTCATATTAATGTAGCTGAACCCATTTTCCTTTACACTTTTATGGGATATCTTTTTCAATCATTTTACTTTACATATTTCTGTAATTTTATCTTCAAGGTGTGGTCTCTCGTAGGCACCATGTAGGTTTTCTTTTTTAAAAATTCAGGCTATCGGCCAGGTGCAGTGGCTCACACCTGTAAACCCAGCACTTTGGGAGGCTGAGGCAAATGGATCACCTGAGGTCAGGAGGAGTTCGAGACTAGCCTGACCAACATGGTGAAATCCTGTCTCTACTAAAAATACAAAAAATTAGCTGGGCATGATGGCAGATGCCTGTAATCCCAGCTACTCGGGAGGCTGAGACAAGAGAATTGCTTGAACCTGGGAGGTGGAGGTTGCAGTGAGGTGAGATTGCACCACTGCACTCCAGCCTGGGCAACAAGAGCAAAACTTTGTCTAAAAAAAAAAAAAATTCAGGTTATCTTAGTCTTCCACCTGGAATATTTAGTCTGTTTAAATTTAGTAGAATTATTGATAATATTTAGGTTTTATCTACCATCTTATTATTTGTTTTCTATTTAACCTCTTTTATATTCCTTTTACTTTTCTGGTGTTTTCGTTTTTTTTTTTTTGTTTGTTTTTTTTTTTTTTTTGAGACAGAGTCTTGCTATGTCACCCAGGCTGGAGTGCAGTGGTGTGATCTCAGCTCACTGCAACCTCCACGTCTTGGGTTCATGCAATTGTCCTGCCTCAGCCTCCCAAGTAGCTGGGATTACAGACATGTGCCACCATGCCCGGCTAATTTTTGTATTTTTAGTAGAGACGGGGTTTCACTATGTTGGTCAGGCTGATCTCAAACTCCTGACCTCAAGTGATCCACCCCCCTCGGCCTCCCAAAGTGCTAGGATTACAGGCATGAGCCACCATGTCTGGCCCTACTTTTCTTTTATGCCTTCTTTTTGGATTAATCAAATATTTAGTTTCATTACCCCACTATTAACTTTTTCTATTATATATTCTTTTTTTAATTAAGTGATTACCCTTGGGTTGTTACATACATCCTGAACTTCTTATAGTAAATATACATGATTAATTTAACCTCTTCCCTAGCAATGCTCAGATTTTAGAACATTATAATTCCATTTAGTCTCTTCTACCTTTTGTTTTATTGTTTTCATGTATTGTAATCCTAAACATATTTTACACCCCACAAGACAATATATTAGTGTTGCATATCCTCAATATTCATTTAGATTAATCCATACAATTACTCTTTCTATTGTCTTTCACTCCTTACTGAATTTCTAGGCTTTTATCTGAAATTATTTTCCTTCTGCCTGAAGAACTACCTTTTATAGTAATTTTAGTGTAATTCTGCTTAGGAAGTATTATCTGTTCTTGTTATTCTGACAACATTTTCATTTCTCCTTCATTTTTGCAGGATGTTTTTGCTGGGTGTATTTTCTGGGTCTGTAATTCTAGATTACCAGTTACTTTCTTCACTACTTATATTCTCACTGCCACCATTTTATTGAAAGTCAGCACCAAATCAATTAAAAACTGAAGGTAATATTTCTCCCCCTCAGGCTGTTATAAATTTTTTTCTTTGACCTTGGTTTTTATTAGTGTTACTGTAATGTGCCAAGATGTGACTTTCTTTATATTCATCCTGCTTGGGATTTTCAGGAATTCATGCCTCAGTGGCTTTATGTCTTTCATTAGTTTTGGGAAAATTTTAGCCATTAACTTTTCAAAGATCATCTCTTCCCTATTCTCTCTTTCTCTCTCTGCTATCCTTTTGGAACTCCAATTACATGAAAGTTAGATTTGTTCATGTTATTCCTTACGTTTCTTATGTTCTTTTTTATATTTTCCATCTTTTTCCCTCTCTGAGTGTCAGCTCTGTGATAAGGTAGTCTTGAGGACTTGTGTCTGCTGGAAGGAACTGATCTGACTTGGAGAACCTCAAAAAAGCTCTATCTCTGGATATTCATGAAAAGAATAGCAATTAGAAGCAATCTGCTCAAAGTCAGCATTGCAACTGCTTAGGGCTGCAATATAGGTTGAGGCACCAAGAGACTAGCAAATATTTTATAGGGTTACCTGAGAAACAAGAGAGCCACAAGGGACTTTGATAAGCTCTATAATATGTCTGTAATGTTCCTGGGAATTTAGAAGGTTGTGTGCATGTTCAAGGCTGCATGCATGTTCAGGAAATACCAACAGGGGCCAAGTTACTTATTCATCTCTTACTGACCTTGGAGCTCAGTGTAAGCAGGCAATGAAACCTAAGGCAAATTTATAAACTGCCTGAACTTTGAAGGCATGTGGAAACTCATAAACAGCTTCTCTCAGCCAGTTGCGGAAGATTTACTTATTCAAGTCATTTAAGAAAACCTTCTAACCAATCATTGTCTGACCCCTGAAGTATGTAAACACAGGGGAACCCTTAGGAAGTTAGGCTTAAAAATAGAAACAAGAATTTTTAAAAAAGTGAGCATAGATTTCTGTGGCAGCATACTGCAGGGACTCTATAGAACTAGCCTATGTAAATTGCTAAACAGACAACAACAAACCCTGGTGTGGGTGGGGTAATAAAATTTCAGAGTCATTAAAATACTCTGGTGTTTAGCAAAAAAAAAAAAAATCTAAAATGTATAATTTTTGACAAAAAAGTACAACACATGCAAAGAAACAGGAGACTGTGGCCCATACTATCTGAAGAGCATACTTAATAGAGAAAACTTTTAAATCAGCTTAGTATAAATGTGTTTGGAAAATTAAAGAAAACCACTTTTAAATAATTTAAAACAAGTATGAAAACAATGCCTCATTAGACAGACAATATCAAAAGAAAGACAGAAATTAAAGAACCAAAGAGAAACTATGGAATTAAAAAGTACAGTAACAAATACAAAACTTAATAGAAGGTTCAACAGCAAGTTTAGGCTGAAAAACGGAATCAGTGAACTTGAAGATAGGTCAATAGACGTTATCCAGTCTAAAGAAACAAACAAAAGAACTTTAAAAAAGTAACAGAGTGTCAGAAACAATGAAAAACAACTGGCATGCCAACATATGCAAAATAGAAGTTCCAAAAGGAGAGAAGGGAGAAAGAAGAAAAATAAACTACTGAAGATACAGTAGCTGAAAATGTCCCAAGTTTGCTGGAAAACATTAATCTACACATCCAAAAAGTTTAAAGAACTCCAAGTAGCCTAAACATAAAGAGATCCACACCTAGACATATCATAGTCAAACCATCAAAAGTCAAATAAAAAGAGAAAATCTTAGAAGTAGCAAAAATAAAAAATAATTATTCACATATGAGAAATAGTAAGACTAACAACTTGCTTCTTATCAGAAATAATGGAGCTCAGAAGTCAATAAATTGACATATTCAAAGTACTGAAAGAAAAAGAAGAAACTGACCACCAAGAATTATATATCCAGAAAAACTATTCTTCAAAATTGAAAGCAAAATAAAGGCATTACCAGATAAAGAAAGATTAAGATAGTTTGTCACTAGTATACCTGTCCTATGAGAAATTCTAGCTGGGTGCGGTGGCTCATGCCTGTAATCCCAGCACTTTGGGAGGCTGAGGTGGGCAGATTGCTTGAGGTCAGGAGTTCCAGACCAGCCTGGCCACTATGGTGAAACCCGATCTCTACTAAAAATACAAAAATTATCAGGGTGTGCTAGTGCATGCCTTTAATCCCAGCTACAGGAGAATAGCTTGAACCTGGGAGGCAAAGATTGCAGTGAGCCAAGACTGCGCCACTGCACTCCAGCTTAGGTGACAGAGCAAGATTCTAGTTTTATTTTGTTGTTGTTGTTTTTTTTTTAAATAAATTCTAAAGAAAATCATTCAGACTGAAAAGGAATGAAACTGGAAGATAGTACTTGAATCACTACAAAGAAATAGCATCAATAAAGGTAATTATATAGATAAATATAAGAAATAGTATAAATATACTTTTTACTTTTTTCTTCTCTAAATGGAGTTAAAAGACAATTGAATAAAAACAGTAATCATATAAGTTTATTTTGGCATTATAACATATATAAATATAATTTCTATTACAATAATACAAAGGAGGGGAGAGAAAATGATGCTATATTGGAACAAAGTTTCTATATACTAAAGTTAGTATTAATCAAAGCTAGATTGTTTCAAATGAGCATGTATATTGCAATTCCTAGAGCAACCACTAAGAATATTACTCAAAAGACTAGTGCTAAAACACCAACAAAGTAAAATGATGCAATTATAAAATACATATTTAACACAAACGGAGGCTGTAAAGAAGCAATACAGCAACCAAAAACATGAGACATGTAGAACACAGTCAAATGACAGCTATAAATCCAACCATTAAATATAAACCATATAAGTCCAACATTAAATATAAATGGAGTAAACCCTTTAATCAGAAGTGAAAAATTATAACATTGGATGAAAAAACAGGATCCAACTACATGCTATCTACCTCTCCTCATCAGCAAAATAAGGAGAAAATCCTAGGAGCAAGCCCTAGGTTACCTAAAAATTTCTTTGCATTCTAGAATTCCTTAATTCTATCAAAAACAGTGGTTTTCCTCCAAAATAGATTAGCCAACATCACACTACTCCAAGTGTAGGTCTAAAAGGAATTGACCAGCCTGGGCAACATGAAAAAAAAAACAAAAAAAACCTGTCTTTACAAAAAAAATTCAACAATTATCCAGGTGTGGTGATGTGTACCTGTAGTCCCAGCTATTTGAGAGGTTGAGGTGGGAGGGTCACTCAAGCCTGGGAGGCAGAGGTTGCAGTGAGCCACTGCACTCCAGCCTAGGGTGGCAGAGCAAGACCCTGTCTCAACAGCAACAAAAAAAGATATCCCTAGAAGATATCATTGGTTTCTTCGGGTATGCCCTATATAAATGGAGAGGATGAAGTAAAGTTACAAAGTCATTTATTTGGTGTATGCCTCATGGAGAGGTTATTTCCTCTCATAGCTGAAGTGTGAATCGGCCTTATGTTCCTTGTCTCCAGACCCTATTTTCCTGCCTCACCACCACTTACCCAAAGTCAACCAATCAGTGCTACAGTCTGTTTCCTGGGGGATCTCCTCAGTTTCGTCCCTTCCTCGTTGCCAGAAAGATGTTACCCAGAAAGGGGTCCCAAGCCAGACCCCAAGAGAGGGTTCCTGGGTCTCAAGAAAGAAAGAATTCAGAGTGAGTACATAAAGTGAAAACAAGTTTATTAAGAAAGTAGAGGAATAAAAGAATGGCTACACCATAGACATTGCAGCCCCGAGGGCTCCTGGGTGCCCATTTTTATGGTTCCTTCCTTCCTTCCTTCCTTCCTTCCTTCCTTCCTTCCTTCCTTCCTTCCTTTCTTTCTCTTTTTGAGTCAGAGTCTCTCTCTGTCGCCCAGGCTGGAGTGCAGTGGCGCAATCTCGGCTCATTGCAACCTCCACCTCCTGAGTTCATGCCATTCTCCTGCTTCAGCCTCCCGAGTAGCTGGGACTACAGGCGCCCACCACCACGCCTGGCTAATTTTTTTTTTTTTTGTATTTTAGTAGAGACGGGGTTTCACCATGTTGGCCAGGATGGTCTCGATCTCCTGACCTCATGATCAACCCGCCACGGCCTCCCAAAGTGCTGGGATTACAGGCATGAGCCACTGCGCCCAGGCTTATTTCTTTATTATATGCTAAACAAAGGGTGGATTATCCATGGTTCCCTTTTTCAGACCATATAGGGTAACTTCCTGATACTGTCATGGCATTTGTAAACTGTCATGGCACTGGTGAGAGTGTAGCAGTGAGGACAACAAGAGGTTACTCTTGTCACCATCTTGGTTTTGCTGGATCAAATGGTAGATCTACTTTTAGTTCTTTATAAATCTTCATACTGTTTTCCATAAAGGTTGTACTAATTTACATTCCCACCAGCAGTGTATAATAATTCCCCTTTTACCATCCCCACCAACATCTATAAACATTAAGTTTATTAATAGCTGTATGTTTTTAGTAGATGATCTTTATCAATTTGAAGCAGTTCCCTTCTATTCCTGTTTTCCTGAAAGTTTTTTTTTATTATCATGAATGAGTGTTAAATTTTGTCAAATTTGTTTCTGCTTTGATTAATATGATCATGTAACTTTTCTTGTTTAGCTTGTTATTATGGGGTAGTTAACCCATTGGCTTTTTTTTTGGAGACAGGGTCTGGAGTGCAGTCATATGATCATAGCTCACTGTAACCTAGAACTCCTGGGCTCAAGCAATTTTTCTGCCTCAGCCTCCTGAGTAGCTGGGGTTACAGGCACACACCACCATACCTGGCTATTTTTTTTTATTCTTTCATAGAGTTAAGGTCTTGCTAAGTTTCCCAGGCTGTTCTTGAACCCCTGACCTCAAGTGATCCTCCCACTTCGGCCTCCCATAGTGGTGGTATCACAGGTGTGAGCCACTGCACCCAGCCCCATTGACTTTTTTTTTTCTTTTTTTTTTTTTTTTTTTGAGACAGTGTCTCACTCTGTCACCCAGGCTGGAGTGCAGTGGCACGATCTCGGCTCACTGCAACCTCTGCCTCCCAGGTTCAAGTGATTCTCCTGCCTCAGCCTCCTGAGTAGCTGGGATTACAGACATCCACTACCACGCCTGGCTAATTTTTGTATTTTTAGTAGAGACGGGGTTTTACCATGTTGGTCAGGCTGGTCTTAACTCCTGACTTCGTGATCTGCCCGCCTCGGCCTCCCAAAGTTCTGGGATTACAGGCGTGAGCCACTGCGCCCGGCCTGCCCCATTGACTTTTAATGTAATTCTGATATGTTAGGACTTATGTCTGCCATTTTATTTTTTTTCTGCATATTCTATTTGTCTTTTTCTGCCTTCCTGTGGGTTATGTCAACTTTTTTTTTTTTTTTAGAATTCTATTTTGTTTTATCTATAGTGTTTGTGAGTACATCTCTTTATGCAGCTTTTTAAAGTGATTGCTCTAGGCATTACATTACATTACACACACACACACAGATTTGCCTCTTGCAAAATATATATTTGTTGATTTTCTTAATTCGAATAAAATATTAGGTAGTGTCCTTGAAAATTGGGAAATTTGTGTCAGCTGATCAAACTTCAGAGAAAGATCTCCTTATATTTAGGGTTGTCTCTCACATCAAGAAAAATATAAACTGGCTGCAAGGTCAAGATATATTTTGGGCCATTGGAATCGGCATCCCCAAAGGTGTTGCTGTGAGGACTGAACAAGGGTGGAATGCTAAATATTTAACATTAGGAAGGCCAAGCAATAGTTAAGCATAACAAATATCAGCCATGGTGCTGGAGCAAGGTCATAAAGGTCCCCTGCTTGGCTCATTAAGTTGCTATTTTGTAGGGAAGTCCAGGGGGCGCCTGGCAGGAAGAGGCACAGGGCTGCCAAGGTTGCTTTGGGTAATGGCTGTTTTACCAACGAGAACAGAGAAAATCCAATATGTACTATGATGGCACAGGCCTTATATTGAAAAATATTATTGTAGGTAAAATGCTTAGCACAAAGCCTGGCACTTAGTTAAGTGCTCAGTTAATGGCCATTCTTATTCTACTACTTCCTCCTTTCCCTTCCCGCTCCTCTTCCTCCTTCTTGTTTTTGTTCACTATATTGCATTACCCAAAAACAAATATCTGGCCTACAATGTTGAGTATAAAGTTTCTTTTCTGTCAAAATTTTTGGCCCTTCATGAAGCTATATCAGAGGTTCCTCAACTTTCTTGGGTCTCTTTGTGTCTCAGCAACTATTTTATGCTCTAGGCCAAAAGAAATACTCAATTGTTCTATTTATTAAATACATAGATCCAAACAACCCACTACTGGGTATCTATCCAAAGGAAAAGAAGTCATTATATAAAAAAGACACCTACACTCATATGTTTATCACGGCCCAATTCACAATTGCAAAGATACAGAATCAACCTAAATACCCATCCATGAGTGGATAAAGAAAATGTGAGATATATATGGATAGATAGATAGAGAGAGGGACAGATAGATGATCCAGATATAGATATATAATGGAATACTACTACTCAGGCATTAAAAAGAACAAAATAGTGTCTTTTGTGCAACTTGGATAGAACGGGGGGCAATTATCCTAAGTGAAGTAACTCAGGAATGGAAAATAAAATACCATGTGTTCTCACTTATAAGTGGGACCTAAGCTGTGGGTATGCAAAGGCATACAGAGTGGTATAATGGACATTGGAGTCTCAGAAGGGGATAGGGTGGGAGAGGACTAAGGGATGAATAACCATCTAGTGGGTATAATATACACCATTTGGGTGATGTGTACACTAAAATCACAGACTTCACCACTATATAATTCAACCTTGTAACCAAAAATAACTTGTACTACTAAAGCTATTGAAACTAAAAATAATTTTTTTAAAGAAAAATGGCACAGAAAATAGAGTTTCCAAGACAGCCAGAGCAAGATAGCTGAACAGAAGCCTGCATTGATTGTCCTCCCTAGAGGAACACCAAACTTAACAACTATCCACACAAAAAAGCACCTTCATAAGAATGAAGCATTAGGTAAGTGAGCACAGTAATTGGTTTGACTTCATATTAGTGAAAGAGGAACTGAAGAGGGTAGGAAAGAAAGTCTTGAACTGCTGATGCCACCCTTCTCCCATCCCCTGGCAGTGACCACATGATGCAGAGAGGAAATCTGCACTTGGGGAAGGGAAAGCACCGTAATTGTGGGATCTTTGCATTGAAACTTAGTGCTTCCCTGTCACAGTAGAAAGTCATACTGGGCAGAAATCTGCTGGTGCCCACACAGAAAGTATTTAGACCAGCTATGCCAGAGGCAAATCATCCATCCCAGTGTTTGGAACCTGAGTTCTGGCAAGTCTTGCCACCATGGGCTAAAGTGCTATGGGTCCTAAATAAATTTGAAAGTCAGTCTAGGCTTCAAGAACTGCAATTACTGGACAAGTCCTGGTGCTGTGTTGGGCTCAGAGCCAGTGGACTTGGGGGGCAGGAGACCTAGTGAGACACCGGCCAAGGCAGCCAAGGGAATGCCTGTGCCATCCTCCTCCAAACACAAGCAGTGCAGCTGGCAGCTCTGGGAGAGACTTCTTTCTTCTGCTTGAAAAGAGGGGAGAAAAGAGTAAAAAAAAAAACAAAAACCTAAAAGCTACAAGAGAAAAGAAACAGATAATATACAATGGAGCTCCAATATGTGTCTGGTAGCAGACTTCTCAGCAAAAACCTTATAGGCCAGCAGAAAGTAGCATGACATATTTAAAGGGCTGAAGGAAAATAACTTTTATTCCAGAATAGTATATCCAGCAAAAATATCTTTCAAACATGAAGGAGAAATGAAGACTTTCCCAGACAAACAAAAGATGCAGGATTTCATCATCACCAGGCCTGTCCTACAAGAAATGCTAAAGTTCTTCAGTCCAAAAGAAGAGGATGTTAATGAACAATAAATCTCTGAAGGTACAAAACTCACTGGTAGTAGTAAATACACAGAAAAACACAGACTGTTATGACTGTAATTGCAGTGTGTAAACTACTCATATCTTCAATAGAAAGACTAAAAGATAAACTGATCAAAAATAATAACTAAAATAATGTATTAGTCCATTCTTACACGGCTCTAAAGAAATGCCTGAGACTGGGTAATTTACAAAGAAAAAGAGGTTTAATTGGCTCACAGTTCCACAGGTTTTGGAGCAAGAGGAAGAGAGAGTGGGGGAGGTGCCATACACTTTAAACAACCAGATCTCGTGAGAACTCTATCACAAGAACAGCACCAAATGGGGAAGTCTGCCCCGATGATCTAATCACCTCCCACCAGGCCCCTCCTCCAACATTGGGGATTACAATTTGACATGAAATTGGGCAGGAACATAAATCCAAACCATGTCAAATAACTTTTTAAGACATAGACAGTACAAAAAGATGTAAATAGAAACAACAAAAAGTTAAAAAGTTGGGGGATGAAGTTAAAGTGTTGAGTTTTCATTAGTATGCTCTTGCCTTGTTAGTTCTTTTTGTTGTTTATGTAATTAGTGTTGAGTTGTCATTAGTTTAAAATAATGGATTATGAGATATTTGCAAGTATCATTGCATACCACCAGAGAAAATTACCTTCAGTAAAAGGAAGACAGGGAGAAAGGAAAGAAGGAAGAGCAGGCCACAAACCAGAAAACAAATAACAAGATGACAGTAATAAATTCTTATCAATAATAACATTGAATGTAACTGGACTAAACTCTCCAATCAGAAGACATAGAGTGGCTGAACTGATTTAAAAAAAAAAAAAGAAAAAAAACCCAAGACCTAGAATATGTCACCTACAAGAAACACATTTTACCTATAAAAACATACATAGACTGGCTATAAAGTGATGGAAAAAGATATACCATGCCAGTGAAAACCAAAAAAGAGAAGGAGTAGCTAGACTTATGTCAGACAAAATACATTTCAAGACAAAAACTATAAAAAGAGACCAAGAAGGTAATTATAAAATGATAAAAGGGTCAATTCAGCAAGAGGATATAACAATTGAAAATACATATGCACCCAATATTGGAGCACCTAGAAATATAAAGCAAATATCGTTATAGATAAAGAGAGATCTAGACTTCAATACAATAATAGCTGGAGAGTTCAACACTCCACTTTCAGCATTGGACAGACCAACCAGACAGAAAATGAAAAGAGGAACATCAGACTTAATCTTATTAGGCCAAATGGACCTAATAAACATCTACAGAACATTTCATCCCATGGCTGCAAAATAAACATTCTTCTAAGCACATGGATCATTATTAATGATAGGCTATATGTTAGGCCACTAAACCAGTCTTTAAACATCAAAAAATATTGAAATTATGTCAAGTATATTCTCTGACCACAATGGAATTAAACTAGAAATCAATAACAAGAGGAATTTTGGAAACTATACAAACACACAGAAATTAAACAATATACACTTGAATGACCAGTAGGTCAATGAAGAAATTAAGAAGAAAATTTAAAAATTTATTGAAACAAATAATAATGGAAACATAACATACCAAAACCTGTAGGATATAGGAAAAGCAGTACTAAGTGGAAAGTTGGTAGCTATAAGTGCCTACATCAAAAAAGTAGGAAAACTTCAAATAAAAAAATGATTTATCTTAAAGAACTAGAAAAGCAAGAGCAAACGAAACCCAAAATTAGTAGGGAAAATATTAAAAAAGATAAAAACAGAACTAAATAAAATTGAAACAAAGAATACAAAAGATCCACAAAATGTAAAGTTGGTGTTTTGAAAAGAGAAAGTCAAACCTTTAGTCAGACTTAAAAAAAGAGAGAGAGAAGATCTAAATAAATAAAATTAGAAATTAAAAAAGGGACATTAAAACTAATACCACAGAAATTAGGAGGATTATTAGAGGCTATTGGTTATTCAAGTGTATATTGGGAGCAGTAGCCTCTAATAAATTGGAAAAACCAATATATTGGAAAAACCTAGAAGAAATGGATAAATTCCTTAACACTACAGCCTACCAAGATTTAACTATGAAAAAATTCAAAACCCGAACAGAGCAATAACAAGTAACAAGATCAAAGCTGTAATAAAGTCTCCCAGCAAAGGAAAGCCTGGGCCCTGATGGGTTTTCTGCTGAATTTTACCAAACATTTAAAGAAGAATGAATAGAAGTTCTATTCAAACTATTCCAAAAAAATAGGTGAGGAGTAAATACTTACAAACTTATTCTATGAGGCTAGTATTACCCTGATACCAAAATCAGACAAAGACATATCAAAAAGAGAAAACTACAGGCCGATATCCCTAATGAACATTGATGCAAAAATCCTTAACCAAGTACTAGCAAACTGAATTTAAGAATACATTTAAAAGATCATTTTTTGTGACCAAATGGGATTTATCCCAGGGATGCAAGAATGGTTCAAAAAATGCAAATTAATCAATGTGATACATCTTATCAACAGCATGAAGAACAAAAACCAAATGATCATTAAACTAGAAATTAATAACAAGAGCAATTTTGGAAAATATACAAACACATGGAAATTAATGCACTTGAATGAACAGTAGGTCAATGAAGAAATCAAGATGATAAAAAAATTAAGAAGCTAAAAACCTTCTGAATATAGAACAAACATAACTCAACACAACAAAAGCCACATATGACAGACTCACAGCTAGTATCATACTGAAGGGGGAAAAACTGAAAGCCTTTCCTCTGAGATCTGGAACATAACAAGGATGCCAACTGTCACCACTGTTATTCAACATAGTACTGGATGTCCTAGCTACAGCAATTAGAAAAGATAAAGAAATAAAGGACATCCAAATTGGAAAGGGATGGAAACAAGAATAACAAATTATTCTTGTTTGCAGATGGTATGATCTTATATTTGGAAAGACCTAAAGACTCCACCAAGAAACTATTAGAACTGATAAGCAAATTCAGTAAAGTTGCAGGATACAAAATCAACATATAAAAATTAGTAGCAGTTCTATATGCCAAAAGTAAACCATCTGAAAAAGAAATCAGGAAACTAATCTCACTTACAATAGCTACAAATAAAATGAAATACTTAAGAATTAACTTGACCAAAGAAGTGAAAGATCTCTACTTTGAAAACTACAAGGGGGTTTTCAAGATGGCTGACTAGAAGCAGCTGGTGTGTGTGGCTCTCATGGAGAGTGATATGGTTTGGCTGTGTCCTTATTCAAATTTCAATTTGAATTGTATCTCCCAGAATTCCCATGTGTTGTGGGAGGAACCCAGGGGGAAGTAATTGAATCACAGGAGCCAATCTTTCCTATGCTATTCTCGTGATAGTGAATAAGTCTCATGAGAATTGATGGGTTTATCAGAGGCTTCTGCTTTTGCTTCCTCCTCATTTTTCTCTTGCCACCTCCATGTAAGAAGTGCCTTTTGCCTCCCTCCATGATTCTGAGGCCTCCCCAGCCATGTGGAACTGTAAATCCAATTAAACCTCTTTTTCTTCCCAGTCTTGGATATGTCTTTATCAGCAGCATGAAAACAAACTAATACAGAGAAGAATGGAACAGGCAAATAAATACAGCACCTTCAACTAAAACATCCAGGTATATGCATCAGGACTAATCAACGAAACAACTCAACCCATGGAGCAAGGCAGGATGATGGCCCGCATGGGAGAGATACTGAGCCAGGGGACCCTCCCCAACTCAGGAAAGCAGTGAGTGAATGTGTAACCCTGGGAACCCACACTTCTCCCATGGATCTTTACAACCCTTGGGTTGAACTCACTCCACCAGGACCTTCAGTCTGACACAAAGAGCTATGTGGAGTCTTGGCAGAGCAGCCACTCAGGCACATGAACAGATCTGGGAGCCTTGGATACCTGGGCTTTCCAGGATTCACAGCAAAAGTAACTGCAATGTCAGCAAAGTGAGAGGTTAGACCCCTGTACACATCCCTAGGAAAATGGTTGAATCCACAGGGCTGAGCAGCATAGTCTGCAGGTACCTCATAGGAGAAGACCCACTAAATTGGAACTCCAACCAGCCACTGATAGCACTGTTGCACTTCACTGAGACAGAGCTCCTAGCAGGGAGGGGTGGCCTGCCATCTTTGCCATTTGGCCAACTTAGTGGTTGCAGCCTTCGGGCTTTGGAGAGTCCAAGCCAACTGGAGGCTGAAGTGGTCCCCCAGCACAGCATAGCTGTGCTACAAAAACATGGCCAGATTGCTTTTTTAAACGTGTCCCAATCCCATTCTTCCTCACTGGGCAGGACCTCCAACCAGGGTCTTGAGCCACCCCTACTGGTAGTTTCTGGCTGATAGAGATTTAAAACCTCCCTGGGATGGAGCTCCCAGAGGGAGAGGTGGGCTGCCATCTTTGCTCTTTGGACAATTAGCCATTCCAGCCTTCAGGGTTTAGAGAGTCCCGGCCACCTGGGGGATGAAAGTGGTCCCCCAGCAGAGCATAGCTGCTCTGCAAAAACATGGCCAGACTGCTTTTTAAAGCAGGTGTCCAATCCCATTCCTCCTCACTAAGTGGGACCTCCCAACCAGGGTCTCCAGCTACCCTCACCAGTGCTCTCCAGCTGACAGAGATTTAAAGCCTCCCTGGAATGCAGTTCCCAAAGGGAGGGCCAGGCTGCCATCTTTCCTGTTTGGGTTACTTAACCATTCTGGCCTTCAGGCTTAGGAGAATCTGAGGTGACCAGGGGCAGTAGCAGACCCCAAGCATAGCACAGCTGCCCTACAAAAATGTGACCAGACTGCTTTTTAAAGTGGGTCCCCAATCCTGTTTCTCCTCACTGGGTGGGAACTCCCAACTGGAGTCTCCAGCCACATCCTACAGGTACATTCAGGCTGGCAATAGGTCTGTACCTCCCTGGGACAAAGCTCCCAGAGGGAGGGGCAGGCCACCATATTTGCTGTTTCACAGCCTTCACTGTTGATACCTCCAGGTACTGGAAAATCCAAGGTGACTAGGGACTGGAGTGGGCTCCCAGCACACTGCAGCAGCCCTATAAAAAAGTGGCCAGATGGTTATGTGGATCCCCATTTCCATATCTCCTCACTGGGCAGGTCCTCCAGGCCTTGGCCTCCAGCCATCCACCACCAGAGCTATCAAGCCAGTAGCAGCCCTGCAACTCCCTGAACAAAGCCCCCAGGGAAAATGAAAGCCTCTCTGTCACTGCTTCTGCAGTGGAACTGCCCTTGCTACCCTCGTACTAACAAAGGAGCAAAGACCCTAAGGCCTTATCCACAACTCCAACAAGCTGCAGTAGACCCAAGAAGAGGAGGCCAGTCTGTCTCCTACAGGACTCATCCAGCCTCCCTGCTCATCACCAGACAGGAGGTCTCCAGCGTGGGCCCACAGCACAGACCTTCCATCCTGGGCTGATTGCACTGAGCAACTGCTGACCTACATATTTCTGGGTGGAGCCCCCAGGAGACAAGCAAAATACCCTTGGCCATAACTGCTACTAAGAATCCTTCCTCTGCTGCCTCCAAGTTGGGGAACACTGCAACTCCAAGTTGGGGAGCATAAACACTGAAATTGCCCCAGAGCTTCAGTGGGCAGCCCAGGAGTGCCAAGCTGTGATCTACAGCCAGCATTTAAGCGGGAGAGGGACCCACCCTTTCAGAGCATTGAGAGAGAACATGGCTGCAACTGTGAGGAAACAATGAGGAGTGCAGTTGTGATTCACAGATTTGGCCTCTTTACATAATTCATACTTCTTGGAGGTTTTTCGGGGAGCCATACAACTGAGCAAGAGTCTATCAACTGACCAATACATGTAAGTGCCACCTACTGGATCACAACCCAAAACTTCAACACCCCAAATACCTCGCTTACATACCCCACTCTGAAACCAAAGACAAGAAGTCAGCTTCAAATAAAGAACCTGCACAAAGTCTTGGCTCTGTGAAAACATACAGAAAAGAGGTCTATTGACTCAATCTACACTGCAGTTAAAGGAACATCCACATGCAGAGATGAGAAAGAACCAACACAAGAACTCCAGTAACTCTCATGGCCAGAGTGTCATATGTCCTTCAAACAACTGCACCAGTTTGCCAACAAAAGTTCTTGACCAAGCCAAGCTGGCTGAAATGATAGAAATAGAATTCAGAATATGGATAGGAATGAAGATCATCGAGAATCAGGAGAATGGCAAAACCCAATCCAAGGAAACTAAGAATCACAATAAAATAATACAGGAGCTGAAGGACAAAAGAGCTGATATAAAAAAGAACCTAATGGATCTGACACAGCTGAATAACACAAATACAAGAATTTCACAATGCAGTTACAAGTATTAACAGCAGAATAAACCAAGCTGAGGAAAGAATCTCAGAACTTGAAAACTGGGTCTCTGAAATAAGGCAGTCAGACAAAAATAAATAAAATTAAAGAATAAAAATGGATGTTCAAAACCTCCAAGAAGTATGAAATTATGTAAAGAGGCCAAATCTATTAATCACTGGCATCTCTGAAAGAGAGGGTGAGAAAGTAAGCAACTTGGAAAACATATTTTAGGATATCTTCCATGAAAACTTCCCCAACCTTGCTAGAGAGGCCAACAGTCAAATTCAGAAAATACAAGAACTCCTGCAAGATTTTACACAAGAAGATCATCCCCAAGACACATAGTTGTCAGATTTTCCAAGGTTGAAATGAAAGAAAGAATGTTGAAGGCAGCTAGAGAGAAAGGGCAAGTCACCTACAAAGGAAACCCCATCAGGCTGACAGTAGACCTTTCAGCTGAAACCCTATAAACCAGAAGAGATTAGGGGCCTATATTCAATATTCTTAAAGAAAAAATATATTCAACCAGGAATTTCATATCTAGCCAAACTAAGCTTCCTAAGCAAAGGAGAAATAAGATCCTTTTCAGATAAGCAAATGTCGAGGGACCTGCCTTTCAAGAGATCTTGAAGGGATCACTAAATATTGAAAGGAAATAGTGCTACCAGCTAAAACAGAAACACATTTAAATACGCAGACCAGTGGCACTATAGAGCAACCACATGAATAATCCAGCATAATAACCAGCTAACAACACGACAGGATCAAATCCACACATATTAATACTAACCTTAAATGTAAATGTGCTAAATGCCCCACTTAAAAGACACAGAGCAGTAAGCTGGATAAAAAAGTAAGACCCAATGGTATGCTGTCTTTGAGAGACCCATTGGACACATAATGACACCCATAGGTTCAAAATGAAGGGATGGGGAAAAATTTACTAAGCAAATGGAATACAGAAAAAAGCAGGAGTTGCAATCCTGATTTCAGACAAAACAGACTACAAACCAACAAAGATCAAAAAAGACAAAGAAGGGCATTACATAATGCTAAAGAGTTCAATTCAACAAGAAGACCTAACTATCCTAAATATGTATGCACCCAACACAGGAGTACCCAGATTCATGAAGCAAGTTCTTAGAGACCTACAAAAAGATATAGACTTCCACACAGTAATAGTGGGAGACTTCAACACTCTACTGACAGTATTAGACAGATCATCGAGGTAGAAAATTAACAAAGATATTCAGGACCTGAACTCAACATTGGACCAAATGGAACTGATAGACCTCTACAGAACTCTCCAACAAAAAACAACAGAGTATAAATTCTTCTCATCACCACATGTCACATGCTATAAAATCAACCACATAATTGAACATAAAACAATCCTCAGAAATGCAAAAGAACAAACATCATACCAAACACACTCTCAGACAACACTGCAATAAAAATAGAAGTCAAGACTAAGAATCACTCAAAACCATGCAATTACATGGAAATGAAACAACATGCTCCTGAATGACTTTTGGGTAAATAATGAAATTAAGGCAGAAATCAATACGTTCTTTGAAACTAATGAGAACAAAGATACAACATACCAGAATATCTGAGGCACAGCTAAGGCAGTGTTAAGAAGGAAATTCATAGCTTAACCTGAAGGAAATCAAGACACAAAACATGATCTCAGAACTTGAAGGTAGGCTCTCTGAAATATGACAGTCAAAAAAAAAAATAAATAAAATTTAAGAAAAGAATAAAAAGAAATGAACAAAACCTCTGAGAAGTATGGAATTATGTAAAGAGGTCTAATCTATGAATTACTGGCATCTCTGAAAAAGAAGAGAATTCATTCAAAAGTTCAACTAATGCAAGAGTTGGTTTTTTGAAAAAAAAATAAGATAGGCTGCTAGCTAGACTAATGAAGAAAATAGAGAAGATGCAAATAAACACAATTAGAAATGATGAAGGAAACGTTACCACTGACCCCATAGAAATAAAAAATAACCATCGGAAACTACTATGAACACCTCTATGCACACCAACTGGAAAATCTAAAAGAGATGGATCCATTTCTGGACACATACACCCTCCCAAGACTGAACCAGGAAGAAGTTGATTCCCTGAATGACCAATATCTAGCTCTGAAATTGCATCAGTAATAAATACTCTATCAACCAAAAAAAGCCTAGTACCTGATGGATTCCCAGCCAAATTCTACCAGATGTACAAAGAAGAACTAGTACCATTCCTACTGAAACTATTCCAAAAATTTGAAGAGAAGGGACTCCTCCCCAATACATTCTATGAGGCCAGCATCACCCTGATACCAAAACCTCGCAGAGACAACATTGTACTGAATGGGCAAAAGCTGGAAGCATTTCTCTTGATAGCTGGCATAAGACAAGGGTGCCTTCTCTCATCCCTCCTATTCAACCTGGGGATGGTTAATGGGTATAAAAATATAGTTAGGATGAATAAGATCTAGCATTTGATAGCAAAACAGAGCAACTATAGTCAACAATAATTTATGGTACATTTCAGAATATCTAAAATGGTAAAATTGGATTGTTTGTAAAACAACAAAAGGATAAATACTTAAGGTGATGGATACCATATTTACCCTAATTTGATTTTTATACATTGAATGTCTGTATCAAAATATCTCATGTATTCCATAAATATACACCTACCATGCACCACAAAAATTAAAAATAAATTTTAAAATAATAATAAAAAAGAAAGTAGAGTTTCCATAAACCCCCATTCCCTCCCTGCCCCACCCCTAGTTTCTTCTGTTATTAACATCTTGTATTAGGGTTGCACATAATATTATAATTAACTAATCAATATTGATACATAATTATTAACCAAAATCCATAGTTTACATTAGGATTCACTCTTTGTGTTGTATAGTTCTATGGGTTTTGACAAATGTGGGAATGTCATATATCCACCATTACAGTATCATACAGAAGACTTTCTTTGCCCTAAAAATGACCTGTGCTCCACCTATTCATCTCTCCCCCTACCCTAAAATCTTGGCAACCAGTGAATTTTTACAGTTTCTAAGTTTCACCTCACCCAGCCTGTCATATAGTTGAGATCATACAGGATGTAGCTTTCTCAGACTGCTATTTTTCACTTAGCAATATACATTCCTTCATGTCTTTTCATGGCTTGATACTTCATTTCTCTTTTTTCTTTTCTTTTTTTATAGAGACAGGGGGTCTCACTATGTTGCCAGGGGTGGTCTCAAACTCCTGGGTTCAAGCAATCATCCTGCCTTGGCCTCCCAAAGTTCTGGGATTACAGACGTGAGTCACTGCATACGGTCTCATTTCTTTTCATCACTGAGAAATATGCTATTGTATAGATGTACCATAGTTTGTTTATACATTCACCCATTGAAGAACATCTTGGTTGCCTTTAACTTTTGGTAATTATGAATAAAGCTGCTATAAACATTCTTATGGAGGTTTTTGTGTAAACGCACATTTTCAGTTCATTTGGGTAAATGCCTAGGAGCAGAATTTCTCTATCATATGGTAAGCCTATGTTTAGCTTTGTAAGAAACTACCACAGTTATCTTCCAAAGTGCTATACAATTTTACATTCTCCTGAACAGTGAATGAGGGTTCCAGTTGCTCCACATGCTCACCAGCATTTGGTGTTCTCAGTGTTTCAGATTTTAGCCGTTCTAATAGGTGTGTAGAAGTATCTTGTTTTAATTTTCAGTGCTTTAATGGCATATAATATTGAGCATGTTTTCATAGGCTTATTTTCCTATTTTAGATCTTATTTGCTATTTGCATATCTTCTTTGGTGAATTTGCCATCTATACAGCTATTTTGTCCATTTTAAAGTTGGGTTGGTTGTTTACTTATTGTGAGTTTGAAGAGTTTTTTGTATATTTTGGATACATGTCATTTATCAGATATGTATTCTGCAAATAGTTCCATCCAGTCTGTGGCTGTGTTCGTTTTAAACAAATAAAGCTTAATAACATGTGTACCTTATGTATATGTGGGAGATACTCACAAAAATGAGTATATCTCAGAGGTGGCTTTGAATTCCAGCTTATGTAGCATCTTCAACAAACAATAGCAAATTTAGAGAAATGACAAGACAAAGGAAAAAGACTTTGAGTCTCTAAGGGTGGCAAATTATAGAAAGGCAAATAAATGGTAGATACAGACTAGTTAATAAAGCTCAGTACCTAGGTTCCTCTGGTGCTGATCCCCAGGCTGGTAAGGGGCTGTCCTTCCTGGTAGAAAGGGGAGGAGGGACAGACACATTGGTGAATTTATGTCCTGCTTTTAGGCAAATAGTGGAAGAGCAGAGAACTCTTCTTATATCTGCTTTTTCCCACTTGTCTTCAGCTCAAAATAATCCTTATGCCAAAGTGGCATATTCTAGTCACTTACAGTCCTCCCTTTGAACTTTATTTTTGGAAAGTTTCACATATTAAAAGCTGAATTCGCAGCCCCATATCTTATGGAGCCAGTCTCTTAGTCCTGAGTTCAGTTAAACTCAGGTCAACTGAGTTAGAAAGTTGTGTGTCATTTCAGGTGGCAGTGTTGCAGGTGGGTTCCCATCAAAGTTAGGCCTCTGTATGGTGCAAGCAAACAAGTATTTAAGTAGAGTCATTCTATGGACACAAAAAAACTAAAGGTTAATCACTGGAAAAAAATGATAAATCAGCTTCTGAGTCCATAAGGCAGTCACGTGGAGAGTTCTAGATTTGATCTCAAAGCCTCTTAGATGGTGGAATGAGGATGGCAGTTTAAATCTAATGGGTTTTCCTGGTTTGTGGTTTGACTATCTCTGGTGATATCATAGCATGTTCTAGTGAACTTTCTGAGTGGCCCACACAGCAACAGACATCAAGGTTGTCTGTATTTGAGCTTTTGTGGTGATTTATCTGAAATTTATATCAAGTCATCCAGCTTTAGCTTTCAGAACTTTAGGAAAAGGGCAGTCAGCTGTTAACGGTTTTAAGTCAGAAAGGTGGGAGACAATTGGAAATGCTAGCTTGGAGAGTTGTAGTCAGATATTCAAGGCAACTACAGAAATTCAGGATCCAGTTTAGTTTAACAAAACCTCAAAGACAATGAATAGTGCTAGATCTGATAATCTAATCTTGTTACAGATAGTACACTATGTTACACATAGTACACTAGGATTTTCTACTGAAACATTTTTCTCTCTATAGTCACCCGCATGTCTGCCAAAGACAATTGTAGTAAAACTAATTTGTTTGCAAAATAAATCAGTCTCATTAAACATGACCTGATTATTTACATAAGTGCAGCAAGAATGGTGATTAACCATAAAGGCTCCT
This sequence comes from Homo sapiens, assembly GCF_000001405.40. Lineage (NCBI taxonomy): Eukaryota > Metazoa > Chordata > Mammalia > Primates > Hominidae > Homo > Homo sapiens. The sequence continues at coordinate 121,970,373 of NC_000003.12, forward strand.
TTTAAGTTTGCTTTACTGGAACTTCTAACAGGAAATCTGAGATTTGACTTTTTAAAAGCCTCTGTAGACTAAGAAGCCAAGCCAAAGACTTTCCATCAGACTTTGCCTGAAGAAGTTTTTTATTTTAATGAAGTCTAGCTTATCAATTATTTCTTGTATTAATCTTGCCTTCGGTGTTATGTCTCAAAGTCATTACCAAACTCAAGGTCATCTAGACTTTTTCCTGTTATCTGCTAGGAGTTTTATTTTATAGTTTTTGCATTTTACTTTAAGGTCTATGATCTATTTTGAGTTAATTTTTGTAAGAGGTATAAAGTTTGTGTCTAGTTTCAGTTTTGGTTTATTGTTTTTGTTTTTGAAACAGGGTCTCACTCTATTGCCCAGGCTGGAGTGCAGTGATGCAATCATGGCTCGCTGAAGGCTTGACCTTCCGGGCTCAAGCAAGCCTCCCACATCAGCCTCCCAAGTAGCTGAGACTACAGGTGTGCACCTTCACATCTGGTTAATTTTGTTGTTGTTGTTGTTGTTAGTAGAGCCAAGGTCTTGCCATGTGCCCAGGCTGGTCTTGAAGTCCTGAGCTCAAGGGATCCTCCCACCTCATCTTTCCAAAGTGCTGGGACTATAGGCATGAGCTGCCATGCATGGCCTACTTTCAGTTTTTAGCATGTGGATTTTTAGTTGTTCTAGCACCATATATTGAAAAGGCTCTCCTTGATCCATAGTATTGCCTTTGCTCCTTTGTCAAAGATGAATTGACTGTATTTGTTGGGTCTATTTTGGGGCTCTTTATTCTGTTCAATTGATCTATTTGTTTATTCTCTTGCTAATGCCAAACTTGATTAATGTAGCTATATGGTGTGGCTTGAAATCAGGTAGTGTCAGTCCTCCAAATTTTTTCTTCTTTGGTGTTGTGTTGATTATTACACTGATTTTTGACAGAGGTGCAAAAGCAATTCAATGAAGAAAGGACAGCCTTTTCAACAAAAAGTGCTGGAACCATTGGACATTCTTAGGTTAAAAAATCCAAAACAAACGGCCTCCTGTCCACACACATGAAAACAACCAAAAAACAAACTGAACCAACAAACAAAAAATGAAAACAAACACTTCGAATTAAACCTCATACATTATAGAAAAGTTAACTCAAAATGCATTATAGACTTAAATGTCTAGCATAAAATCATAAAACTTTATTTTAAAAAGTAGGAGAAAATCTTCAGGGTCTAAAGTTAGGCAGTTTTTAAGAATTGTTACTAAGGCATAATTTTAAAAAGGGAAAATTGATAAGTTGGACTCCATCAAAATTTTCTTTGTGAAAGCCCATATAAAGAGGGTTAAAAGACAAACTACAGGCTGATCAAAACATTTGCAAACCACATATTCAGTAAAGAACTAGTATCTGTAATAAGAACTCTCAAAAACTCAACACTAACAAAATAAATAATTCATTTAGAAAATAGGCAAAAGACATGCAGAGACATCTCTTAATAGGACATACAGATAATAGGTAAGCACATGAAAAGATATTTGACACCATTAGCCACTAGGGAAGTAGAAATTAAAACTGATATATAAGAGTTAAAAAGAAATTATTTAGACAGATAGTGAGGGTAAGGAAGTTCTCGGTAAGGTTTTCCTTTTAATGAAAAGCAGCCCCCAAATCATTTTTCTAATAAAGAGCAGCCTGTAAAATCAAGCTGCAGACATAGATAAGCAAGCTGGAAGCTTGCATGGGTGAATGCCAGCAGCCGTGCCAATAGGAAAAGGCTACCTGTGGGCTAGGCATGTTCAACGTGCCACTTCCATCTCCCCTTTTCTTTACCAACCATGTGTACCGTAAGGAACAGACAACATGGCGCCAGCCAGGAAGAGACCCCATTTGCATTATAAAAGATTAGGGTGGGGTGGCCACCTTCCTCGCTTGCTATGTAAATGGCACACCTGGTCCAACCAATCTTTGGGCCCTATGTGAATCAGACACTGCCTCCTCAAGCCAGTCTATAAAACCCCATGCACTTCACCACGGAACCAGAAGACCCACCTGGGCACCCCTCTCTCTCTGCAGGGGAGAGAGCTATTCTCTGTTCTCTTTCTTTCACCTATTAAACTTCCACTCTTAAATTCACTACTTGTGTGTCCATGTCCTTGATTCCCTTGACATGAGACAACAAACCTCAAGGATTTACCCCAGACAATGACACTGCTTCAAAACCAGAATAAAATATCACTACACATCTATCAGGATAGCTAAAAAATAGTAGCAACAGTAAATTCTGACTATGGTGCTAAGAAACTGGATCACTCATACATTGTGCTGGAAGTGTGGAAAGATATACCCACATTATAAAACAGTTTGGCAATTCCTTACAAAACTAAAGATACAACCACATGGCCCAACAGTTGCTTTCCTCCCAGAGCCCAAGGGCCATTTACAAAGTCAAATTTGCAACAAGAGGGCCTATATAGCAAAAAATTTACCAAACAGAAGTAGGTTTTATGGGTAAAAACCTGGGGGAATATACATGAAATGGAATTATAAGGGTAATGCCCCAGGGATATAAATTTAAGTTAGTGAAACTGCCTTTGCAAAAATTATAACACTAAGAAAATTACGACAGTGAAAGAGATCTGATCTAACCAACCCCCATCTTGTCTTTAACCTCCAAATTGTCCTTAACCCTTTTCCCCTTTGCCCTAAGAATACTTGCTGGTGGCGCTTGCAGCTGCAGTGCTTACCGCGAGATAACTTTGCCACAAAATATCTCACTTTTATTATTATTTTTGGATCGCTCTAGTATATCAACTTTGGAAACAAAAGACATCACTCTATAGTATTCTGTTTTTAGTAGTGGTGTTTCCATTTACAAAATATAGTAATTCTCAATTGCTGAAAATGTCACATTCTAGAAAATGTAGCATTCCTATGCATGATGTTAACATCGTTCTCAAACAGTTGTCAGCTGAAGATTCATTTGATGAATCCGATTTTTCTGAAATAGATTATTCTTATGATTCAGATGATTCTGATGTTAATTCTGTTTAGAAATAACTCCAAAAACAGTCTTTATATTTTATTTTCACATTGAAAATCAGTCAAATTTGCTTCAGCCACAAAGAGCGTGTTTATATAAAATTAAATGAGTGCTGGCAGTGAGCTGCACTTTTTTTCTCTAAAGGGGAAAAGGGTTAATTTAATCATTCTTGGGCTTGGACCAGGCTAAATTTAGGAGATATTTAGTTTATAGTTTAAATAATAGTAGCCCTTCTCCAAAGCTACATCGCCTTTCTAAAGCTAATGAAAGGCCATCAGGTTAGGAAGATAAAAGGAGCCTGAATTCTACTAAGGTGTGGATTACCAGCCATACTCCAGAAGTCACAAGATTTGCAACTTCCCCAATTATTCCTGCAAATAACATCACTATTATAGAGACTAAGATTGGCCTTTTGAGATGTCTTTTCAGGTTTTTGCATTTCTGTTTCCACTGGCCACCTGTCAACAACTTCTATGGCCCCACTCAGACTCCTGGGCCCACCAAACTATCCTTGGAAAGACTCTAGCCTCTGAAATTTTCCAGGAGATTGATTTGAGTAATAACTCCATCTCCCATGTGGCATGGCTGGCCTCATGTCAATTAAACTCTATTTATTGCAATGCCATGGTTTCAGTGAATTGGCTTCGTCTGTGCAGTGGGCAGGAAGAACCCATGAGGTGATTACATTAGGTTGAAATTATTATATAGGTGCACTTACAAAAGATTCTGCCTTCAATGTCTAACACACACAGTTGGAAGAGTTCTCTCTTTTTTTTTTTGTTTTTTGTTTTTTGGTGGTAGACTGAAAATTATATTTACTTTGGCCTATGTTGAGTTGAGACTTCAAAAATCCCTCGTAGAGAAAGAAAGATTTAGGGAGATAAGAATTGTCAACCTTAAATAACTAGATTCAGAAAATATGATTAAGTAGAGAGTTTATTTGGGCCTAAAGCTTGTGGATGGCCACCAGGGAGCATAGATTCAAGTTGCCCTGAATATACACTCTGATTCACAGCAGTTACAAGTAGGTTTTTAAGGAAAAAAGAAGAGGCAGTTCCTGAGTTCTTTACAAACAATTTACCTTAAAACAATGCAAGCTATTAATTGGCTGTACACTGTTCTTTGTATCACAAATTCCAGGAACCTGAAGATAATGAGTGAGGCAGCTATCAGGAACAAAATGTCTTTAAGTAATTGCCTTTGGACATGGGTAAGGGGTATGACTAAAGTCCCATACCAGTGTTTCTCTGGGCCTGCTAAATCTTGCCATTGCCCTGAGCTATTTTTCTTTTATCAGAATGTTAAAGTGAATTTGTTTTGTGTTACTCACTCAGCCATTCCATCCCTGAAGACATACCTGTCATAATGTAATCACCCAATGGGTTCTTCTTGCCCACTGAACAGATAAAAATCAACCCACTGAGACCTCAACATTGCAGGACAGAAAGAGTTTAATTGATGTGAGTCTGGCTGACTCAGGAGAACAAATTTATCACTCAAATCAGTCTCCCCAAAGACTTGGAGGTTAGGGATTTTATGGACAATTTGGTGGGCGGGGGCTAGGGAATGGGTGCTGCTGATTGGTTGAGGATGAAATCATAGGGGTGTGGAAAACAATCTTCACATGCTGAGTCCACCTCTGTTTGGGGCAATAGGATTCGCTGAGTCATAAGTCATGAGTCCAGGTGGTATCAGTCTGAAAAGCATCTTAAAAAAACAATCTTAGGTTGTACAATAGTGATATTACTTATAGGAACAGTTAGAAAAGTCACAAGTCTTGTGACTTCTGGCTACATGACCCCTGAGCAGTAAGGAATTACAGAAACTATGCCTATCTTTTCAGAATTCAGGCCCCTTTCACAATCCCAACCTTCTGGACTTTCATTACTTTTATAAAGGCAGTTTAGTTTTGGAAAGGACTATTATAATCTTTGTTTTGGGTAAAACTATAAATCATTTCCAAAGTTAGCTTGGCCTATGCCCAGCAATGACCAAGGACAGCTTGGAGATCAGAAGCAAGATGGAGTCAACTATGTCAAATTTCTCTTACTGTCATGATTTTGCAAAGGCAGTTTCAATAAGAGCATAGAGAAAAGCATAAATGAAGGTAGTACCAACATATTTGAAAAGCACCATTGTGGCTGATTTCTGTATGCCAGAGATGAAGTTGGAAAATACCAATATTGAAATAGTCTCTATGATTTCAATAAGAATGATGACATCTCAGGGTGGCAGAGACTAATGAATTACACCAATATACCAGAAACAATTTGGCCTGCTTATTTTAATAGGAGAAAGGCTGGTAGGGTAATTATAATGATTTGACCCACAGGAATCTTTGTCATTGAATAATTGATCATAGAGCCCTGCATGCGGAAATTGGAAGGGAGTCATGTTTACCTGGGTAAAGAATGTTTTCTCTGCAATAAAAGTCATTTGGTGAGTATTTACATAGGACACAAATATTCTCACACTCTGAGTTTACTTTAAGAGATCCCTTCACATACCTCTTTCTTCAGGCCAACTTGTTATACATCCTTATATCTTACTCCTTGTGTATCTCTGACCTGCCAATCATTAGCCCCAATCCCTGCATTACTGTAGATCTGTTTCTTGGGTCATCTCTCTTTTAGGCAAAATGGGCAGTGAGATAGCCTGCTTAAAATTCTGCCCATTGGAAGGAATTCCACCCCTTGGTGGGGCTGCTGCACTGCAGAAGTTTATCTCCAGTTTTCATGGAGAACCATTTATAAACTAGCTTCACATGTTTTTCTTTTTCAATCAACTGATCATAGAGAACACTCCATGTAGCTCAGGTATAGATGAGAGTAAGATGGCAGTGTGATGGCAGTAGGCACACCAGGAATGATAGCCACCTGTTCATCCAATTTACTCTTGACTTTAGGACCTGCTTAAGGTCAATATACCACATGCTGGAGGAGTGTTGCTGCCATGCCGGACTCTATGGTGATAGATAAGACACCAAATTCATGTGGGGAACTGACTTGACTGTCCTCCTGTCCTACAGTCAAGTAGGTGTTTGGTCTCTACTATGACCCAATAGCAAGCCAAATGCTATCTCTCAAAATGAGGGCAATTAATTTTCAAATCAGGCACGATTTTGCTCCAAAATGCTATGGGCCTCTCCTCTAATTCTCTTATCAGGGTTTCCACAGAATCCCCCAGCATCTTGATTAGCCATACATATTTTGAAAACCACTGGAATCACTGGTCATAAGTAGGGTGACCATATAATATAATTGATCACTCCAACTAGAACAATTTTGAGAGTGAAAGGAGGCACTAGTAATAAACATGTTGGGAAAATGTACGGTCATCCAGTCATAAAAGCCAAGTGATTTATTTGTTCACTCTGCATCCTTTACCAGCTAGAGTACATATTCAAAGATGAATATAGAAAATTTTGATAAAGAGCTCTCAATTATATCCTGGATTAGGTTATTGAATTTCAAGGCAAAACTTCTTCAAGCACTCAGGCAGAAAAGGTAAATATTTAATTAGTTATCACACTTTAGTGTGCATGAGAAGTACCTGGATGTATTGTTAAAACAGGCTACTCAACTTTATACTCAGAATTTCTAATTCTGTAGCCATAAAATGGGCCTGAGAATTTGCATTTTAACAAATTCTTAGGTGATATTGATGTTGCTAATCCAGGGGTCATATTTTTAAGAACCATTGATCTACAGAAGAAGAAGAAGAAAAAAAAACATAAGACTGTCCTCAGTTTTTTTCCACAGCAACATGTCATACTTTTAAGAACCATTGATCTACAGAAGAGAAGAAGAAAAAAATAGACTGTCCTCAGTTTTTTCCACAGCAACATGTAATACCAAATGATAATATTCTAAATAGAAACTTATACTGAGATGTAGTTGAAGTTTTAGGTCCACCAACAGCTTTTATAAACATGAACAGACTCTAGGAACATTGCCTTCTAGAGAACCTTTTGCAAAAGCCATAAGATGATAGTCACACTTTTTTTTTTCTGATAATAGGATCTAGGGGTTACAGTATATTTATGACCTGGCTGTCTAAAGAAAGGTTGTGATATGGTTTGGCTTTGTCCCTGCCCAGATCTCCCATCTTGAATTCCCACCTGTTGTGGCAGGGACCCAATTGGAGGTGATCGAATCATGGGGGCAGGTCTTTCCTGTGCTGTTCTCATGATAGTGAATGAGTCTCATGAGATCTGATGGTTTTAAAAAGGGGCGTTCCCCTGCACAGCTCTCTCTTTGCCTGCTGCCATTTACATAAGATGTGACCTGCTCCTCCTTGCTTTCTGCCATGATTGTGAGGCTGCCCCAGCCATGTGGAACCGTAAGTCCAATTAAACCTCTTTCTTTTGTAAATTGCCCAGTCTTGGGTATGTATTTATCGGCAGCATGAAAACGGACTAATACAGTAAATTGGTACCAGTAGAGTTGCTGAAAAGATATCCAAAAGTGTGGAAGTAACTTTTGAACTGGGTAACAGGCAGAGGTTGGAACAGTTTGGAGAGCTCAGAAGAAGACAGGAAAATGTGGGAAAATTTGGAGCTTCCTAGAGACTTGTTGAATGGCTTTAAGAAAAATACCTATAATGATATGAACAATAAGGTCCAGGCTGAGGTGGTCTAGATAGAGATAAGGAATTTGTTGGGAACTGGAGCAAAGGTGACTCTTGTTATGTTTTAGCACAGAGACTGGCGGCATTTTGCCACTGCCCTAAAGATTTGTGGAACTTTCAACTTGAGAGAGATGATTTAGGGTATCTGGAAGAAGAAATTTCTAAGCAGCAAAGAATTCAAGAGGTGACTTGGGTGCTGTTAAAGGCATTCAGTTTTATAAGGGAAGCAGAGCATAAAAGTTTGGAAAATTCGCAGCCTGACTATGCAATAGAAAATTTTTAAAAAACCAATTTCTGGGGAGAAATTCAAGCCGGTTGCAGAAATTTGCATAAGTAGCAAGGAGCCTAATGTTAATCCCCAAGACTATGGGGAAAATCTCTCCTGGCCATGTCAGAGACCTTCATGGCAGCCCCTCCCATCACAGACATGGAGGCCCAGGAGGAAAAAGTGGTTTTGTGGGCCGGGGCCCAGGGTCCCCATGCTGTGTGCAGTCTAAGGACTTGGTGGCCTGTGTCCCAGCTGCTCCAGCTGTGGTTGAAAGGGGCCAACTTAGAGCTCAGGCCATGGCTTCAGAGGGTGCAAGCCCAAGCCTTGACAGCTTCCATGTGGTATTGGGCATGTGGGTGCACAGAAGTCAAGAATTGAGGTTTGGGAACCTCTGCCTAGGTTTCAGAAGATGTATGGAAATGTCTGGATGCCCAGGCAAAAGTTTGCTGCAGGGGCAAGGCCCTCATGCAGAACCTCTGCTAGGGCAGTGCAAAAGGGAAATGTGGGGTTGGAGCCCCCACAAAGAGTCCCTACTGAGGCACTGCCTAGTGGAGCTGTGAGAAGAGGGCCACTGTCCTCTAGACCCCAGAATGGTAGATCCACTGACAGCTTGCACCATGCACCTGGAAAAGCCACAGGCACTCAATGCCAGCCCATGAAATCAGCTAGGAGGGGGGCTGTATCCTGCAAAGCCACAGGGGTGGAGCTGCCCAAGACCATGGGAACCCATCTCTTGCATCAGTGTGACCTGGATGCAAGACGTGGAGTTAAAGGAGATCATTTTAGAACTTTAAGATTTGACTGCTCGGCTGGATTTCAGACTTGCATGGGGCCTGTACTCCTTTGTTTTAGCCAATTTCTCCCATTTGGAATGGCTGTATTTACCTAATGCCTGTATCTCCATTGTATCTAGGAAGTAACTAACTTGCTTTTGATTTTACAGGCTCATAGGTGAAGGGACCTGCCTTGTCTAGATGGGACTTTAAACTTGGACTTCTGGGTTAATGCTGAAATGAGCTGAGATTTTGGGGGACTGATGGGAAGGCATGACTGATTTTGAAATGTGAGGACATGAGATTTCAGAAGGGCCAGGGGCAGAATGATACAGTTTGGCTGTGGCCCCGCCCAAATCTCTGTCTTGAATTCCCACATGTTTTGAGAAGGACCAGGTGGGAGGTGATTGAATCATGGGGGCAGGTCTTTCCTGTGCTGTTCTCATGATAGTGAATGAGTTGCACGAAATGTGATGGTTTTAAAATGGGTGTTCCCCTGCACTGCTCTCTTTGCCTGCTGCCATCCACATAAGATGTGACCTGCTCCTCCTTGCTTTCTGCCATGATTGTGAGGCTTCCCCAGCCATGTGGAACTGTAAGTCCAATTAAACCTCTTTCTTTTGTAAATTGCCCAGTCTCAGGTATATCTTTATCAGCAGCATGAAAACAGACTTATACAGATTATATTTACTAACCTCAGGTTCAGATGAGGTTTCCAGTAATATAAAACTTGACAATGCTCTATCTTTACCTACTACTATATTTCTCTGCCTACTTTCCTTTCATTCAAGCTAAAGAAATTAAGGCTCTGGTGCTGTTAAACTGTCTGACTCATCTGAAATGTAAGCCTTTATATTTGTCAAAAATTGTGAAATATGTTTGAGATGATTAAAATAAATCTGAAGGCTTGGCTAGTTCATGTATGTATGTATCTGAACTTCAAGTGAACTCTATGAACACTGTCCTCTATAAAAACTCCCACAAAAAAGTGCAGCTTTTTTTTCTGCAGAATCCTAAAAGATCAGAATAGCTTTGATTTTTAAGATGACCATCAGAATTCTTTGTTCCCCTTCTGTGGAAGTTGGAAAATAACTTTGAATAAAAATTATCTTTTTTGGGTTTTCTAAAATAAACATAACTAGTTTTGTTTACTGTAACAACAAAACTAAGTTGAGAGATGCAGAGGTGTAATATTAGAGGAAGTGTGAGAGTGCCAGTATTTTCATTTTCAATACCAGGAAGTCCATTTGAAACCTGAGGGTTTAAAGTACAATGATTCTAACTTCATCATGTTTTCCTTTGTCTTCTTTCATAATCTAGGAGGGTTCCTTAAGAAATAAAATCTCTTGAAATGAAAGATTTAAAGTTTAACAATTCCTCTAGTTTCCCTTCAATTTACTTTTCTTCTGTTAAAATCCAGCAAAACAGGTTTTATTTTTTATTTTTCTTAGACAAGGTCTCAATCTGTTGCCCAGGCTGGAGTGCAGTGACACGGTCATAGCTCACTGCAGCCTTGACCTCCTAGGCTCAAGCGATCCTCCCACCTCAGCCTCCCAAGTAGCTGGGAGTACAAGCACATGCCACCGTGATTGGCTAATTTTTAAAAATTTTTATTGTTAGTAGATACGAGGTCTTGCTATGTTGCTGAGGCTAGTCTGTAATTCCTGAGCTCAAGTAATCCCCCGACCTCTGGCCCCCAAAGTGCTGGGATTACAGGTGTGAGCCACTACAGCCAGCAAAAGTTTTTTGGTTTTTTTTTGACTAAAATTAGTAGCATTCATATGAACACATTTTAAAAGGTTATCTATTGCTCTCATTCTGTATAAGCAGAGAAAAAAATACTTGGAATGATGTTCATTTACTATGCTTAAAATTTTCATTGAGGTGTAATATACAAATCAGAAAATTCACTTCTTATGATTGTACAAGTTAACAATTTTTAGTAAATTTACAAGGTTGTTTGATCATAATAACAACCAATTTTAGAACATTTCTATCACTCTGAAAATAACCCTCATGTTCACTTACCATCTCTATTCCCACTCCAGTGCTGGGCAACCACTAATTTACTTTCTGTCTCTGTAGATTTGCCTTTTCTGGACATTTCGTACAAATAGAATCACCTCATATGTGGTTTTTGTATCTGGCTTCTTTTCTTTAGTATAATGTTTTTGAACTCATCCGTGTTGCAGCAAGTCAGTAATTTATTCCCTTTTATTACGGAAGTCCATGGATATGCCTACCACATCATGGAGTGAATTGTGTCCCTGTCCCCCAAATTCATATGTTGAAGCACTAACCCCTCAGTACCTCAGAATGTAACTATATTTGGAAATAAGTCTTTTAAGGAGGGCATTAAGTTAAAATGAGGATATTTAGGGTATGTCCTACTCCAATCTGACTGGTGTCCTAGAAAGAAAAGATCAGGACATATGAGAGAGAAAGTGAGAAGGCTACCATCTGCAAGCCAAGGAAAAGAGGCCTCAGGAGAAACCAAATCTGCAGGCACCTTAATCTTGGACTTCCAGTCTCCAGAACTGTGAGAAGTAAATTTCTGTTAAGCCACCCAGTCTGTGATATTTTGTTATGGCAACCCTAGCCGACTAACTCACCATTCTGGTGGCTATGAAGTGGTATCTCACTGTGGTTTTAATTTGCATTTCCCTAAGATGTATATCATCTTTTCATGTGCTTGTTGGAAATTTTTATATCTTCTTTGATGAAGTCTCTATTTAAACGTTGCCCATTTAAAACAAGTTGGGTTTGTCTTATTATTGAGTTGTAAGCCCTCCTGATATATTCTGGTTAGAAGTACTTTATCAGAAATATGATTTGCAAATATGTTCTCTAAGGTTGTAGTTTGTATTTTGTTTTCTTAATGGTGTTCTTTTGAAATAAAAAAGTTTTACATTTTGATGAAATTCAATTTATACATTTTTTCTTTTAAGGATTATGCTATTGGTGTCATATCTAAGGACTCTGCCTTACCTAAGGACAAAAAAGATTTTTCTATACTTTTTGGGGTTTAGCTCTTACATTTAGGTCTATTGTCCATTTGAAGTTAATTTTTGTATAAGGTGTAAGAGTCTAAATCCATCTTTTTGCATATGACTAAACAAGTGGTCCATCACCATTTATAGAAAATACTATCCTTCCCTCATTGAATTGCCTTAGCAGCTTTGTCAAAAATCAATTTATCCACAGGTATAGGAGTTTATTTCTGGACTCTTAATTTATGTCACATTGATCAATATGTCAATACTGCACTATCTTGATTATTTTATAGTACATTATAAAGTTGAGAAGTATGTAAATCCTCCAATTTTATTTTTCAAGATTTTTCAAGATTGTTAGGTCTATTCTGGGAACTAAGATTGCTTATTTGGAATAAATCCTACTTTTTCATGGTGTATTACAAGATTTGTTAATGCTCTATAAAGGATTTTTGCTTCTAATTTTAGGAGAGATGTTTGTTTTTTTTTGTCGTTGTTGTTGTTTTGTAATGTCTTTGGCTTTGTACTGGCCTTCTAAATAAATTAGGAAATATTTCCTCTTCTATTTTCTGGAGGAGATTATATAAAGTTGGTGTTAATTCCCCTTTAAAGGTTTAGTAGAATTAGTCAGTGAGACCATCTGGGTCTGGGCCTGGAGATTTTATTTTGGAGAGTTTTTTTTTTTTTTGAGACATAGTCTCATTCTGTCACCAGGCTGGAGTGCAGTGGCATGATCTCAGCTCACTGCAACCTCTACCTCCTGGGTTCAAGTGATTCTCCTGCCTCAGCCTCCTGAGTAGCTGGGATTACAGGTGTGTGCCACCACACCCAGCTAATTTGTGCTTTTAGTAGAGATGAGGTTTCACCATGTTGGCCAGGATAGTTTCTATCTCCTGACCTTGTGATCCACCCACCTCGGCCTCCCAAAGCGCTGGGATTACAGGCGTGAGCCACTGCACTCGGCCTTTGGAGAGACTTTTTATCAAAAATTCAATCTCCTTAATAATAATAGGGCTATTTAGATTGTCTATTTCATCTGAGTTTTTGTAGTTTGTGGTTCTCATGGAATTGGTCCATTTATTCTAAATTGTCAAATTTCTGAGCATAAAGCCATATGTAATACTATTTTTTTTAATGGTTGCAGTATTTGAAATGAGAGTTCTTGTTCAAGTCCTCATATTGGTGACTCATTTTCTATTTTTGTCAATGTTGCTAGAGGTTTATTGATTTTATTACAATTTTTTGAAGAACCATCTTTTCCTTTCATTGCATTTTTTGGTAAGATTCTCCTGTTTTCAATTTCATTGCTCTTTACTACTTTATTCCTTCTGCTTGCTTTGGATTTATTTTGCTCCTCTTTTTGAGGAAAAGTAGGAACTTAAATTATTGATATGACACCTTAATTTTTTTTGGGGGGGGAGTGAAAGTTTATTAAAAAGCTTTAGAGAAGGAATGAAAGGAAGTACATTTGGAAGAGGGCCAAGTGGGCAACATGAGAGACCAAGTGCCCCTTTCTTCATTTTTAATGTAAGTATATAGTGCTATGAATTTTCTTCTTAGTACTGCTTTAGCTGCATCCCACATACTTTGATATGTTTTCATTTATCCTTTTAATTTCCTTTGAGACTCCCTGTTTGACCCATAGATTATTTAGAAGTGTGTTATTTAATTTTCAAGTGTTTCAAGAGTTTCCTGTTGTCTTTGTTAGAGATTTTCAGTTTAATTCCATTATGGCCAGAGCACATGATTTCAATTCTTTTAAATTTGTCAAGTTTGTTTTACTATATATTTTATGTCTTTTTCTATTTGATGACTAGTGCATGGGCAATTGAGAAAAATGTATTGTTAGGTGGTATGTCTTATGAATGTTAATTAGACCCTGTTGATTGATTGTGTTGCTCAGATTTTCCATATCCTGGTGATTTTTCTACTTCATAGTTCTATTAGTTACTGGGGAAAGGGGAGAATGATGTTGAAGTTCCCAACCATAATTACAGATTCTGCTATTTCTCATTTCAGCTTTATCAATTGCTGCTTCAGGTATTTAAGGCTCTGTGGTTTAGTTTGTACACATTTAGTATAATGCGTCTTCCTAATTGATCCTCTTATCATTATATAATATCCCCTTTGTCTCTGGCAATTTTCTTTGCTTTGCAGTCTACTTTATCAAACACTACTATTGCCACTCCTGTTTTTTTAAAAAAGTATTAATGTGTATGTGATATATCTTTTTCCACCCTTTTTTACTTTCAACTCACCTGTGTTTGAACTTGAAATGAGTTTCTTATATGCAGCACATAGGATTATGGATGGTTTTTAACTCAGTCTACCAATGTTTGTCTTTTGATTGGTATATTTAGACCATTTACATTTAAGGTCCAGTGTTTACTGATATTTTAGCACTTTAGTCTGTTATTTTGTTATTTATTTTCTATTTGTCTCCTCTGGTTCTTATTTATCTTTCTTGCCTTTCTGCAGCTTATTTAAACATGTTTTAGATTCCATCTTGATTTATTTGTAATACTTCTGAGTTTGTCACTTTGTATAGTTTTCATAGTGGTTGCTCTGGGTGTTACACATGCTACTTATAACAATGTACTGGTATCAATATTCACCACTTCAAATGAAGTGTGGAAACCTCACTTCCATTCAGGTCTCTTTGGCTTCCCCACCTTTAAATATCATTGTTTTAAGTATCAGATGGTGTTACAATTTTTGTTTCAAACATAAAATATATTCTCTAAAACCCATAAGGAAAAAATTGTCTATTGTATGAACCAGTATTTCTGCTCTATTGTTTCTTCTTCCTTCCTGATGTTCTAAGTTTCCTTCTTTTATAATTTGAAGAACTTCCTTTAGCTAGTCTTTTATGGGTAGATTGGCTAGTCACAAAATCTTTTAGTTTTCATTCATCTGTTAATGTTTTTATAATCCCTTCATTTCTAAGAATGTTTTGTTTGTTTTCAAAAGATAATTTTGCTAGATCTAGAATTATAGGAGATGATTCTTTTCTTTCATCCCTTAAAAAATATTTGGCCACTTCCTTATTTATGGTTTCAGATAAGAAATCCATTCAAATTGGTGTTCCCCTACAAGTAATGCACTGTTTCTCACTTGCTGCTTCCAGGACTTTGTTTTTAGTTTTCAAAAAATTATAATGTGCCTGGGCATGGATTTTTTTTTTCTTCTGTGGGATTCATCCGGCTTCTTGAATCTCTAAGTTAGTGTCTTCTATCTAATTTGGAATGTTTTCAGCCTTATTTTTTCAAATATTCATGTCTACCCTTTTTCTCCTTTACTTTCTGTTACTCCGATAATATGAATGCTGGATATTTTGTTATTGTTCCATAGGTCCCTGAGGTCTGTTTATTTTTTCCGGTTTATTTTCTCTCTATTGTTCAGATTGGGTAAATTCTATTGTTCTGTCCTCAAGTTCACAGATTTTTATCCCCCATCATCTCTACTGTACCATTAAGCCTATCCAGTGAGTTTTCAGTTTTTGTATTTTTCAGTTCTATAATTTTCATGTTTCCTTTTGATAAAACTTCTATTTCTATTTTTCTGAGGTTTTTCTGTTTTTTCATGTTTCAAGAGAATTTGTAATTGATTGTTGTAGCATTTTTATGATGTCTGCTTTAAAATTCTTATCAGATAATTTCCAATATCTGGTTCATCTCAATGCTGGAATCCATTGATTTCCTTTTTCACTCAAGTTGTGATTTTATTGTTTCTTGATTTGCACTCTGAACATTTTGCCTATTATGTTAGGAGACTGATTTCTATTTAAATATTTTGTTTTGCAAGGAATCACTCTGTTTAGGTTTAGCATACAGTTTTAGCCTACTTTTGTGGGCTGTAATTCTAATGGCAGCTTAATTTTCAGAGCCCTTGCAGTGTTATTTTAGTTGCTTGGTTTATGTAGGGCTCCCACTGGTCTCTGTTACTGCTGCCTGAAAGGGCAGGAGGAATTTCCCTGGCTGGGTTGCCAAGTGTCTCTTGGTGAGGGTGGGCTATGATAAATCCTGCAGATGCCTCTAGCTGCCCAGATTTCTCTGGGCCTGGGAGGAGAGTCTTGCTTCCACATCGTGGCTTCTGTGACCAGGTTGCTGGCTTCAGAGATGTCGTCTGTGACAGGTCCCTTTTCCTGGTTCTACCAGCCAATCCTAGTATCTCTGGGCAGGAGAGGACAGTCTTAGGCCTGTGCAAAAAGGCTTCCCCAACTGGACCACCTATTTTTCCTAGGTTTCTCTTACTAGCTCCTCCTGTCCACCTCAGTATCTTTTCTTGGAAAAGAGGAGTTTCTGACCCAGCAGGGAATAAGGGTGCTTCCCCTGGTCACTTATTTTTTTTGTAGGCCTCTCAATCAGTCCACTTATTTTTTTGTAGGACTCTCAATCAGTCCCCTTGCCTGAGGTTGCCAGAGGGACTCCATTAGGTTCAGGGGGAAGAATGAGCTACTGGGCTACCTTCTGCTGCTAGATGGAAAGTCAGGAAATACCTTCTGATAGGGGGATATAAAATGCCCTGCCTCTGTGCTGTTCTTCTGGTCCTGGGTTTTCAAACCAACCTGCTTTCTTCTTAACACCCTTTAGAATCCTTTGGTTTTCTCTTGTACCATTTCCAAAATTTATTAAGTTGTGCTTAGCAGGGCATAGCAGGGGAAATGGGACAATGCCATCTTGTCCAGACCAGAAGTCTCTCACCTACTGAATGTTACGTCTACATTATCTGTAAATATATATATATTTTCGCTAATTTAGATCCAATTAAATATGAATAATCAAAAAATCCCAGAGAAGTCTACCTAATGCAGAAATTTAACCTATTTTCTCCACATGTAATTAAATTAATGAGACTGGGGGAAAATGGATGTGTCAATAAATGGGATCTAAAGTGAGCACGTAAGGATATACTGTTAAAGAACATACACACATACTCTCCTTCACTCAGGCCACCTCCTTCCAATCTGCTCAGTGTGGATCTCTCCGTCAAGCACAGATGGATTCATGAAGCCTCCAAAGGGGCTTCGAAAAATGGGAGGGGGTGGTAGAGCCTATTATAGTGAAAATACAGTCCTTTCTTCCTGGGGCCCTCTGAGTGGCAAGACCTGCCTGGATGCTTCTGCTTGGGAAATCTCAACTCTGAAAGGCTGAGTAGTGCCAGGAGAATGGTAGCTCCAGAACTCCCTAGGTTGGTCGGGGTCTTCTCTGAACTTTAGTGGTGAAGGTGGCTTAATCCAATCAAATGCACCAAAGTAGGAAAGCAGATATTTATTTGGAGCAGCATGCTCAGCTTGGCATGTTTTCTTTCTTCCTTATTTATATACTGTGTCATTCCCAAGAAGGATTTAAAGTGACTTCAATCAATACACAATATATATGAAAATATAAATTAGATATACAGGTAAAAAAAGAGCAAGAGGAAAACAAGGCACAGGAATAAGGCTGGTGCAAAACTGCTTCTCTGTGATTTTCTACACTTACAATAAATAGTCCATTTATGGGCTGGCAGGATAAACTCCTAACAAGAAAGGACCCTCAAGACATGCCATGGAGGAAGATACATTCCCATGGGAATGTCCCTATAATACTCCATAGATTTCCTTTTCCTGAAACATGTTTGATTTCTTCTTAAACATTCCCAAGTTCTCATTTTGAGAATGGCCAGGGTTCTGGGCAGTGTAGTCTACTGAAAGACTCAGGCTACTAAGTTCCTGAGGGATCACATTCCAGTCAGGGTCCATTACAAGTCAGAGATTATATAAATATGCAAGAGAGCATGAACCAAGGCTAAAACTACAGTTGGTAATTCCTCGAACTCTAACTTTTTTGTTTTTTGGCCTTTTGGGTTTTTTAGTAATGGGGACTTGCTCTATTGCCCAGGCTGGAATACAGATGTGTGATCATGGGATCCTGGCTCATTGCAGCCTTGCACTCCTGGGCTCAAGGGATCCTTCTGCCTCAGCCTCTTGAGTAGCTGGGACTACAAGTGCATGCCACCACACCTAACTAATTTTTATATTTTTTGTAGAGACGGGGTCTCACTATGTTTCCCAGGCTGATCTTGAACTCCTAGTCTCAAGTGATTCTTAGCCTCCCAAAGTGCTGTGATTACAGGTGTGAGCCACTATACCCAATCTCAAACTCTTGTATTTAAAATTCTTCTATTTGATTCTCAGAATCTAAGCCAAAAACTGTTAGACTCAGACTTGCAGTTCCCAAGTCAGCTGGAAACCTAGGTGATGCTGATGACACACAGGAGCCGAGAAGTAGCCACAGAAGTTGTGCTGTGCTTGGTGACTAAATGACCACACTCCTTCCACTATGAGAGCTGTCTTTCTCCTGGGAAATAGAAGAATACACACACAAAAAAAATCCAGTCAGTGCAATCCGTCTATGCATGTAACACATAATGTGCTCTTGATTTACAAATCCTAAGTGGGTGGTGGCTGCCAGGACAGCAGATCTGAACCTAAAAAGTATTTCTTTACTCTTCATGAAACCAATCTCTCTCCCCAGGCTTAGGTTTTTCTTGCTTACCTCTCTAGAGACTCCCTCAAATACCTTTAATTTCTGAAAATTTCTTCCAGTCTAATTCACTCTGCCTCTTGCTCTGTTTTCTAATACCTTCAAGTCTCCCTTAGACTGAAAAAGGGGTACCCTGTTCCATTCTTCAGTCCATCTCTCTCCCATTCATTCATGAAGACATTGCTCAGTTCTCTTTTTCCTTTTTATAATCTCCTGAATCATTCCTTCCCAGCCCTTTTCTAAAAAGTTTGGCTTCAAACCTTAGTATTTCTCTGAAGTTGTATTTCAGAGATCACTAATTACTTCTTCCTGACCAAACTCAGTGGCTTTTTTTCAGAAGTTATTCCACTCTACTTGGTCTTTGGGCTTTTTCCACTTCCTCGGTGAGGGTGAAGAACTGTGGTTTACATTTCTCATATTTTTCTAGCTACGGTAGGGGATCATTTTATTTAAGTTTTGAATACTTATACTTGTGGTCCATGAATGTAACCTTCCTCATCTTATTTGAAATAAGAAAACGAAGTATCTGTCCTAAAATATACTGCTCAAAAGGGATCACATATGTATGTACATTCATGTTGCTATAAAAAAAAGTTTCCAATTTATCAGGAAAGTGAGTTTTAGGGGTCATGATTTCTAATCAAAATACTGCAGGATAAATGTTCTCTGACATAACGGAAAACAATGAAATGTGGTAAAAGGAACTTGTCCAAGTTTGCTAAAAGAAAACCTAGACATGATCAAGGAGTAGACATTTTGTTGAAAGTAGGAGATTAAGAATGCCGACATAAAACTTTTTAAACATTAAATCAAAAAGTCAAGAAAAAAGCTGGGATTCTCTTTAGAAAGTTTGAATTTAGCTTGGAGAAGAAAGAACACAGTGGTTTTCTCTTGTATTAGAACAGGTGTATACCGGCCAAGTTTGGAAGAAGCCAGAAATACCTTGAGAATGTCTTAGGACAAGATTAGAAGGAAAGATAATTCATTGGAAGGAGTCCAGGAGCCTGGGCCACTCAAGTCTGTACTCACTGAAGGTAAAAGCTTGAAGTTTTTGCCCCTTATATTTCTGAGGTTATAGCTTCAGTGGAGTGAAAACGCCACCAGACCTGAATTGAGAAGATCTTGGCTGGAATCCTGGTTCTGAAGTTGGGTGGAAGATCCCTCAATATAACCTCCATTTTCTCATGGGCACTGTGTAACATATCGTTCCTATCTATTTCAGGTTACCATGAAATCATCTGCATGGAAGCCCTTGTTTGTCAATATCTATTTGTCAAATATTACTCTTGAGAGAGAAGGTTCCACATGAACAACAACAAAAAAAGTTGTTCCATTTATGTTTCTCTAAATGCCAAATGAAGTATTTTAAATAAGCATTTTATAAAAAGTTATGGTAAAGCTGTAGCTGCTGAAAGCCTGCTTTAGGAAAATAGTGATACATCTTATCAACTCAAGCAGTAAACAGGAACTTCCAGTGCTGCATGATGGAAGGTCACCATCTAGAGGCCCAATTGTATTAGGATGTTTCACTACAAGCTCCAATGACTCCAGAGGCTAGGAAGGCAGCCTGTGTAAGAAGCAGCAGCCAGCCCCAAGGAGAGGAGGGAACAGCAAGACTTTGGCCCTGCAGACTTTGCCTCAGTAAATGCATTCAAAATTCCAGTTACAAACAAAACAAACTAAACACAGTGCCTTCAAACTGAGCAATCTGCCAAATCAAGCTTTGATCCTGGGCCTCTGCTCACTGTCAGAATATGAATGGAAAGTTGAATGTGATAAGTAAAGTGATAACTCCTTGGGAGATAAGCTCAAAGAGATTCCAAACAATGGAGGCTTTTACAATTTCTTGTACAAAATCTTTGCTTCTTGGGAGTAACTTTACAATTGAAAATTTGGTTTGGTTGTGGTAGGTGGTAAAGGAAGCTGTGATATTTTCAGAAAATTAGGAAGAAATAAAGTCACCAGAAGATATCATTGACTCCAAATGATAATCTCTTTCTCTCTTCCTTTTTTTTCTGAGTCAAGGTCGCATTCTGTGCTCAGGCTGGAGTGCAGTGGTGCAATCATGGCTCACTGAGCCTAGAACCTGGGCTCAAGTGATCCTCCTATACTCCTGAGTAGCTGGGACTACGGGTACATGCCACTGCACTTGACTATACTTCTCTCTAAGGAGGCAGCATGAATTATTGAAAGGGCACAGGCTTGAGAATCAAAGCGCAATTCAAACCTAAGCTTCACTCCCTATTGGCTGTGTGGCTTTGAGCATGCTACTCAACCTCTCAGAGGCTCCCATAGTTGTGAGGATTAAATGAAATAAAGCTTGGAGGCCAGGCACAGTGGCTCATGCCTGTAATCCCAGCACTTTGGGAGGTCGAGGCGGGCAGATCACGAGGTCAAGAGATCGAGACCATCCCGGCCAACATGGTGAAACCCCATCTGTACTAAAAACACAAAAGTTAGCTGGGTGTGCTGGCATATGCCTGTAGTCCCAGCTAATCACGAGGCTGAGGCTGGAGAATCGCTTGAACTGGGGAGGCAGAGGTTGCAGAGAGCCGAGATTGCACCACTGCCCTCCAGCCTGGTGACAGAACGAGACTCTGTCTCAAAAAGAAAAAAAAAAGAAAGCCTGGAAAGGGCTTAAAGGGCTTATCCAGTGTCTGGAATGTAACTGGTGTTCCTCACCCTTTTCTCACTTACAAGAAGTCACATAATTTAACTTACAGAAAATGAAAAGAAAATAATTTAACTTAGAAGAAGATAGCATGTAGATTTGGGGCCCAAAACTGGATCTTAACTTTTTTTGTTGTTGTTGTTATAATGAAGAGACCTGGTTTAGTCACTACATGAGTAAAGGAAGTGTGATTGTGTTTTCTTTCAGGACGTAATTTTCTTACTGGTAACACGGAAGAAATAGTTGTATCATCTGTAAATGAGGATAATAGTACAAAACACACAGGGTTGTTGTGAGGATTAAGTAAGATGTTATATAAGATGTCTATAACTCAGTACCGCTTAGCAAGGGGTAGCTATTTTCACTATTTTGTTGATCCTTGTCACTCAAGGGACATCTGTGAGAAGATGACATAATTGCCATTAATTATTACAGAAATGTCTGCTGGTCTTTGCTACCTTCCTCACAAATCACTCTCTCACCAAGGCTCTGCTCTAGAAAGAGCAGCAGTGTGGCTCTCCTAAGAGGCCTGCTCCTTTGCACACACCATGTATGTGATTGAGTTTTTAAAAAACTCACAGCAGAACATGTACTTCCAAATGAGAGTTGTATCCTTCAAAGCCTGTGACAGACTACACTTCTTCTTTTATAATATCTCTCTGCTCCGGGAACTTATTTCAGAGTTACTGCATATACCTTTGACTATCTCAACAGAAGCAAAAGAGAAAAGGATTTTGGTCAAATAGAGAAAAGATCTTCATGGGTAGCCTGTAAGTTGGCTCTGAGGCAGTTTATTAATGTTTTTGAGCAATGGCAACATATCTTTGCAAAGTGGCAACATTAAAGGACTGCTGTCATTTGGATGTATTAATTATAAATTTTTTTTTTGAGACAGAGTTTTGCTCTTGTCACCCAGGCTGGAGTGCAATGGCACGATCTCAGCTCACTGCAACCTCCTCTTCCCAGATTCAAGTGATTCTCTTGCCTCAGCCTCCTGAGTAACTTGGATTACAGGCACCCGCCACCACACCCAGCTAATTTTTTGTATTTTTAGTAGAGACACAGTTTCACCATGTTGGCCAGGCTGGTCTTGAACTCCTGACCTCAGGTGATCCACCCGCCTCGGCCTCCCAAAGTGCTGGGATTACAGGCATGAACCACCACACCCAGCCCCAAATAATTTTTAAAGTCACTTCTTTAAAAAAATACAAAAGATCTGTTTCTAGGGGCCCTAAAGGCCTACTTCCTTCTGTGTTCCCCTTTTAACTATGTCTGGCACCCATTGGCATCTTGCCTATTCACAGAATCTTAATGTTTTGGCCCATATATGGAATATCAGGGTTTTAAAAATCAGTTTAATGGTCCTTTCCAGGGGATGTCTCAGAGGGTCCCAACCTCATATATACCAGGGCCTTGCAATGCTGACTTAACAAGTGTCTTCTGTCAGGCCCAGTGTTCTAATTTGGGGTATGGAAATGGGTTGCTAAGTAAAGAAAGCAAAGCAGCTGTGAAGGAAGGTGAGGCTCTAGCCACAACAGCCTGCATTCAAGTCCTAGCTCATGGCTTGCAAGGTGCTTAATCATGCTGAGCCTCATTTTCTCCTGTGACCTCGCTTGGCCTACCCCACAGGACTGCGATGACAGCCGAAGCGACGGTGAGAAGGCCCTTCACAGGCAGCGAACTCTCCCCTGCCCTCTGCACTCGCTTGATTTCTTTAGCTCTGACAAGAGGTAGTCCACCTAGCCCACAGTGTAATTTGGGCAAAACAGGGAGGAGGCACCCTCTGTGGTGGAATGAGAGGCAGCCTGTGTTGGCTGTGGTCATGCCTGGCTGGAGGCTCCTCTCTGCCCATGCCCAACCCTCAGCAGGATGCCCCAGGCTCACCGAGCGCCTCTCCACACTCCCTTTTTTCCTGCTATTCTTGCCTGGAGTGATATCAAGTGAGCGGTAGCTAGGCGGCTTCTCCTCGGGCCAGTGTGGGGAGTGCGAGCCGCGGCGGTGGGCCCGCCAGCTCTGGGGCTGCCTCTCCTTGTCCTCTTCAGAGCTCCAGGAACTGAGGCCGGAGGGCAAGGGAGGAGAGTAGCTGCGGTGCCTGCGTCGTCTCCCGTGCCTCTGAGTGCTCTCCCGGGGGCTGGGCCTGCGGGGCCTCTCCTGACAGCGGCTCCTGAAAGGAGGGTGGCTCGGCCGCCAGCGTGCCTCACTGGATGAGGGGACATCGCTTAGGCTGTCCCTGTCTGACCAGTGTATGGGTGACCCATTCAGCCTAGAGCTACGGTGCCTTCCACTCCACGATGGGTCCAACTCCCTTCTTTCCAATGCCCAAGACTTTGGCCCCCGGTCCTGGAGCTCCTGGTGGAAATCAGGGTAATGGTGGTGGCTTCTCCCCTCCCTCAGATCCCAGGGCCTGGAGGGAATTGGGGTGAGCCACTGCTGGTGCAGGGAGTCACTGGTCCTCCTTGAGGATGACAGGTCTCTGATCAGTGGGGGCAGGTGGATGATTCTGCGTTCCACGACCTCAGAGCCCAGGGAGGACAGCATGCTGCAGGGATGGCCAAATCTGCCTTTGAGGTCAGGGGGCAGAGGCTGGGCCAGGTTGAGGTTCCGCAGTTCTTTCTCCAAATACTCCAGGACACCATTGGCGATGGGAGGCTGATTGGTGGTCTGGGTCATTGGCATCTGCGGGAGGCTGGACGGCAGGGACAAATCTGAATGGAAACAAGGACAGGACAATAGAACAAATGGCCCAAAACATACACCTCAGAATCAGGACATCAAAATGTGACATTGGTTAGCATGAATCCCTCCCATCTCCATCATGAAGATGCCTGCCGCATCGGTCACAGAGGTCTTGATGTAGCCCATGTTCCCGCCCTTGCCCTCTGCCCTCCCCTATCCCAAATCTCTGGAAGAGTTTACCTCGCTGCAGCAGCGGGTGCATTGGATAAGATGAAACCTGGGAGCTCCTGTCCGCCCCCCAGTACAGGGGTTTTCCCATCATCTGAGGACCTAGGGCCTGGGCCTGCTTCATGTAGCGGTGGCGGGCCAGGGCTGCAGGGAAAGAAGGAGAAATGCAGGCCCTCAGCCAGGGCAAGCCCCACACCTCCCACTTCACTTCTTTCCACCTAGGGGCCTTGCAAGAGGCCAGCTTCTCTTGTCCATTCTCACCTATTTTGCATGGGAGTAAGGGTTAAGGGGGTAGTAAATTAACTGTCCCCCTGGCGAGGAGCTGGAATTAAATTATCTTCAAGACTGCAACTTTTGTACCCCAGTAAAGTATATTCTTAAAACTTGACTTCCTAGCCTCAAAATCATTTCATCATCTTGCCCATTCCTAAGGTCACCCAAAATGCATAGGTAGATTCATGGATACTAGCATACAATGAATAAGTGGGCCATAGGCCAATAAAACTAGAAGCCAAAGGCCAGAAACAGAAGGTCCAGATGCGAAGGACTTAGAGGATGCTGTGAGTCAGGGGCTGGGGGCATCTGCTCAGAGTGAAGGAAAAAGGGAAGGGCATGATACTGAAGATAATGGGCAGAATTACTTGGCAATTGCATGGAAGAGTATTTCTAGCTGGCATGCCAACCCTGGGTGGAAGAAAGTTTGTGGGAAGAAGGCAAGGGCGTGCAAAAAGCTCAAGTAGATTCCAGTGAGTCCTTTCTACTCTTCCCGCCTTATTAAGTATTGAGATTGTCCCTAAGTAGGGGAATTTCTCAGGGGTGGGGTGGAAGCAGGGAAGGGAGATGAGAAATACTATTTCCTTTTATGGCAAAGAAAATCATATAAAAAAAGTAGTGCAAGGGATCCATAAAAATGTCACTCCAGCCCCTTAGGTGGGGCTGGTCTGAGGCATACAACCCGCAGTGAGTACAAATTAAAAACAAAAGCATTTCGTTGTTTTTGTTTGTGCTTTTCTATTTTGGGGTAGTTGTGGCTGAGTGCCTCATGTTTCCTAAGGGCTCTGCCTATCCACGCGTGTTGGACGTGTGCCTGTACGTTAAGTGCAGGAAGTGCCAGCCTCAGTGTGAACGAGGTTAGGCCCCAGCCTGGCATTCTCAGTTCCTCCTTGCTTCCCTGGGCCCTGTGGCCACCCCTAAAACAGCAGGGCCACGTACAGTAGAAGGGGGCAGAAAGCTGGCATCCTGAACACAGCCACATAGGGTGTAGGGTTTGCCAAGGCCAGCAGCAAAGGGGTCATCCAGTGGGCTGCTCAGTGATTCCAGTATGAAACTTCCAGCACAACAGGAAGTGGTTGTAACAGAGTCCCCAGAAATGTCCGGAGCTCCAACCCTCAGTGTGAGTCACAGCCTAGCCTGGAAGAAATCAGAGGCAAACTTGCAGCAGCTCCCCCAGCAGCTACACCTTCATGCCAGCTGATCACCTGGAGCCTCCCTGAAGACAGGTCCACAGGCTCAGCACTGCCCTCTCCCTCTGCAGAGATGCCTCTCCCTAGCTCCCTCTTCTGGCCACCACCAACACACATACTGGAATGCCCAGCCTTATACATGTAATTTACTTTACATAAGCTAACTAGTTCTCTGAAAAATCTCTTCACGTGGGAATCCAATGAGGAAGCTGGGCTCAGAGAGATTACCTTCCCAGCCTAAGGTCCTACAGCTAGCGACTGGCAGAGCCAGGGTGTGAACCTGTGTGACGCTCAAGCCTACACTCTTTGTGTGCCGCACCGCCAAGTCCCCAGACTCCTTTATTTTCTGTGATGAAGCAAAAAACCTTCCCTGCAGGCACCTCCTCAATTTACCTCTCTCTAACTCGGCTCCAGACCTTTCAAAGTCCACTCCAGACTAGTCTCTCCTTCCATAGCCTCGGGACATCTGATTCCAAGGAGAACAACCCTACCCACTGTACCCCTTTAATGGAATCCTAGCTTCTTCCAGATGGTCCTATTCCCATTTAGCCACTCCTCCTGCTTCCTTCAATCAGGGAGAAAGGCAGAGTTGTGCTTCCTCTTTGCTCCTCAAATGATTTTTTCACTAATGGGACTCCTTCCACAAATAACTCTCTAACAACCCTTCCAGATCCTCCATGAGTGTTTCTGACATTTCCCTGAGTTTTTTTCACACAGTCCAGAGATTAATTCACCTGCTCCCTTAGCTGCCACACCATTTTTCCAGGGTCTCACCCTTCCTTCTTGCACTAAAACTAATGAAACAGGATGGAAGACACAGCCTTTGAGCTTTTCTCTTGCGTGCCTTCCCCTGCATCCCTGAAAACAGCCTCACGGGATGTCTAGGCTATCAGGGGTATCTGTTGCTCACCTAATGGGGAATCAGATAGGCAATAAAAGTAGGAAACCTGGATAAGGCAACAAAGCTGCAAAAGACTCCCAATAAGTTATCTTTTAACCTCAGTGGAGTAAAATCTGCCTTAGTCACCCTTAATGAGCTTGTTAAAAATACAGCTTTCTGAGCCTCACTCCCAGGGACTCTCCTTCAGCTGGTCTAATGCAAGGCAAGAAAATTTGTATTTTCAACAAGCTCCCTGTTCCAATAATGTAGGAGTCAACTTGGAATTGACTGCTGAGGATTCTCAACAACCCTTTGGTCACCATTCCTTACCATCCCCTCTCCACTCTTACAGAACCCATTCTTGCCCTTGTTTTGTTTTTTTTGTTGTTGTTGTTTTGTTTTGTTTGAGATGGAGTCTCGCTATGTCACCCAGGCTGGAGTGCAATGGCACGATCTCGGCTCACTGCAACCTTCGCCTCTGGGGTTCAAGCGATTCTTCTGTCTCAGCCTCCCGAGTAGCTGGGATTACAGGCGCCCACCACCATGCTCAGTTAATTTTTGTATTTTTAGTAGAGATAGGGTTTCACCATGTTGGCCAGGCTGGTTTTGAACTCCTGACCTCAGGCGATCTGCCTGCCTCGGCCTCCCAAAGTACTGGGATTACGGGCATGAGCCACCATGCCCAGCCCTTGCCCTTCTTTTAACCTATGGTCACTTAGTCTATTTGCTTTCTCCAAAACTACCAGTCCTCCCTGATTTGACTGACCAGTCATTTCTGGGACATCCTCAGGTGTTTCCTAGAATCTGATGCCCCTTTGAACTCTTGTCATTTTAGCTTTAGGAAACTACCAGCAGATGCTTCTGGGTCCCAACCAGGCAATTGACCTCAAATAGCCCTCCTCCCAATAGGGCTTTCCTTCTTGACCTCTCAAACATGCATTCCCTCCTCTATAGCAGCAGGTTAAACATTCCCCACCTCTTAGGTCTTCCCCTGCCTGTGAACTTTCTGCTGATGACTTCATCTCTATTGATGAAGAGGAACCAGCCCTGAACGTGGAGCCAAGAAACCTAGGTTTAGTCCAGGGCCCACTGCTAACAGGCTGTAACAAGTAATTGTGGAAAAATCTCCCTCGACTTCACTTCCCTCAGCTGTGAGGCAGAAGGAGATGGGGCAGGAGAGATCAGAGAGTCTCACTGTGGCTGTGGCCTACTGCTGGGCATGCCTGGAGGTTCTCCAGTAAGGAGGGCCAGTAACTGCTCTAGGGATGAAAGCCGTTTCTCCAGTTCTTAGGGAAAAAATACGTTTCCATTTCAAAAATGTCTATCTTTAAGTCCTACAGAGGGCTGTTTACCACTATTAGGTGAACTATCAAGGGTTACTAAAATTTGGTCTTATTTTCATTTTTCTCCTCTCTAATCCTTTTTTAACTCTCACTAGAAAGTGGGAGCAGGTTGGGGAGGTGGGATGTGATCAAAGAAGTTCAAGAATCACTGACATGTTTCTTGAAGCTTCCTTCTGCATCTAGAATTTTGATTTGCTGAAATCGAGTCAGGCAGATGTGAGCTCCCTCAGCTTCCTCCCTTACATCTTAATCATCCTCCACATTTTAATGACTTCCTTTCTGTCTTCAGAGGCCAGGCTGCTTCCCTTTCCCTTCCGCTCCCTTTCTAAGGCCAGTTCTTTCCTTGTAGGGCTGAGGCCACTCCTACCAGCTTCATCACTCATCAGTGACCTCACTTCTTAATGCTTCACTTTACTCATTTGATATTAACCTTGGTTCTTTGCTTATAAACATGTTTAGGATTACCTTATTCTACAAACACCAACAATAACTCCTTACTCCTCTAACCAAAGAGCTTTCTTTAATAACTCATGCCCTTCCATGCAATTCTTCTTGTCAACAAACTTCTCAGGACAGTCTACCCCAGTGACTCACTTTGAAAGTGACCTCATCGGCCCAAGTTCAGGGATCTTTGTAATCTACATTTCTTGATTTTACTAGTTTTTTAAAATGAACCTAATCCCTCAGGAGAAACAACTCTCCCGCAGAACCTCCATTTATTAGTTTACTAATAAGTGGTGCACTTATCATTTGTGTTAGCTTTGTCCCCAGTCTTGCCTGCTTTTAGTGCCCCACGAACCTAGGGAGTCTAAGCAGGCATCTTGGGCGGGTTTTTCTTATCTCATCCTGCATATTATTACTCCAGTGACAGTGATTTCTCCATGGCCTCCTCCCTAAGATCCCTGAAAGGTAGGGGGCCCCACAGTCCAATGCTGCATCCTCCACGACTTTTCCCCTCCTACGGTGTCTTAGCCAATCCCACAGTGATCCACCTACAGAGGCTGTGGCAGTCTCTGCTGTAGGAATGCAGACTCTCACAAGTCAGATGAACATGGATTCAACTCTGCAAAACCACTGCTACTTCCTAGCTGTGGGGCTTTTCTGACCTTTGGTCTCCCATCTTTTAAAAGAGATGACTTCTGCCTTCTAGGGTGGTTGTGAGGATTCAGTGAGGAAACGTATGCAAGGGGACTACACATCAGACATCCAATAAAAGTTAGTTCTCTTTTCCTGTAAGACAGCAACCTCAGAGCACAGGCCTGAAACCAGACTCAGGCCACCGACTTTCTTCACATTGTAGATCAGGTTTTGTTTCTATCTTAATAGGTCATTCATTATTTTTCCCTTAAAAAATTTCCTTTCAAATGGATCAAACTGATAAAGGTGGTTATCTCTGGGTACTCAGATGAGTCATTACATTTTCCTGAATTTCTCAAATTTCCTACAATATAGTACTTTATTTAGATCATCTGGAAGAGGAAATGTTATTGAAAATAGAAGCCAAAAAAAATTAAAAACCTTCTATTTAAAGCAGTTGGTGCTATTCCATCTATTTGACCAAGAAAATAACTTTATAGAATAATTTTGTATTATTTTGCCTTTACCATGTATTCTGTAGCCAACATTTTTTAGGGCATAATTCTGTTATAGCTCTGTTTTAAAGGATCAGATGTTAGTCCAAAGGAAGATCACATTGAAAGCAAGATCATCTGCTCCCTCTTCCCTTGCCCTAACTCAAGGATTCTCAAAGTGTGGCTCCTCTACCAGCAGCAGCACATCACCTGGAAACTTTTGAGATAAGAAATACAAATAAAGTTCTAAGCCCCCAAATGACTAACAGACCCCCTCTTGGCCAAGGGGACCCCAGAGAAATCTTGGAAGCTAAGTTCATGGCCATGACGGGATGGGAGGTCAGACTCACCTCATTATATCCCCTCTCACAGTGACCACCCCTTTCAAAAGACTCCACGTGGATAATGTCAATTACTAGTTTATCTTCCCAGGTACAGAACAAAGGCAAGATAAGGTCTAATTCTTCTTTTCCCCTTTTCTAATATTCACCTTATCTTATGTAAAATATAGATTTGCTGGGCACTAACTAAAGTTTCACAAGTATATAATCATTTGTTTCATTGCTGCCTCCCACTTCTTAAGGAAAATGTATAAATACTAAACCTCCTGGGAACCTCTTTGAAAAAAAAAAACAGCCACAGATGCATCTGTGACTTATGTTTTTTCCCTGGGTATGCCCTCAAGCTAGCTCAATAAACCTCAATGATCTGAGACTTATGCCTCAGTCACTCATTTTGATTGCCAGAGAAATAAAAATTCTCAGGTCCTGCCCCAGACAGGTTGAGTCAGAAAACGGAGATGGCAGCCAAAAATTAAGTTAAGGAGGAAAAAAAAAAAAAAAGAAAAAACAGAAATCATCCCTACCTCCTGACCTCTGGAGAGGGGAGAGTGGCTGAAGGTGACTTGATCACTGATAGCCAATGACTTAATCAATCATGCCTATGTAATGAAGTCTCCATAAAAACCCAAAAGGACTAGGTTCAAGGAGCTTCCTGGCTGCTGAAGACGGAGGTCCTGGGAGGGTGGCACACCTGGAGAGGACATGGAAGCCCCTCCCCGCTCCCACATACCTTGCTCTATACATCTCTTCATTTGGCTGTTCACTTGTATTCTTTTAAATATTCTTTGTAATAAGTGGGTAAACATAAGTAAACTGTTTCCTTAAATTCTGTGAACTGCTCTAGCAAATTAATTGAACTGGAGGAAAGGGTCATTGTAACTCCCAGTTTATAGCCATTTGCTCAGAAGCACAGGTGACAACCTACTAGTTGCAACTGCAATTAGCATCTGAAGTAGGGGGCAGTCTTGTGGGACTAAGCCTTCCACCTGTGGGGTCTGGTGCTATTTCCAGGTAAATAGCATCAGAATTGAGTTAAATTATAGGACATTCAGTTGGTGTGCGCTGAGTAATTCCTTTTTGTGTGGGGAAAACACACACACACTTGGTGTCAGAAGTATCGAGTGGCATGTGAGAATAGGAAAAAACAGTTTTGTTTTCCTTTACAAGTGGCCTTCTCTCTTACTGGCTTATTTAAACCACTCGCTCCAGCCCACCTTATGTCTAAATGAGGTCAGTGCTAGGAATGAAGATCGAAGCACAGGTACATCAGGGCTGCAGAGGAAATGCCATCAGTAGGCAGAGCTATCTGAGAGATGCTTTAGGCAGCCTGAGGAGTGGACAGGCAAATGTCCTTCCATGTGGCTACCTAGCCTCCCCAGGCATCATTTTCAGGGCTGAGGCTAATGTCCTCTGTCCCTATGATGGGAGAAGGGCATGGAGGAGAACCTGGAAGAATCTTTGACCTGGCACTTGAAGCTGATCTGCTTGACGTCCTGGTCCCTAATCCACTCCATTCCACTGCTTGTCTGTCCCCTCTCACCTTCCTCAGGACAGCAGCAGTGGGCAGGACAGCAGGGACAGCGGATATAGCAGCAGCAATACTGAGGACAGCACTGGCACCAGCACACTCCAATCAGCAGCAGGAGGAGGAGGGCTCCCAGGATGATGAAGATCACTGTCAGCCAGTCTGCAGGGGAGAAGCCAAGCAGGGGTTGAACTAAATATTCAGGGGGAGGGAATACTTCCAGTTCTGATATCCTAGAGGTCTCATAAACACAGCTCTTGACCTACAGGTTAAAGTTGAGCAATATACTGGCAAAAAGGTAAAAGTTTAGCTTTGATAAGGGAACTTTAGAGGTTGATAATCCAATGACAAGAACTTAGGCTTGCTTATTTCTGGTTTTTTTTTTTTTTTCCTGTGAGTAAAAGTGTTACGGCAGTGAGGGTGACTGAATAGAAAGCTCCAGTAGCACTTACGTAGGACGATGAGCTTTACTTCCTTATCGGGGTCTCCTGATGTGTCCCCTGGAGCCTCAATGGTGCAGTAATACACTCCATGGTCCCACCACATCACTTCATTTATCACGAGATCTGCTCCTACACAGTAAGGAGGGAGAAAGTGCCAGTGTCAGAGGAGAGAGCACTGGTTTCTAACCCATGACACCCTCAAGACCTGGGCAGCATGGCAAGACCTTGTATTTACAAAAAATAATAAAAAAAAAATTATCCAGCCATGGTGGCATGTGCCTATAGTCCCAGCTTCTCTGGAGACCGAGGTGGGAGGATCGCTTGAGCCCAGGAAGTTGAAGCTGCAGTGAGCTATGAGTGTGCTAATGCACTCCAGCCTGGGCAACACAGTGAGACCCTATCTCAAAAAAAAGTTAAAAATAAAATACTGTTTAAGTTGCCAGTATATGGGGCTTTTACTTACTCGCAATCAAACCTAATCCTAACTGGTACACTGGAAATGATTATTTAGCTGCATTTCAGATGAAGAAAATCAAGACTCAAAGGAACTGGCCTAATAACATGGAGACAATGCTCATCAGAGGTAGGTTCAAACCCACATCTCTCTGCCTCAAAGCTGGTACTCTTAACCACCAAGCTTTCCTGTCTTCTCTAAATTGGGTGGAAAAACTCCACATTCTGGGTCCCTTATCAGCCTAAAATGAGCAGTTATCTCTGGATCCTGAAGGACAGGTATGAGATGAACTTGAATAAAGATAAAATGCCAGTATTTTAAAAGTAAATGTAACTCAAGAAGAGTTTCAGTTCTAGTGGGCACTCAGGTTTTTTGTGTACCTCCATTAGGATAGATGAATGGTTTATATATATATTTGCTGTACATTCATTTTTTTTTTAATTTTAAGGTCAGGGGTATATGTGCAGGTTTGTTACACAGGTAAACATGTGCCATGGCGGTTTGCTGCACAGATCATCCCATCACCTCGGTATAAAGCCAAGCATCCATTAGCTGTGCTTCCTGACGCTCTCCCTCCTACATCCCCACACCCTCCAACAGGCCGCGGTGTGTATTGTTCCCCCCATGTGACCATGCATTCTCGTCATCCAGCTTCCACTTATAAGATCATCAGGGTGGACAGACAACCTACAGAATGCGAGAAAACTTTTGCAATCTATCCATCTGACAAATGTCTAATATCCAGCATCTACAAGGAATTTAAAATGAATGGTTAATATTTATGTTCAAGTTTAGCAAAGTCAATAAATAT
The DNA here is from genome assembly GCF_000001405.40 of Homo sapiens. Taxonomy (NCBI): domain Eukaryota; kingdom Metazoa; phylum Chordata; class Mammalia; order Primates; family Hominidae; genus Homo; species Homo sapiens. Next base: position 122,003,001 of record NC_000003.12, read on the forward strand.
TCACTAAAGCCCTTTTGTGGGTCCAGCATTATGTCAGGCACCGAGGAGATGTAAAGAGAAACAAGACCCTCTTCTGTCCTGAAAGGGTTTAAAATCCAGTCAAAGGCATCAGGGCAGCCTCCGTGTGAAGTGCAGCGGCAGGCAGTTCCAGCTCCCCCACCCACAGTAAATGCCACGGAACCTTAGCATTACAGACTTGCTCCTGCTAGGTTGGTGGTAATATCTGCAATTCTTTATTATCTGTTTGTCAAGAAATGTTTATTGAGGAAATGAAACAAAAATGCAAGGTCACGCACCAGTGGACCTAACTTTGACTTCTGTTTCCTTCTCTTTCTACGTCAATATCTACAATTTTTTTCCTACCCGCTATTTTCCAAACCCACTACCTTTCCCAGAAATAAGCTTACCCCAGACTTGGAAAAATGATGAAAGTGCTTTTAAAAAACTCCCCCTCAGGGCATGATGTGTATTGTAAATCTGCTCTAATTTTTATTGGTGACATAAAGAGTATTTTAGGGGTGTCAGAGTAAGAAGAGTTTTCAGATATGTTAATATTTTAAAGGATCTAAGGACTGATTTGACAGGGTCATCTCAAATGATGCAGGCATAGGCAAAAAAGTGTCAGAAAACAAGGGCTTCAGGAAGTCACAACAAGCCTGGAGACAGAAATAAAAACAGAGGAGAATACTAATGCATTCCTGTGGTAGTAAGAATGAAGCAGGGTTTGAGCCAAAGGTGGCTGGGAGTGGGAGTAGTGGAAGGTATTTACCTTCACGTTTTTAGAAAAAAAAAAATAATAAGAGCAGGGACTAGCTACTATGGGGATTTCCATCCTTCAGAAACTGTTCAGGTAATTTGCTAATTAAAGAGGCTTGAAACTTTGAGGTCAGATAAGAACAAATTCTGCTGGCTTTGGAAAAGGCAGAACCACCTTGGATCTTTGAAGATGCCCCTGAAGACTAGAAAAGAAGGACAGATGTACCCTAAAACTGAGGGCTGGCTTGGGGAAAATCAGATGCCGAATGTAAAAAAAAAAAAAATCAGACTTAAGTGTTATAGACAAAACTGAAAGCAATTATTAAACTGGTTCCCCTTAAGTGACCTACCTTTAAACAGTCAGAATATTCACTGATTCCTTGATATTGTAGCGATGGCCACCATGAGTGGCCCACTGGGTGTATTCTTCCCTTTTTCCCCTTTTAACTAACAAATATTTATTTAACACAGCACATAAAGCCCATTGAAATAGGCTCTGAATTATGTGCTACTCTATGGCAGCAACTGTGGATTACACAATAGAAATATGAGGAGCTAAGCTAAGCCATTTATCCAAAAGTACACGGAGTGATAACTAATGCTTACTGCCCACTTCCTGTTTGCTAAATGCTTTATACATATTACCTTAGTCCCCACAAATCTCCATGAGCTAGGTACTATGGCAAGTCCCATTTTATAGAAATTGAGGCTGAAAAAATTGGAGAGGCTTGCCCAGGTTCATATACCCTGTAAATGCAGAATTGGGATGCACACCCGCACCTGACTCCAGAGTCAGGGCTCTCACCACTACTCCCTGCACTGGGCACAGAGAATAGATAGGCTTTAGACACAGCTCTCACATAGCGCGCTAGATATTCACTTTGGAGTAGGGAGGAAGATACCATGATGCCTGTCGTTCAGATGAAGAAACAGAAGCCAAAGAAAATAACTGATCACTGGTCACTGAGCTAGTGAGAGGAAGCACTAGGATTCTCACTTGGGGCTTTTTAGTCCAAGCCCAGTGTTCTTTCTTCTATCAGTGGAGGACAGTGGTCTCAAGGTGGTCATCTGCTCAGAGGACCCTATTTCCTTCCATGTGAACAACAGGAATAGCCGGAAGGAAACTCAGGGACCTGGGGTTTCAGTAGGCCCTGAGAGCAATTTGTGGAAGGAATCAAAGAAACCTGATCCACAACTTAGCCCTGAATCTCAGGAAAGCAAAGGGAACCATTCACCCCTAGACCTTTAGCCAAAGCTATAGATAGCAACAGAACAACCTCTGGTCCAGAGACCAACTTCCAGGGAAGTCACTTCAGCTGGTGCAGCACATTCTATGAAGCTGGCACTTTCCTCAAACAATGACAGTGACCAAGTAGACCAACAGGCAGCAGAAAGAAATGGGAAATCCCATGCTGACTCAGCCTGCCAGGCCTGGTGTCTGCACCTCCCCCCACCCCCAGTTCCCCTGACACCTCCCCCGCACTCACGGTTCTGGATGGTGATCTTGCGCTGCCGGTAATCTACCCCCAGCACGGGCTCATTCTGCCCCCGCCGCTGGGCCACTATGCGAACTTCCCGCTGGTTGTCGTTGCAGTCATTGGATGGGTCCTGGCCCAGGGATAAAGCTGCCTGGTATGCTGAGGAGAGAGGGCACACTAGAGTCACACAGCAATAGGGGGTTCCCACAAAAAAAAGGTTCCCTTCCTGCTCCGGGCGTGAGACACAGTGAAGTGTCTCAATTTTTCCCAAGACTATTCATCCCTTGGGACTCTTGTTAATCACGAAGATCCTGATTCTGCAGGTCTAGAGTGGGGTCTGAGATTCTCATTTCTAATGAGAATCTGTGTGATACCAGACACCACATTTTGAGCAGCCAGACTCCTGACCATCATTTTCATGCCGGCTCTACTCCCCATCTCCTATTCCAACTTCCTTTGTCTCATTTTCAGAGTCACCCCAGCCTCTCTCTGCTCCCATGGAATTCATCCACCTGCCCTTAAAACATAAGGTCACATGCCTGTAGTCCCAGCTACTCGGGAGGCTAAGGCAGGAGAGTCACTTGAACCCAGGAGGCAGAGGTTGCGATGAGTTGAGATCACGCCATTGCACTCCAGCCTGGGCAACAAGAGCGAAACTCCATCTCAAAACAAAAACAAAAACAAAAACAAAAACAAACAAACAAAAAAAAAACCAAAACAGAAAATATAGGGTCTGAGAGCTGTTAAATCTGCCCCTGGCAAATGCCTGCTACCCTAGCCTCTCCTCCCTGGCCACTTAACCCAGGCATTTTAAGAGTAACCCCCAGGAAACAATGCCTCAATTTAGAGAGGAGTCTTTTGGGGACAATGGCAGACTCAGTGGGTGGCTCAGACAGCTCTTGAGGTTCTACTCAAATCATATTGTGAGACATTAGCTCAAGGGCTCAAAAAGGTGAAGACTAATGCCTCCCTCTCCATTTGCTTCTTCTCAGGAGGCTCACTTTTCCCTATGAACAGGGTGTCTACTTCTATTCTCAAAATCTCCAAAAAATTAATTGTCTTGGTGCTAACAGTGGGGTGGTTCTAGGTTCCTTTGTTCTTTGAGAGAAGGCAGAAATGGGCAACTAGGAAAGGGCTCTGATCCAGACAGCACAACCCATATGCCTGGGGCAGTTGTTACTGAAAGGCAGGACTGGCCAACTCTAAGGAGGAGTTGTGTAGCACTAAGAGACTTCCCACAGTTAAAGGGCTGCCTGGGGGGGCACTGGAGGGCTTAGTCAGCAGAGGAATGACCATCTTCCCGAAGGCATACTGAAGAAGGGAATATAGCAAGGAGCAAGAGACTTCACAAATGACCACTCATCATTTGTGCTGAGTGTAGAGTCTTCTTGCCTGCATTCTAAGGTGGTGGGGGTGAGGGGAGGCGGGCCTGCATCATCAGCTCAGCACATTGGCATGGAACCAGGAATGGACAGGGAGGCAGGACTTTTCCCTAATGTTTAAGTTTCTTTAAATTTTTTTGAGAACAAAGCAGGAAAAAATTTTAAAATAAACTAGTATGTGACCTTGAATACATTATTTCATCTACCTGGGCTCCGTTTGTTTATCTATAAAACAGAGGAACTACATTAGGTGATCTTTGTGTCTTCTCCTCACTACCAAGATTTGTAATCCTAAATAATCCCTCAACCCTAACCGCAGTATGTCACAGAGGTGTCTGGGACCCACAGAGGGCCAAGGGGGTAAGGATACTCACACGCTGAGTAGTAGTCAAAGATAGGGTCCTTGCAGAAGGACTTGAAGCGCCATGTCACCACCACGTCCTGGAGCTGGGCAGAGGTGGTGTAGTCACATTTGAGGATGATAGAGGCAAACAGGGTGACATAGCGTTCTGTGTGCTGGACCGTCACAAGCAAGGACAGGCACCCTAAAGCCAAGAGCAGGAGAAAATGCTGAAGGTGACCTACTCTGCTCATGGGTAAGAAAAACAATGCAAATGGGCAAAAGATATTGCCTGCCATCCTGCCTGACCTGGCTAGGAGCTCACAGACAGAGTCTGGGTTCTTACTCACCTGGGCAGGCTATGGGTGGGGTGGGGTGAGAACGCACTCAGCAGCCTCAGAGGGACATAGGAAGAAAGGAGTGAGGAAAACTCCCAGGAATTTACAGTGCATTAACAGTGATGACATATCCAACAACAATATAAGGATTGTATCAAAATAAAGCCACATTTGTACAGAAGTGACACTGCTAATATATTTTTTTCCTCACATCATGTCTCTTCTTAAAATGGTTTCCCGTTTCCTAAGGATAAAGTTCAAGCTCCCTAACCAGGCCTACGAAACCCGTTAGGTCAGCCTACTGCCCTTCTCGTCTGCCCCGTGTCCCTTCACGTCCCATCGAGGGGTCAGCCATTCTGAGCTTTCTTCAGTCCTTCCCATGCTAAGACCATTCTCTTCTCCAGGTGCAGCTCTTTCAGCCTGGAGCACTCTTCCACATCACCTGCCACTGCTCCACTCTCTTCCCTGGGCTAATTATGATTCGTGCCTTGGGACCTCAGCTGAACAGGGTTTCTACTTCTGTCTACCCCATAGACAGGGTTCTGTGTCTGTAACCCTACCTTCTCCAGCAGCCCTCCTGTCTGCAAATCTGGGAGAGGGGCCTCCCTATTTTTTTCCTAAGTGCGCCAACCTACCCCTAGGCAGCACTTTTCATGCTTCTTGTTGATGGTCTGCTAACTGTGGGCTCAGAGAAAAACGCAGTCGGCCTTCTCAAAGTCATTGCTCAAATACCAGTGCCCAGTACTGTGCCTGTCACCTACTTGGCACCCAACAAATGCTTGTTGAATAAATGATGGAATGAATGACTAAGAATATATTAACCAGTGGAAATTCAGCAGTACAGGCAGTGAGCATAAGCATAGAGCAAATAAAACAGATGTGACAAACTGGATCAAGAAAGACTTGAAGAAATTAAGAGGAGATTTTTCCTTTTAAAAAATGTCCTCTCCCTACCCTCCAAACCTACAGGCATACTTAAAGCTCCAGGTGTGCCTTGATAAGGGATTAGGTAGCACCAAAATGTCAGGTGGGACTTTGGCACAGTCAGGGGTCCAGACATAACCAGCACCTTGGAACATTCCTATGTTAGTTTGGTTTCTAGGCCAAGTTGTGAAGGGGTTCTCTAGTGGGAGGTTTAGTGTGGAGCACTAGTACTCAAACTTGAGTATGCATCACCAGAGGACTTGTGACAGCCCAGATCACTGAACCCTATGCTAGGAGTTTCTAGTTCCGTAGGACTTGGGTGAGGCCCAGAGACACGCATTTTTTATTTCTTTTCTTTTCTTTTCTTTTCTTTTCTTTTTTTTTTTTTTTTTTGAGATAGAGTCTCGCTCTGTCACTCAGGCTGGAGTGCAATGGCACGATCTCAGCTCACTGCCACCTCCACCTCTCGGGTTCATGGGATTCTCCTGCCTCAGCCTCCCAAGTAGCTGGGATCACAGGCGCCTACCATCACACCTGGCTAATTTTTGTATTTTAGTAGATGCAGGGTTTCACCATGTTGGCCAGGCTAGGCTCAAACTCCTGACCTGAAATGATCCACCCGCCTCAGCCTCCCAAAGTGCTGGGATTACAGGTGTGAGCCACTGCGCCCGGCCTGAGCCACTGCACCTGGCCTTCTTTTTTTCTTTCTTTCTTTCTTTTTTTCTTTTTTTTTGAGATACAGTCTTGCTCTGTTGCCCAGGCTAGAGTGCAGTGGCGCAATCATGGCTCACTGCAACGTTGACCTCCTGGGTTCAAGTGATCCTCCCATCTCAGCCTCCCAAGTAGCTGAGACTACAGGCATGCACCACCATGCCTGACTTTTTAAATTTTTAGTAGAGATGAAGTCTTGCTATGTTGCCCAGGCTGGTCTTGAACTCCTAACCTCAAGCAATCCTCCAGCCTCAGCCTCCCAAAGTGCTGGGGTTATAGGCGTGAGCCACTGCACACAGCAATTGATATAAATTTCTAACTAATTTCCAGGAGATGCTGATGCTACTGCTCTAAGGACCATACTCTGAGAACCACTGGTGTAGACTCAATTTAAAACACACACACACACACACACACACACACACACACACACACAGGCTTTAGATTCAGATACAGCTGGGTTCAAATTAAACTTTAATATTTACTTGAATTTTGGACAAGTTATTTACTCTCTCTCTGAGCTAGTTTCTCAGCCATGAATGAAGATGATGATAGTGCTAGCCTTATCAGGTCCTTGCAAGAATGCAATGAGATAATCTACTGTCCTTGGCATGAAGCCTTGCACATACACTGCCACATTAGTGTCAGTATGTGAGTCTCTTCCTTTTTTTCCCCTTATTACGAGGGCCAAGGAGAAAGAGGTTGGAGTTGGGGTTTTCTCCAACAGAGTTTTCAAACGGAGCCACCTTCATTTTGACCAAGGTACTCCCACAAACAAAACAAATGTAGTTATTATCCTACGGAGCAGCTAGGTGGGCCTGTCTTGAACGCTAGAGCACATGATTCTTGGGTCCTGCCTGACCTACTGGTCACAGCCCTTGTAAGACTGTCCCCTTAAACTTCTGATAGGCACCTGCATCTGGGTTTCTCACATCCATAGACAGACAGCAGAATGCTGCTCAGGACAGGCACTCACAGAAATGACCTGACCACCTATCTCCAGGACTGGGCTGTGATGCAGATGCCCCATGGCAGATGTGCTGGATAGAGACTCTGCGGCAGTGCAGGCGAGAGCTGTGGGCAGGAAGACTTCATGAAAGGAAATGATTTAACCTAGGCTCCAAGAAGCAGGTAGAACTAAGATCACGCATGAGAAGTAGGAAGAAGGCAGAGAAACTCATTGTTTCAGTAAGCAAGAAAGGAGGGAGCAAAGAGCCTTATTAGGAAGGGGCAGTTACTTGGGTAACCTGGGGGAAACCAATCTAGCTGTGTCTCCAGCTTTATGGAAAACAGAGAAGATAAATAAGGCGGGGCTGGTGGTGGTGAGTGGGAGGTGGGGCGATGGGGTGAAGTCTAAATCACAATCCAGTTCAATTTCTTGTCCATGGATCATCACTGAAGTCTTTTCTGAAGAACAGTAATACAGTGAAAGTGGTGTTTTTAGGAAGATAGATGACTTCCCCACTCAGCTGTAAATGAAAAAAAAATATATATCATTTTAAAAATAAACCTTGAGTGGTTTTGGGAAAAAAAGCTGCTGTCTCCGTAAGCTGTAGAGTCCCAGAAATCAGGCCAATTAGAATGGAAGGGCCGGTGACCAGCATCTCAAGCCTAACATGGCTTTCTTAATCTAATTTTTGGTTCTTGTTCTTTCTCTGTGACTACCCCTTTGTGTGTTTTTTGTTTTTTGTTTGTTTGTTTCTTTTCTTCCAGAACTGACCTGAAATAGACCTTGGAGATCTCACCAACCACAGTTTTATCTGAATAGTAGAAGCAGCCACAGATAAGATTTTCACAATGAATAGGTTGCCATTGTCAACACTGGCTTATTTTGTTCCATAACACACATACCGATGAGAAGAGAGAGGAAAACACTGATATTGGTCTAAATAAAATCTTAGGTTCAACAGCATCTTCAAATATATTCTTTTATATACTAAATGTGATACCTGGGAGAAGATTAGCTGTGCTCACTTCCTGTACAACAAATCTGAGGCTTGGAAATTTAAGGGACTTGTCTGTGGTCATTCGTTTTTTCTAAGGGGGTCAGAGTCGAGATTCTGTCCCTGAGCAGTGCTCCTGCCTCTCAGCTTGGCTATTCTTTAAATAAAAGATAATTGGTATTCACAAGTTTGCAAATAATTTGAGCTGGGGGCCAGGCTATGTGAGCAATAATTAAAATATAACTGGTGCAGTCACTCTGACACAGTAAAATAAAGAACATGTAGGCTCCTTATTTGGCTGAATGTAATTTGATATAAATAGCAGTTTAATCAACACTCTAGTCAATATCACCTGTATAGAGGTAGCGCATTTGGGAGCAGGGAGACCAGGTTTGCTGGGGGTCAGAAAAAGGAATTTGGTTAGAGTCAGAAATTGCTGTGGGGTAGCTTTGAAGATTGCAGAATCTGACACCCTTGAGGAGGGGAAATGGGGAGAAAGGTGATCACTCAGCTCCCCTTCCATGAATGCCCTTATTGTGGACAAACCACATTTGGGGTGACAAAACTCACCTTTACCAACGTCAGCACTGACTTTGCTGCTTGGGTACTCTTTTATCTTCTCTTCTATTTCATCCCTGTGTGAATATCAAGCCTTGATATCTGCCAGGTTCAACAAGTTCTGGCCATCTTGAGCTCATTCACACTCTCTCCAGGGGTCTGCCAGCCAGCCCCACAGCATCCTGTGCAGACCTCAAACGTCCACCCCCTGCCCTGTCTCTCTTTCTCTCTCTCTCTCTCTCTCTTTCACACACACACACACACACGGGAAGAGTCCCAGGAGAAGAGGTACTGAACAACCCAGCAAACTCTTCTCCCATATCTCAGTTGTTGCTGTGGGTCCTTAGCATCTATTATGCACCGGGTGATGTACATTCTTGGTCTCTAAATCTCACAAACCCCCTCAGCTAGGCAACAGCCCTGCTCATATAGGTGGGCAGAAGTTCAGCTCAGAGTATAAGCCACACCCCCACGTGTCCAACATCACATACCTAAAAAGTGTCAGCATCAGGATTTGAGCTTGGGCCTTGCTGACAACAAATCCCAATTTTTCCCAAGCAAGCAAGCTTGATCTTCCAAAGTAGAAGTCAGGCGCCAGGCTCTTAAAAAGCAGTCAGATTTTCCAGATTGGGAAGGAAAGGCAGTAGCAAGACAGTCCATCTCAAAGGCAAAAATCACCCACTTTCTTTTCCTATATCCTCTAACTTCTCTGTAAACCTAACCACACTGGGCATGCACAGAACTAAGCAGGTGGAGTTTTCAAGAAAGGACCCAAAGCAGCAAATCAGGCTGAAAATGTGAACAGGATCAAAAAAGAGAAACGTCCTGATTGTAGTCATCCTGGTTGCAACTTTGCTCTTTCAGGCTTACTACAAGTTTTCAAATTCTTAATTTTTTTTCTATTCTTAAAATTCCTTTATCCTGTGGAATTTTCTCCTCCCCAGTTCATTGACTCCTCATTTCCTAGCTGTCTCTATCATTTTCTCTCAAAAATGTTAATTCTAGAACCTGACTCCCTGAGTTCAGATTCTGTCTCCAATCCCTAACAGCTGAATGGTAATGTAATATAAACAGCAGTTTATTAAACACTCTAGTCAACATTAGTTGCTGGGGGTCAGAAAAGGGAATTTGGTTAGAGTCAGAAGTTGACCTAGCAAGTTATTTCCAAACTATTGTTTTCCTTTGTATGCAAAACTGAGATGAAGATAATACCTGCCTCAGAGGGTTGTGGTGAGCATAAAAAAATGTCCCCCATTTAGCAAAGAGCCTGGCACATATAGACATTCAACAAACCTAAGCTATCATTTGTATCATTTGTACTTATCTTGACTACTTCAGGAGTTCCAGATCCACTGAGACTAGCATGTAAAAGCATTTTGAAAAAATGATACAAATGTAAACTATCATGATTGTCTTCTCTTTGCAAAATGAGTTGGTGCCTCAAAAGCTTCAAAAGTTTCATAGCTTTGTACCCTGGTGGACTCATTCACAGCTTGCCAGGCTCTGTGAAAGAAGGGAAGGAGACCTGTCACATGGGTAGAAAGGAAACTTCAGATGAGATATCAGAGCTCATGGGAAGGAGAGAAGGGGAAGGGGATTCTCTGATTCCCGCCATCAGGTACTTTCCAAGGCCAGGCTGCTGTGCTGAGTGGGGACTACCATCCTACACTAAAACAGAAGGAAACACACCAACCAGGGCAGAGTATCTTTACAACTAAATGTCATCTGTTCCTAAATACATGCACATCTTTGCACATTTTTTTATTCCTCATTTCCTGTGTAGTATTAGATTTGGCAAGAAGGAGTTTTAGTTTGTAGAAGATACTCACACAGTATAGGAATACAGGTATATATTTTAAAATATTTTTAAAATTAAGAACTATTTTGAAGGACTAGATGGCACTTCCCCTCCTTTCCTATGAACAGGCCTGCTTGGAAGGGATGGTAGGCAGGAGGGTGAAGGCAGGTCTTTGCCGGCAAGGGGCAGTGGCCTGGGACTGACAGGAATTGATTCCTGAGTGTTTTTCAGGTATACAAGCACCCTGACTCCATGTGGCAGGTTAACAAAATGCACACAGGTTCAATGCTATCAGAGTTTATGGCTGAGCAGGCTATCTCACCAAGCATATTTACCATCAGTGCCTGTTACATTTCCTCAGATAACAGTGCAAATATGAGCGGAATCAAGGAGAAGAGGGACTAGCTATGAACAAGAAGGAGCAAGACAAGAAGTGACTAGCTATGGACAAGAAGAGACAAAGACAAGAGGGAGTGGTCACGAACAAGAAGGAAAGGATAGGGAGAGCAGAGAGAGGAGACCAGGAAAGCAGATGGGTGGGGAGCGGAATGATGTCTAGGTACTGTGTGTTTACCCAAGGTCTGGCATGCAACACTTAACAGTGCAGCACCCCGAGAAGGAAAGTGCTATGTGCTGAGCACTTACTATGTTGTTTGACACGGTATTGGGTGTTTTATTATACATTATCTCATTTAACCTTTGCAAGAAACTGATGAGATAAGCTTTACTTTCTCTCAATTTCATTGATGAGGAAAATTCTGAGAGATTAAGTAATCTGCTTAAGGCCACACAGCTAGAAAGTAGCAAAGCTGGATTTAAGCTTAGACCTCCACTACACTACCATGTCTTCTGGATAAGTTTTCTAAATGGTTGAGATTTAACCCTTTGAGGAATATTCACGCACTTAAGGGACATTCACAAATTTATTTTAATCATTTTGTACAGAAGCTCTTCTTCCTTTTTGTTTGTTAATACAAAATAAATAAGTGAGAAACTTCAAACAGTGGAGGGGGTATCAAGTAAAAAGTTCCTCCTTGCTCACCATGAATTCCACTTTCCAGAGGTACTGCTGTTGACAATTTGGTCTACATCCCTTCACATCTTTTCCTATGTTGTTTTTTTTAAATTAATCATATTATGTACATTGATTTGTGACTTTTTCTTCAAACTAATGATATATTGTATATCAGTATATGCAGATCTATTTTTTTTTAGTAACTGCATGAACATTTCACTCCATCAATGAGCCACTTTTATTTACACATTTTCCAAATTATGGACATTTAGGTTGTTTCTGACTTTTAAGTATTATAAGCAATGCTGGCATTAATTACTGAAATGAATATGATTATATAAGTACGTCTTCACATGCGTTCTTTTATTCCAGTAGAATATATATCTCAAAGTGAGTTAAAGGGAATAAACCTTTTCTATTCGAATAGATACTTCAGGAAAGAAATGTATATTCCCATAAATAGCCAGTGACAGTCCCATGTTTCACCACAACCTATTCAAAAGAGGAAAATATCAATCTTTAAATTTTTTTTTGATAAACTACTAAGTGAAATAAATAGCCACTCAGGTGGTTTGAACTTAACATCCTTTTGGTTACCGGGGGAGAGGCCAAGACCTGGTTGAGGGGCAGATGCTTGGGGTTTCCCAAAGTCATTCACCCAGGTTAGTGACTCATGTCTCCACACACTAATCTCAGAGCACATGCAAATTTAGGCATGACCAGAACACACACATTCATTCATTTATTGAGTACACACTCTGAGCCAGTCATTAGTAGAAAATAAGAGATACAGGTCCCTGCACTCTTGGAACTTGTGCTCCTGGTAGGAGAGTCAATGATAAACAAGTAAACACACAGACAAAGTAGTTCCTGTCATGGATGAGTTTTAAAGCATTGATCAGAAACTACGAGAGCATTGAATATTAAATCTTACTCCTGTACAATAAGGGACTAAAACAGACACATGTATCCAAATGCTCCTGATAGTTCTTCTTGGTTGTTTCAAGTTCTAAATCAAGCCCAAAATCTAAATCATCATCCTTCCATACAAACTTGGGCCTCTCCCACATTTCCCATCTCAGTGAATGGAAAAGACCAAAAACTAGGAAGGAATCATCCTGGTATCTTTTTTTCCTTTGCTCTTCATATACAGTCTGACATGGTTTGGCTGTGTCCCCACCCAAATCTCATCTTGAATTGTAGTTCCCATAATCCATATGTGTTGTTGGAGGGACCAGGTGGAGATAATTGAATCTTGGGGTGGTTTCCCCATTCTATTTTCATGATAGTGAGTTCTCACAAGATCCAGTGGTTTTATAAGGAGCTTCCCCCTTCACTGGGCAATCATTTCTCCTGCCACCATGTGAAGAAGGACATGTTTGCTTCCCCTTCTGCCATGATTATAAGTTTCCTGAGGCCTCCCCAGCCCTGCAGAACTGTAAGTGAATTAAACCTCTTTCCTTTATAAATTATGCAATCTCAGGCAGTTCTTTATAGCAGCATGAGAACGGACTAATACACAGTCTACAATCAGATTGGGCTTATTTATCGCCGAAATATTTCCAGAATCTCTCTCTCTCTCCAATTTCACTACTATCCTAGCACAAGCTACTATTATGTCCAGCCTCCATATCACCTGTGCTTACCTAGTACTGTACTCATGCATGCTCTGGTTCCCCCTGCTAGGTGGATTCCACATTGCTGTTAGTCTCCCAATTCCTCCTCCTTAAAAACCTCTAACAGCTGTCCATTTCTGTTAAGATAAACACAAAACTTCCTACCATGACCCATGCAGCCATGCACATCTGGTCCTACCCACTTCTCTGGCCTCAACTCCACCACTCTTCCTGTGGCTTCCTTCACTCAGTCCCGCTAACATTCTTCTCATCTCTCATACACACTAAGCTCCTATCCAGCAGTCTTGCAGATGCTATTACTTTGGTTTGAATTCATCGTTCCTCAGTACTCATGCATCATCCCTTCAGGGAGGGTCTTCTGACTGAGCAAAATCCATCTACTAAGTGCTCTTGTGGTACCTTGTATCCTTCTTTCCTGGCCTTGTCACAGTTGTATTTCTACATTCACTTGAATTCCCTTTAGACAATAAGCACCACGGGGGCCAGGGCCATGATGGCTTTTGTTTGCCAGCACGAGGTCTTGCACCAAGTGCACATTAAACATTTGCTAAACAAAAGAACAGATACATTCATGCAAGATAGACTAAATTGCTTGGAACAAATTTTAAGTGCCCTAAAAGTTCAAAAAAATGGTTAACATTAACCATGTCTAGTACAGCCAGACAAAAAGCAAGAAAGAAGGGTGTGTGTTGAGGAGAAAGGTTATACAATAAGACCATGCCTGTATCTGGGGGGACAAGGCTTCCCAAAGTAGTGAGCCCAGAATTAGTTGGCCTTGAATTTCAAACAAAGAGCTTTAGCCCAGTCTCATAAGCTATAGGGATCTAATGGAGCTTCTTTGGATGGAAGATTAAAATGAAAGTGGGAATGATTAACTCAGGTAGGTTTAACCTATCATCTGCATAGAGAATGGTTGGAAGTAGACAGAAGTAGCAGGACTAGAGGCAAGAAGATGCTTAAAGTAGGCTAGTATAAGAATTGTCACCCAAAATAGAAAAGAAGGGGCAGATCCTGGGACTAAGTAACAGAACTCAGTGATTACCTGGTTATGAGAAATAAAGAAAGTGTCAAAATTGCTTTCCTCTGATCCCTCCTTATCTCAAGAGTTGCAGATTGGGAGATCTAGAAAGAACTGGGGACATGGCCAGAGTCTTCTCAATTCTTTATTTTATTTTATTTATTTATTTTTGAGAAGGGGTCTCTTTTGCCCAGGCTGGAGTGAAATGGCGCGATCTCGGCTCACTGCAACCTCCGCCCCACCGGGTTCAATTGATTCTCCTGCCTCAGCCTCCCGAGTAGCTTGGATTACAGGCATCTGCCACCACGCTGGGCTAATTTTTGTATTTTTTGTAGAGAAGGGGTTTCGCCATGTTGGCCAGGCTGGTCTTGAACTCCTGACTTCAAATGATCCACCTGCCTTGGCCTCCCAAAGTGTTAGGATTACAGGCGTGAGCCACCGTGCCCGGCCAGAGTCTTCTCAATTCTTAAAACACACAATTTTATTTTCCACCAAGGACTTCAGATAATGAAATAAATTATTATGGTAAAAGAAACCCAGGTAGACTGTACACTAATCACCCAACGGCTTGTTTCACTGCATTGTTGTTGGGGCAAGATGTTTAAACATTAGCATTTAGTTAGACATCCAGGAAGCAGACACCTGTTTCTATTTCTGTATACTAGAATTCAATTAAACAAGACAAACTATCATCAGAGTGAACAGGCAGCCTACAGAATGGGAGAAAATTTTGCAATCTATCCATCTGACAAAGGGCTAATATCCAGAATCTACAAAGAACTTAAACAAATTTACAAGAAAAAAGCAAACAACCCCATCAAAAAATGGGCAAAGGATATGAACAGACACTTCTCCAAAGAAGACATTTATGCAGCCAACAGACATATGAAAAAATACTCATCATCACTGGTCACTAGAGAAAAGCAAATCAAATCCACAATGAGATACCATCTCATGCCAGTTAGAATGGTGATCATTAAAAGTCAGGAAACAACAGATGCGGGAGAGGTTGTGGAAAAATAGGAACGCTTTTACACTGTTGGTGGGAGTGTAAATTAGTTCAACCATTGTGGAAGACAGTATGGTGATTCCTCAAGGATCTAGAACTAGAAATACCATTTGACCCAGCCATCCCACTACTGGGCATATATCCAAAGGATTATAAATCATTCTACGATAGAGACACATGCACACATATGTCTATTGCAGCACTATTCACAAGAGCAAAGACTTGGAACCAACCCAAATGTCCATCAATGATAGACTGGATTAAGAAAATGTGGCACATATACACCATGGAATACTATGCATCCATAAAAAGGATGAGTTCATGTCCTTTGCAGGGACATTGATGAAGCTGGGAACCATCATTCTCAGCAAACTATCACAAGGACAAAAAACCAAATACCGCATGTTCTCACTCATAAGTGGGAGTTGAATAATGAGAACACATGGACACAGGGAGGGGAACATCACACACCAGGGCCTGTTGGGGTGGGGGGGGGGTAGGGGAGGGATAACATTAGGAGAAATACCTAATGTAGGTGATGGGTTGATGGGTGCAGCAAACCACTATGGCACGTGTATACCTATGTAACAAAAGTGCACGTTCTGCACATGTAACCCAGTATAATTAAAACAAACAAACAAACAAACAAAAAACCTGCTCCACAGTATGAAATAGGAGAGAGAGCAATGGAGAAAGGGTGAAGACACCAGGGTTCTGGTCCCAGTTCTCAAACTAACTCCACTCTGTCAACCTGAGACACATGACTTGGGTCCAGATTTCCTTATCTGTAAAACTGGCTGGGAGGGGAAGATAAAGGCTGGGAGTGATTTCTACCTGTGTTCAACAGAGCTCTGGGATTCTGGGGAGGTATTCAGGAGCTCCCAAGGAGACAAGGGAGCAGCTGAGTGGACAGTCTCCCATCCATCACCCATACCCCCTCACCCTGAGATATATCAGGGAACTTTGTAAGATTTCATTAAGTCTACGGTATGGTCCATACGTCCACCCCCACCACCCAGGAAAAATTACTGTTCTAGATGCTGTCTCTCTAAGGATATTCTTACTTAGGGGTCGGTTGTCTGATTTCCCAAAGAATGATAATACAAGTTGATAGCTGTGTGGATCTGCAAGTTAACACCACACTGTGATGTTAAAAAAAATTCACTAAAGCAGAAATGACACACATCCTTTTAGAGTTTGGGGGATCGGCAGGGACACTAAACTTTCATTCTGAGAATAAACTTTGACATTGGATGAAGGCAACTAGAGCTATTAGCCAACAATGGTACTTACTTTAGCCTTATTTTAATGTTTTAAGGAGCAGATATTCACATATCACTTGTGATATTGTTAATGTGGGGATGATTTTTTAAATGAATTTTAATATCAGTAAGATAATATGTAATATCCATTGTTATTATTTTATTCAACTTAGTAATAAAATTTTTGTGATCATTTTGCTTCCATTTTATAAACTGTATATGTGTGCATACATGTCACAATGTACTTGGATCTTTCTGGGAGCTGTGAAAAAAAATCAGAAACCACTGCTTTGATAGATATTGAGAGCAAGAGAGGAAGCTTGATCTTCAGTTTGATCTTGACAGACACTTTGGGAAGTTTGGCTTAAAAATTAAGGAAAAGGTGGGGGAGTAGAGAAGGACTTATGCCCAGTATTTCCTGAGTGAAGACCACACACACCTACTTCTGACAAGTGATCTCTACACAGCTCAGAGCACAAGGACTGTGATAATATCACAAGACTCCCTGGCCTCAGAAGCTTCATTAGGGGCCCCAAGCCACAGTGACCAGCAAATACCTAAATATGACACAATTTTACTACTGCCTCACACTTTGCAATTGTGGGAACTTGGAGGCTAATCAGAGAATTGGGTTGACTCTTCTTCAGAGACAGGAGAGAACAAGGTGATGGACCAAAATGAACACACTCTAGTACAGGGTTTTCCAAAGTGCATATCACAGTTGCAGCGTGTCATTGACACTGTGCTTGACCTTAATCCACCCAACAATAGTTGGCCTTATTGAGAGGGCACAGGGAGTTGGCTTGTCAGGAATTTCACCTGTTTTCCAGGCAAAGGCAGTTTAAGTAATCCATCCAAAGTCACAACTAGTAAGAAGGAGATTCAGAATTCCAACCTGATAATCACCTGTTACTATAGCTCACATTTCTTAGCCATAGGGGAAGGAGGAATAGAGAAACTTGTTTCCTTAAAGTTAGCTTTAAACAATCCTACCTGGCTCTAATTCCTGACTACTATTATCACCCTAGCTAATATTGATTAAGCTTTCCCTCACTTTGTTCAGGCACTCTATTAAGCACTTTAAAACCTTAATTTCACTTAATCCTCACAAAAGCTGTATGAGATATGTACTATAATAATTGCTATTTACTGGAAGCTTTGAATAGTTTCGTAACTTGCCCAGTGTCACATAAACATCATTGACACAAACCACATTAAATAGCTGAATGTAGTTTATTTACATTTCTACACATAGGAAAACTATCTGCTAAAATAGCTATTTCCCCTCCAAGTGTTGGAGTCAAACAGTTGAAATATCAATTTCTCATCTATAAAGTGAACGTGAGTTTAGAGGTTTGCTTAGGATTACAAAGTCTTAATTCTGGGGATAGAATACCCAGGGGCAGTGGTGGGAGCAGAACTCTATTTTTTCTAAAAAGGTAGCTCAAGCAGCTTCAGAAATCCCCAGCTGCTGTGGAGTTTGAGATGAGCAGGGGAGCCACAGGAGAGAAGACTGTGCAAAGCTGTGGGATTTTTATAAATTTGCATTCATAGCCTAAGATGGTGTTTGGTGAAATTTTGGACACAAATTGAGGTGAGGTTTAGTTATTTCCCTGTGCATCGTGGGTGTCCAACATCTAGTCTTGTCAACTTCAGACAGTTTCTAGGGTCTATATCCTGTAGAAAATCTTGTAAGCCAGAGGGCCTTGGGGGATATCAATTTTCTAGTTTCCCTACCCTTTTGCAAGCCTCTCTCCCTTTTATTCTCAGCATTACGCTTAAGTTATGGTAGAATCCTGTCTGAATAAGATTTGATTATACCTGAGAAATTCGTTATGTCTTATGGAGCTTGTAGAAAGAACATTCTGCCAACACACCTTCATATTGCATCTGTTCCCAACCTAAAAATACAAGACTCAAATTGGTCTGTGAGCAAACTCTAAGTTGACCTTCCACTGACAACTTAGAGGTAAGAGGGCAGCTATTCTGAAAGGGAGGGGAGGGGTAAAATGAAATAAAACAGGGTGGAGCTTCCAAGGGAACTTATAAATTCTTCTTTGCAAGGTCACACCTACATCCTAATTGGAAAAGAGCTGAAAGAGCCTGCCCATTCTGTCCCTCAGCTACCCTTTCCTACCTGGTTTCACTCGTGGAGATACACACTTCTGTCAGATTTCCAGGACACACACAGAGATACACAAAATCATGTTTTCCAAAACAGAGAGGAGATTGGTGTGGAGGGTAAGAGAATGAAGCCTGAGAGGGTAGATGGTTGGACACCTGATGCAGGATGAGCAAGGGGTAAAGTTAGGGCAGTGACTGGATACAGAGAAAGTAGAAAAGTGACATTGAACATGGTTAGCCCAGAAGTACATGTTGTGGTCCTGCACAGTAGATTCAGATTCTGGCCAAACATTGCTTTACATACTGAGGACACATTATAACCTCCCAGAAATGAAATATATGCACTTCTGGGCCAATATGGTTGTCACCATATCAGATGAAAGGAAAAAGTAATTAGGAATTTTAAAGAACGGTGCTTTTGCCCCTATCAGTTCAGCTTCAGAGATCAAGAACTGCCTAATGACTGCAGGAACGAAAGTTCAAAGGCTCCAGGTTTCTCAGTTGCACCTGTTTGGGAAGGGCCTGGACTAACAAAAGAGAAAAGCAACAGGTTCCCACAGGCAGAAACTCGATCCAGTCCCCGCACCTCCTGGCGCCCATGCCAAGCGCCACCAGAGCGCGGCCCAGGCCTCCACTGCCCTGCCCGCGGCCAGCTCTGCAAGGCCACGCCACAATGGCTTCCTGTCTCCTTGGGTCCAGGGTGGGTACCATTTTTCCAAGGCTCACCTGCTGGGAGCCAGGTGCAGAGCAGCAGCCAAGGTGCGGGCAGTTTGGGCCATGCCATGCCGCCCCCTTTCTGGCCCTTTTCAGCTCAGGGGCTTCGGGGCACTGCGTCTTTCTTCCTCAGCTGCCGCCCCAGGACGCACCACCTTCTCCAAGGAACCCCTCGGGTTTCCCCTCCCTCGGCGCAGCGGGGAGGGAGCGTCCGCTCTGGTCCCGGGGCAGGTGCCGCCCGGCTCGTCCCCACCTGCGGCGCTCCCCACGGCTCCGCCTCCCGCCCCGCGCGCCGCCGTTTCCTGCTCCGCCCCCGCCTCCCGGGGGACTGCGGCCACCTTCCCTACCTGCTGCCGCCTCCTGCTCGCTGAAACACCGTCCCCCACCCCGCTGACGGAGAAGATTCCCACTTTCCTCCAGAAGTTCTCGGGAAATCTCATCCCCTGCAAATGTATCCCCCTCTCCTTCTAGAATTATGTGGATATAACTTTCTAGGGTGTGTTTCCTGCGTTATATTTCCATTCCCTTATAAATACTTGCAAAACATTGTTTTACTAAAAACACAGTAATATGAAGTTTACACGTAATGTCTGTTCAGATTTTCTAGGAAATAAAGATTCGTATCTAGGCCAGGCGCAGTGGCTCACGCCTGTAATCCCAGCACTTTGGGAGGCCGAGGCGGGTGGATCATCCGAGGTCAGGAGTTCGAGACCAGCCTGGCCTACATGGCGAAACCCTGTCTAATAAAAATACAAAACAGCCGTGCGTGGTGGCACGCCCCTGAAATCTCAGCTACTCGGGACGCTGAGGCCCGAGAGTTACTTGAACCTGGGAGGCGGAGGTTGAAGTGAGCGGAGATGGCGCCACTGCACTCCAGCCTGGGCGACAGAGCGAAACTCGGTCTCGAAAATAAATAAATAAATAAATAAATAAATAAATAAATAAATAAATATTTGTTTCTAGAAGGTAGAGATAAACTAGAGAAGTTGACTCAAGTTTCTACAACTATAAAAGTAAAATATTATAGAAAAATAAAAAGTTATGGGAGTTTAAAAAAATCCTGCTGCAGCTTTCCATAGCTAGGCACTGTTCAAGTAGGTATATTTATTTATTTATTCTATTATTTATTCTAATATTCTAATGTTTATTTATTTTTTCTTATAAAAATATTATAAGTAGGTACATATTTATTTTATTTTTTCTTATCCTTCATTGTCACTGAGAAGCCACTCACAGACCTCAACCCCCACCAAGGTTTTGACCTTGCCAGATCAAGGTTTTGACCTTTTGCTTTGCAAAGACTTTAGGTCTCTTTGCACCAGGCCACGTAGCATGTAATCTCAGTCTCTCCTTCCACGGCAGGAAGCCCACCAGCCATCACATTTTTCTTCAAGAAAAATAAATGAATAAAAATTCATTAAATTCATTAAACACAGTTTCAGGAAGCTCCCATTCTGGTCACTAACCTTAGAAGTCGATATTTTTTCTCCTGAGCGCATGTCATGCCCTGCTCTGCTGTGAGGGGGCCCCTTACCCTGCGTTGCTGATATCTTTCATTTCGCCTCTACCCAGAGGAGCATCCTTGTCCTAGATCTGATGCGGGATCTTAACCCAGTCTCTTCTCCCTGTCTTTCCTTCTTCCGGTTCCCTCCTGGATCTGACTTCTCTTTTCCCCAGTGGGCCTCTTCTCTTCCAGAGAGTAAATTCAGGAAGTAAGTGGCCAAAGATAGATGGTAAAATGTTTAGGAGCCTCATAGGTCTTCCGTGGAGGGATCCTAGCACAGCAGCAGCAGCAGCAGCAGCAGCAGGAGGAAGCTGCAGTGTGAGGGTTGAGGGTCAGGTCCCTCAACCCCCTCTAAAGACCCTGTACATGCTCCCAGCAACACTGTGTATGTTTGGATGTCTGTGATCCTGAGGGATTTGCATAGTTTCCGGGTTTGTGAATAGTCTTCGGCAAGTGCTCAATTCCAGTCTAAAAAGACATGTGAGCCCTGTCTTTCCCATACCTCCCCCCCATACCCCTCAGCCCCCGCTTTGGTATAAAGGCCATTTTAATATTCATCTAAGCCAGCATTTCTCCCATGTTTGTTCCGTTGAACAGTAGTTCCCCGGAATGTTAATACACAGTATATGAAAAAAGGGCTCTATTATTAAGTCAATTCAAGAAATGCTGGATTAAACTAAATGAAACAATTTTTCAGGACATATTAAACCTTAGAGTGTTAATGTACATTTGAATATAGAAAGAAATATGGCACTCAGCATTCCCCCAAAGTCATTCAGCCACAAAACCCTTTTTTCTCACATATGGTTTAGGGCAGATGCTCCACAGAACTTATTTTGGGAAATACTGGTGCTGTAAACCAAACATAATAGGGAAGATAAGTTGGAGACTTCTATGTAAACAAATGAAAAATAGCTTTAATAAAGTTTATCTCAAGTGCATTAGAATTAGAATTTCCTTATTTTTCCCTTGGGAATTACTTATCCAGTTGAACATCTACCTTCATGGCTTCTCTTGAAGTGAACACTTAGATGACTTATTTTCACCTGCTTCTCTGTCTACTGTGTGCATCTTTTTTCTTCATGATTTATTATGTACTATGTACCAAGCAATGTTCTTAGTGCTTCACATGCTTTATTTAATTAAAGTCTTACAATAACTGCATGAAATAAGGGCTATTATTATCAATCCCATTTTATAGATGTGGAAACCGAGGTACAAAGAGATAACTTGCTCAATGTTACGATGCTGGTAAATGGCAGAATAATGAGCCTAGGTGAGGTGATCTGACTCCAGAGTTTGTGCTCTTAGCTGAAACACTATAGACCCTCACATAGCTATTAATATATTTCCATCTGTCTGTGTTTACAGCTAGCTGGCTCTGTCAATGTGTGCTAATACAATTTCTTTCCACATATGTTATTCAGCTCTACATAAGGGAAAACTGAATCCCACAGCTCTGGGCTCTCTTGGGCCAGTCATTCTTCCCACATGTGCCATTCGTCCAATAAAGATTAGATAAGAGCATGTACGTGGCTCAGAACAACAGCAGTTCTTTCATTGCTAGATATAAAGTAAAAATCACTTGACCTGCTGATAGTGACTTCCTCCTATACAAAGTTATGATAATAGCTACCATGTATTAAACACATTGTCTTAGGCACTATTCTAGGCACTTTTAAAAAAATGCTAGCTAAATGTGCTAGTGAGAATGGGGGAAAGACAACAAGGAGTTCCATCTGTAGCTGACTGGGAATAACCAATTGAGATAACTCACTACGCTCAAACTAGCTTCCAAGCACTTTCATTATTGAAGTAAATACAAATTCAATAATTTGTACTGAACAGCACTATGACTCAGGGATCATCATTGTCCCCATTTTACAGATGAGGTGCAAAGGTTCATTAACTTACCCAAGCCTACCCAGCTTGTAAGTAGCAGAGCTGAGATGCAAATTTAGGCAATCTATTTTCAGAACACAATACCCTTCACCACCCTAGCTGTACAATGCTTCTGTGTGTTGACTGAGCTAGGATCTGACCACAAAGTACTAAGCTGTTATCTCATCATTTATAATCATACTTCCTAGTTGAAACTGTGTCTATGAATGTTTCTGAACACTGTGTGTTTTCTGAATACTATATATGTGCATCTGTGTTAGAATAATGTAATATTTGTACATTTATATGTGTACAGTATTTATCAAGAATGGAGAAGATTTTGTAGACATACAGGGAAAAGAATGAAGAATCAGGTAAGTAAAAATCATGCACCAGCTACTTAAAGCTAAAGGGAGGTAAGAAGTGTAAGTAGCTGATTGACACTAGAAGATTCAGACTATGTCTTATGCATTTTGTATTCCCAGCATCTAGCATAGTATCTGAAATATAGATATACTCAATAAATATTTGTTGCACTCTTTATCAATAATTCCTGGAGGAAGGGACATCTGCTCTAGGTTTGAAAATGAATATGACTTTGCCAGAGCAATCCAAGCAGAGAGACCAGCCTATACAAAAATCACAGCACCAATAAACAGCATAGCTGAACAATAAGCACTTAAGTTTTGCTAGGCTGGTGTGTTAGAGAGCTAGCCAGAATAAATAAAGAGTCTGTATGACCAGCTGGAGAACTAAGACTTCATGCAGGAGACAATGGAGAGCCAATGAAGAATTTTGAATCCGGAGAGGCATAATGAGAATTGCATTTTCGAAAGATAAACTTGGCAGCAGTGAGAAGAATGGTGTTTGGGAACTTAGATGAAAGACAGGGAGACTAGTTAGGAAACTGTTACTATAGTTAAGGTGGGAGAACTGAGGGCCCAAGTCAATAACTGGTGTTGGAAATGGAGCAGAGAGAATATTTTGACAGTTATGTAGAATGTGGAACTGACATAATTGATGATCAATTAGTGTGGGGGTTGAGACAAGGATATAGGTTTCTGACTATTGACCCTAGATAGATAGTGATTCCTTTAATGAACATAAACATATAGAAAGAATAAAATGTTTTCAAGCACCTCAGACACATTGCGCTAGAGAGTACTGGACCACCAAAATAAAACTCCTAAGGATGGTTGGACACCTTTATTAAGCACAACTGGCTGAATGAGGTTTGTAGGAGCTGCATGCCTGTACAGGGAAGTCTGGGTCGGCAGGGACTGAGAGACTTACTTCTTGGCTAGTGGCCTAGAACAAAACAATCTGGAGTAAGGATAAAAGCAGGAGGTGGTGGAAGCTAATGAAAGGGGTCTGGGAACAAGTATGTTTATTATTACAACTCCTATTTAACATTATACTGGATATTCTAGCCAACACAATTATAAAATAGAATTAAAAGGCTGAAAATGAAGAGTAAAAATATTATTGATAATATTACGTTATCTACACAGAATATAAAGAGAATCTATACATTATATATAAGGACTAACAAGAGAGGTTGCTGGAAACAAGATCAATATATTAATGTCACTGACATTTGAATATACCAGCAACATATATTTGGAAGATATGACTTTAAAATACACAATAAATCTATTAAGTAACTAGAAATAAGTCCAACAAAATATGTGGAATAGCTTAATGAAGAAAATTGTAAACCGTTACTGAAAACATTTTTTTCTTTTTTTGTTACTGTTTTAAGTTAGTATCAAGCCAGCATTCTCAATGAAAACATTTTTTTTGTTTTATTTTTTGAGACGGAGTTTCACTCTTGTCATCCAGGCTGGACTGCAGTGGCGCAGTCTCAGCTCACTGCAAACTCCACCTCCCAAGTTCAAGAGACTCTCCTGCCTCAGCCTCCTGAGTAGTTGGGATTACCTGCGCCCACCACTACGTCCAGCTAATTTTTGTGTTTTTAGTAGATATGGGGTTTCACCATGTTGGCCAGGCTTGTCTTGAACTCCTGACCTCAGGTGGTCCACCCGCCTTGGACCCCCAAAGTGCTGGGATTACAGGAGTGAGCCACTGCGCCTGGCCTGAAACTTTTTTTTTAAAGACCTAAATAAATGCAAAGATATATTGTGTTCTTGGATAAGAACCCTCAGTATCATTAAGGATGACAATTCTTCCCAAATTAACAAATTCTACGTATTTCTAATAAGAATCTGAAATTTTTTCAGAATTTTACAAACCGTTTCTAAAATTAACTGGAAATTATAAGGTAGTAAATAGACAAGACAATTTAGAAGAAGAAGAAAGAGATAATTTGCATTATCCATCTGGCTGTTCCTGAGTTGTATGCTTTATAATAAACTAGTAATCTAGGAAGTAAACTGTTTACCTGAGTTCTGTTAGCAATTCTAGAAAATTATTGAACCTGACAAGGGGGTTGTGAGTACCTCCAATTTATAGCCAGACGGTCAGAGACATAGGTGATAACCTTGACTCGCAATTAGCATCTGAAATTGGAAGGGACAGTCTCATGGGGCTGAACCCTTAATCTTTGGGATCTGATGCTATCTCCAGGTAATTGTATTAGAATTGAGTAAAATTGTAGGATGTTCACTTGATGTCCACCAAGAAGTGGAAAACTGGCCGGGCGCGGTGGCTCACGCCTGTAATCCCATCACTTTGGGAGGCCAAGGCGGGCAGATCACTAGGTCAGGAGATCGAGAGCATCCTGGCTAACATGGTGAAACCCTGTCTCTACTAAAAATACGGAAAAAAAAAAAAATTAGCTGGGCGTGGTGGCGGGCGCCTGTAGTCCCAGCTACTCAGGAGGCTGAGGCAGGAGAATGGCGTGAACCCGGGAGGTGGAGCTTGCAGTGAGCCGCGATCGCACCACTGCACTCCAGCCTGGGCAACAGAGCGAGACTCCATCTCAAAAAAAAAAAAAAAAAAAAAGGAGGAAAACTGCTTGGTATGGAAAAAATACCCTCATATCTTGTGTCAGAAGTGAAGTATTGTGTGAAAGGAAAAACAGTTTGTTATTCTCATTCAACTATATTAAATTAAAAAGTTCTATAACCAAAAGACTACATAAAATTTTTTTAAAAGTCACAAACTAGGAAAAGATATTTGCTGTGCATGAAAAAGGCAAAAAAGTTATAATTGGAAATATATAAAGAACTCCTTAAAAATCAGTAGAAGACAACCCTCTGCTAAGGCAGATAAACATGTAATTCACATAAGAAGCAATCTGATTCACTATTAAACATTAGAAGACACTCAACTTGTACCGGTAATCAGGACAATGGAAACCAAAACAACAAATGGTATTTCATATCCATCAAATTGGTTAAAATGTGAAAGTCTGAGCTAGCTAAGTATTGGCAAACATGTGAGAAGTGTAAATTGAGTCAACCACTTTGTTGAACAATTTGACAATATCTTGTAGAATTAAAGGTGTATATATCCTAGGACCCTGTAATTTCCCTTCAAGGTCTTTACTCTATAGAAACTCATTCTTGGACACAGGTACCTGTGCAAGGATGTTCATTGCAAAGCGATTTGTGCAAAACTTGGGAACAACTTTACAATGGAGGAATAATAGACAAACAGAGTGGTGTTTATTCACGAGTGAGATAATATGCAGCTGTTAAAGTGGATTAACTAGATTTACAACATGGGTGAATATTAAAAATATAATGTTGTGTGAATAAAGAAGCTGTAAAAGACTAAAGCATTATGCTAATTAAGACACAAAACAATATCGTATAGTATTATGGAAGATACATATGTATGTAGAACAAAGTATAAAAATATACAGGGGGGCCGGGTGTGGTGGCTCATGCCTGTAATCCCAGCACTTTGGGAGGCAGAGGTGGGTGGATCACTTGAGGTCAGGAGTTCATGAACGGCCTGGCCAACATGGTGAAACCCCGTTTCTACTAAAAATACAAAAATTAGCCAGGCGTGGTGGTGCACACCTGTAATCCCAACTACTCAGGAGGCTGAGGCAGGAAAATCGCTTTAACCAAGGTAGCGGAGTTTGCAGTGAGCCGAGATCCAGCCACTGCACTCCAGCCTGGGCAACAGGTGACACTCCGTCTAAAAAAAATATATATATATATATATATATTTAGGGGAATGGGACTCACCAGTCTTAAATGTTGTTACTCCTGAGGAGGGAGAGAGGAGAGAGATGGATTAGCGGGTGCTTTAGCTGAATCCTTAACATTTTATTTTTTTACAAACATATGAAACACACTAGACATGCAAAATCATTTAAATTTAGGTGATATAAGATAGATGGTGCCTATTATTTTATGTAGTTTTATGTATCTTTGGCATATTTTATCATTATAAATATTTTAAAGACAAAAACTAGTGACCTTTTACTATAGAATTAAACCAAGTATGTTTGTGCCTTGACATTTCCCCTGACATACTGGGTAACCTTACATAAATCACTTTTGTTCAAGTGTGTTTTTAATCTACAAAATGGAAACTGGATGTAATAATCTCTTTGGTTCTTTTCACTTCTGGCATTCTACACTTCAAAGGGGAGGGGAGAAGAATCCAGGTTAGGAAGATGTCAGGCTCCCTTAGCTGGAAAAAGGAATGGAGAACTAAAGTATCTTTAAGGGTGACCTCTCTCAGAGAAAAGTCTTGCTAGGATCCACCCATTCTAAGTAGAAGTGTAGACTCCATGGTCTGCCAAAAGCCACTTATAAAACCAAGGAACTTTAATTGCACTTGCCATGCACAGCCTAAGAATCTAATTCTTTCAACATTTTATTATAAGGGGAGAAACCAAGGACAAATGGGGGCTGCATTCCTAGGACTAGAGCCGCAGAGAAGAGGTTCAAGTCCTCAAGTCATAGCAACAAAGGTAGAGTGTCTGAAGTTTGCCACCACCTCCTTTGACAACATGAAGCAGGGGGAGGGGAGGGAGAGAGAGAAAATTATTAATCAGTATGGAAACAGACACAATACCACTCAGCCACATGCTTCTCCCCTTCCCTGTCATTGCCACTTGCCACTGTCCCCACATTCCCCCATCTCTTTGCCACCTCTTCTTGACCAAAATGCAAGAGGCTGTGATTGGTGGATGTGAATTCCTTCTGCTGAATCATGCCACCACTCTGCAGCCAACTATGGATGGTTTTAATGGTTTCCCTTTCATTATCTCTGTGAGCTCAGTCCCAGAACAAAGAGGCAAGGGTTTTTCTCTCTCTCTCTCTCTCTCTCTCTCTCTAAGTGTTTCTTACTCTTCTGGCAAGGCTCAGTTTGATGTTCAGAGTCAGAACTACTCTGAAATTATGAGGTCAGTCCACATACATCTCGGTTAAGCTCAATGAGGATCAAAATATCCTATTCTTTCCAGCTCACTCCAGAAAGTCTGTTTCAATTAGTATTTGGGGAGGCCCAGGAAGCAGTAGCTTATTAAAGTTCCCAGGTGGTTCTAATCTGCAGCCAGAGCTGAGAAGCTAGTTAAAGCATGAGTTGAATGAGAGAATGTCTTGCATCTTGGTGACAAAATAGGGCATTCCCCAGGGCAGCCCCTAAATGGAACACTTTCTAACATGTTTTCTATCTCAGCTTCTCTTTGCTAACTTTCTCTTTTTCGTCGCCTAGAGTGACAGACTAGGAGAGTATCTACTCCAAAGCTCATGGCCCTGAGATGTGTAACATTTCCCCTTTCTTCCTTCTCCACCAGAACAGCATAACATGTGATATTACATTCAGATGGGAATGAATCTCCGGACATTGCCACAAGTAGCTGCATAACTCTAAATAAGTAACAGTCTCTCTAAATATTAGTTTCTTTATTTGTAGCACCAGGGAGTTAACTAGATCAGTAGTTTTCACACTGTGTTCTGAGAATTTCTGACATCCTGTGGAGTACCTAAGGGGTTGTCTCTGCCAGGGAGGTCAGTTTGAAAAATCACTGGACCAAATGATCCAGAAGTTCTTTTCAGAACCAACATTCTACAACTCAGACTTTGTGGGAATAGACTGATGCTTACCACCAAAGTCTACCACAACTATATGCTTTGAGGCCTGCCACAGATTACATTTATCAACTGCTAGAGACTGAATATTTCTGTGCCCCCAAATTCATATGTTGAAACCTAGTCCCCAAGGTGATGGTATTTGGAGATGGGATCTTTGGGAAGTGATTAGGTCATGAGGTTGGAGCCCTCATGAATGGGATTAGTGCCCTTATAAGAGAGACCCCCAAAAAACTCTCTGACCATTTCTGCCATGTAAGAACTCAGAGAGAAGATAGCCATCTATGAACCAGGAAGTCTGTCCTCACCAGACATTGAATCTGCCAGAATCTTGATCTTGGACTTCACAGCCTTCAGAACTATGAGAAACAAATTTCTGTTGTTTATAAACCATCCAGTCTATAGTAGTTTTTTATAGCAGCCCAAATGCAATAGGACACCAACCCTGGGTCTAAAGCAGACATTACACACTGGCTACTTTCATGCCAAATTGCACACATACTTGTTTTCTTTCTTGCTGGATGAGTACTGTTTATTTCCTTGATATCTTAACAATTTTTTAAAATTGAAGTATAAGGCAATTCTGAAATATGTACAAATCAGTAATGCATGGCTGAATGAGCCATCACAATGTAAATATACCTTTGCAACCACCACTCAGGACAAAATATAGAACAGAAGCTCCCTCTTGTAACTCTCTTGTAACCCTGCTTAATTATTCCCTCCTTGCTTCTCCCCAAAGGTAACCACCATTTTGACTTCTTATATTTTAGATTGGCTTTGCCTCCTTTTAACATTTATATAAAACAACAATGTAGTACACATTCTGGGGGTTTATCTCTTTTGCTTAATATGTTGGTGAGATTCTTCTGTGTTTTGCATGTATTTGTAGTTTGTTTTCATTTCTGAATAGTATTCCATTGTATTAGAATATACTGCAATGTGTTTATCCATTCTATTATTGACAGACATTTGATTTCTGCTAATTGGCTATTATGAATAATGATGCTATAAACATTCTTTGACATGTTACATTGTTTTGAGGGTCACCCATCCATCCATTTTTGCTTCTATAGTTCAGGGTAAAATTGTTTGGTCATAGGATATGTATGGTGATCTTAAGATATGTCCATAAATTCTTCAACCCTCCTCCCTTGAAAAGGAGGAGACTAAATCCATGACCCTCAAGTGTGGGCTGGACTTAGTGACTTGCTTCTAGTACATAGAATAGCAGAAGTGGTAGTGTATTACCTCCAGGCCTAGGTCATAAAAGGTACTATAGCTTCTTCCTTGTCCACTCTGGGAAAAGTCATTTGCCATGTCATGAGAATGCTCAAGCAGTACTATGGAAAGTCCACATGGTGAGAAAGGATGGCTCACTCCCATCTGAGGAACCAAGAATTTCTGCCAATAATCAAGGGAGTGAGCCATCTTAAAAAGGAATGTTCCAGCTGCAGTCCAGTCTTCGGAAGAAATGCCACCTTGACTTCTAACTCATGAGAGACACTAAGTTAAAAACCATACAGCCAAGCTGCTGTCAAATTCCTGACACACAGAAACAGTGAGGAAACATGTTTGTTGTTTTAAATCATTAAGTCTTAGGGTACTTTGTTATGTGGCAATAGATAACCAATGTAGTATGCATATGTTCAAACTTAGTAGGATATGCCAAAGATTTTTCCAAATTTACCTACACATTTTCAGTGTTTGAGATTTTTAGTTGTTCCACATCCTTGGCAACATTTGGAGCTAACAGTCTTTTCAATTATAGCTCTGCTGGTGGGTGTGAGATGGTATTTTGCTGTGGTTTAATTTGCATTTCCCTAATGACTAATAGCATTGAACACTTCATGTTTATTGGACTCTTGAACTTTTGGATATCCTTTCTTGAGTCTCGGTGGAATCTTTTGTTTTTTTATTTATTCACTTTCCTTTTTCTTACTGGAGTTTGTAGAAGTTTCTTATGTGTCCTGGATATAGTGCCTTTGTGATTTTACAAGTTCAAAGTACCTTCTCTCAATTAGTGACTTGCCATTTTGCTCTCTTAATGCTATTGTTTGATAAACAGATATTTTTATTATTTATTTTAATAAAGTTTAATTTATCAATCTTTTCCTTTAAAGTCCTCAAGATTTTTGTGTTTTATATAAGGAATGCTGTATTCCCCAGGTCATGAAGATTTTTTTCTTTAGTATCTCCTAATACTATTATATTTTGCCTCTTACGTTTAGATCTACAATCCACGTGGAACTGAGCTGTGAGATAGGGGTTAAGTTTAATTATTGTTTCTCTTATGGATAAACAATTTTCTGAGCACATTTTCATTGAAAATGAAATTTATTCCCTGCTGCCCAGCAGTGTCACCTTTACCCCAAATCAAGTGACCATACATGTGTAAATCTGATTCTGGATTCTCTTCCATTGGTCTATTTGCCTGTCCTTGTGCCAGTATCACACTCTTTTAACTATTATGACTCTACAAAAGTCTTGATATCTACCAGAACAAGTCCTTCCACCTCATTTTTCTTCTTTAAGAATGATTTAACTATTCTTGGTTCTTTGCATTTCTACATAGATTTTAGAATTGGCTTGTCAATTTCCATAAAAATCGCTAGGGTTTTCACTGGGATTGCATTAAATCAATAGATCAATTTGGGAAGAATTGGAATTTTTATGTTATTAAGCCTTCCAATGTAAGAACTTAAAAGAAATTTCACATACCCTTTATGTTAAATAGTATTGTTTAATTTTTAACATTTTATTTGTTGTTGGTATATAGAGGTACAGTTGATTTTTAAATATATTGACCACAAGGTTAAATCCAGTAACTTCTTGTGTCTGGTTAATTTTCATTGAGTTCTAGAAATTATATATTAAAAGTTATAGATATTAGTTCTGATTTCACTTCAGAGATGTAGAGAGCTAGAAAGAGAGTTATTTTCATCCATATGACAAGAAAATCCTGGACAAACTGCAAACAAATGAAATTTCTTGAATCCCTAAGAGAACTGAGGTCACAGGGCAAAAATTCAACAAAATCTGGAAAAAGCAAGCTCATATACAGAAAAACAAGACCAGAGCATTTTATTACCTTAGCTGATGCTTCCAGATGCCATGTAAGCCAGTAACAAGAATCAAGCTAGAAAACTTTAATAAATTTTTAAATGCTAAGTATGGGCTAGTGTAATACAGTAAACCCCTTAGTGTTCACACTTTCTCGCAGGTTTTTTGTTGTTGTTGTTGTTTTTTCTATAAGAATCCTGTATTAGTCTGTTTTCATGCTGCTGATAAAGACATACCCGAGACTGGGGAATTTACAAAAGAAAGAGGCTTAATTGGACTTACAGTTCCACATGGCTAGGGAAGCCTCACAATCATGGCAGAAAGCAAGGAGGAGCAGGTCACATCTTATGTGGATGGCAGCAGGCAAAGAGAGAGCTGTGCAGGGGAACACCCCTTTTTGAAACCATCAGATGTTGTGAGACTCATTCACTGTCATGAGAACAGGATGGGAAAGACCTGCCCCCATGATTCAGTCACCTCCCACTGGGTCCCTCCCACAACGTGTGGGAATTCAAGATGAGATTTTGGTAGGGACACAGCCAAACCATATCAAATCCCACTAGGAGCTCAAGAGAAAAATTGGAAAAAATTCTTAGAAAGTTTTCATCACCAGGCTGGCTTGGTGAGGGGACAGCAACTACTGCCAAAACTCTGCCCAGACTCATCTACTCTATCTTCCCTATGGAACAGAACGCTTACTCTGTAGGCATAAAGGAAACAAAAATTTCGTTCTTAGGGTGCTTGTGGCAACCCATTGCCACTGGGGGAGGAAAACAAGAAAAAAAAGTTTATCCCTGGGAGAAGGGCAAGTATAAGTTCTAGGCTTAGTACTAGAGCTAGAGGAGGGCTTGTAACACCAGTGAAGGCCCCCCATGAAGCAGGTTCACAATGCCTGATTAGAATGGAAACCTAGGATAATCACTCTATGGTTCTCCCTATGTATACATTAATAAATCTGTATGCCTTTTCCCCAAAAAAAAGACACCTTATATGTTTTGGATTTGTGTCCCTGCTCAAATCTTATGTCAAATTGGAGGAGAAGCCTGGTGAGAGGTGATTGGATCGTGGGGGCAGATTTCCTCCTTGCTATTCTCATGATAGTGAGTAAATTCTCACAAGATTTGATGGTTTGAAAGTGTGTGGCACTTCCCTCTTCCCTCTCTTTCCTGCTCCACTATGGTAAGATGTGCTTGCTTCCCCTTTGCCTTCCACCATGATTGTAAGTTTCTGAGGCTTCCCACCCATGCTTCTGTTCAGCCTGTGGAACAGTGAGTCAATTAAATCTCTTTTCTTCAAAAATTACCCAGTCTCATGTAGTTCTTTAGATCAGTGTGAAAATGAACTAATACAGAATATTGGTACCAGGAAAGTGGGGGATTGCTACAAAGATAACTGAAAATGTGTAAGTGACTTTGGAACTGGGTAATAGGCAGAGGTTGGAACAGTTTGGAGGGCTCAGAAGAAGATAGGAAGATGTGGGAAAGTTTGGAACTTCCTAGAGACTTGTTGAATGGTTTTGACCAAAATGCTGATAGTGACATGAACAATGAAGTCTAGGCTGAGGTGGTCTCAGATGGAGATGAGGAACTTATTGGGAACTGGAGTAAAGGTCACCCTTACTATGCTTTAGCAAAGAAACTGGTGGCATTTTGCTTCTGCCCTAAAGATCTGTGAAATTTTGAACTCGAAAGAGATGATTTAGGGCATCTGGTGGAAGAAACTTCTTAGTAGCAAAGTATTCAAGAGGTGACCTTGCTGTTTCTAAAAACGTACATTCATATGCATGAATAAAGAGATTATCTGAAACTGAAACTCATATTTAAAAGGGAAGCAGATGCTAGGTGTGGTGGCTCATGCCTGTAATCCCAGCACTTTGGGAGGCTGAGGTGGGCAGATCACAAGGTCAGGAGATCAAGACAATCCTGGCTAACACAGAGAAACCCCATCTCTACTAAAAATACAAAAAATTAGCCAGGCATGGTGGTGGGCACCTGTAGTCCCAGCTACTCAGGAGGCTGAGGCAGGAGAATGGTGTCAACGCGGGAGGTGGAGCTTGCAGTGAGCCGAGATCATGCCACTGCACTCCAGTCTGGGTGACAGAGCAAGACTCCATTTCAAAAAAAAAAAAAAGGGAGGAAACAGAGCATAAATATTTGGAAAATTTGTAGCCTTGCCATGTGGTAGAAAAGAAAAACCCATTTTCTGGGGAGAAATTCAAGCCTGCTGCAGGAATTTGCATAAGTAAAGAGGAGCCGAATGTTAATAACCAAAACAATGGGGAAAATGTCTCTAGGGCATTTCAGAGACTTTCATAGCAGCCACTCCCATCACAGGCTCAGAGGCCTAGGAGGGAAAAATGGTTTCATGGACCAGGCCCAGGGCCCAACTCCTCTGTGCAGCCTCAGGATATGGCACCCTGCATCCCAGCTGCTCCAGCTCCAGCCATGGCTAAAAGGGGCCAAGGTACAGCTCAGGCCATGGCTTCAGAGGGTGCAAGCCCCAAGCCTTGGTGGCTTCCACATGGTGTTAGGCCAGCAGGTGTGCAGAAGGCAAGAGCTGAGGTTTTAAAACTTCTGCCTAGATTTCAGAGGATGTATGGAAATGCCTGGATGTTCAGGCAGAAGTCTGGTGAAAGGGTGGAGCCCTCATGGAGAATCTTTATTAGGGCAGTGCAGAGGGGAATTGTGGGGTTGGAGCCCCCACACAGAGTCCCCACTAGGGCACTGCCTCATGGAACTGTGAAAAGAGGACCATCATTCCCAGACCCCAGAATGGTAGGCCCACCAACAGCTCACACCGTGTACCTGAAAAAGCCTCAGGCACTCAACACCAGCCCATGAAAGCAGCCAAAGGGGCTGTACCCTGCAGAGCCACTGGGGTGGAGCCACCCAAGGCTGTGGGAGCCCACCCCTTGCATCAGTGTGCCATGAGTGTGAGACATTGAATCAAAGGAGATTATTTTGGAGCTTTAAGATTTAATGACTGCCCTGCTGGGTTTCAGACTTTCATGGGGCCTGTAGCCTCTTTGTTTCGGCCAATTTCTCCCATTTGGAATGGGAGCATTTACCCAAGGCCTGTACCCCTATTGTATCTTGGAAGTCACTAACTTACTTTTGATTTTACAGGCTCGTAGACAGAAAGGACTTGCCTTGTCTCAGATGAAACATTGGACTGTGGACTTTTGAGTTAATGCTGAAATGAGTTAAGACTAGGGGGCTGCTGAGAAGGGATAATTGTATTTTGCAATGTGAGAAGAACATGAGATTTTGGAGGGGCCAGGGGCAGAATGATATGGTTTGGTTTTGTGTCCCCACCCAAATCTCATGTTGAATTGGAGGAGAGGCCTGATGGGAGGTGACTAGATCATGGGGCAGATTTCCTCCTTGTTGTTCTCATGATATTGAATGAGTTCTCATGATGTATGATGGCTTAAAAGTGTGTGGTACTTCCTCTCTCTCTCTCTCTGTCTCTCTGTCTCTGTCTCTCTCTCTCTCTCTCTTTCCTCTTCCACCATGGTAGGATGTGCTTGCTCCTCCTTCACCTTCTACCATGATTGTAAGTTTCCTGAGGCCTGCCAGCCATGCTTTTATACACCTGTGGAACTGTGAATCAATTAAACCTCTTTTCTTCAAAAATTACCCAGTCTCAGGTAGTTCTTTATAGAAATGTGAAAATGGACTACTACAAAACCTGATCAGAACATCAGAGAACTTTCCCCCACCATCATAACCACTCTAATAAACCAAGTAAAATAAGAACAGAATATAGCTCAGAGAGTTGCAAGAGACAAATTCATTCTGTGGAGCAGTGTGAAGGGAAGATCCAAAACAAAGCAGGGAAACACAAAACCAAGTGGGGAGCAGACATTTAGAGAAACACTCTGGCAAATAGCCCATACCCTAGCACAGGTATTACTAAAGAAATTTGAAGCCTATAGTGCACTGAGGTCAATGATACTAACAACAAACTTCAAATCCAACTGAACTCCACGCTAAATTAATGTAAATCCCCATACTACTAAAGGCCTTGCAGAAGAAAAGGCATGTTTATCTGCAGCATAGAATATATTTACCTCAGTATTTACTATCTTATACAACACGTCTAACTTGCAACAAAAAACTATAAGGCACACAAAATGGCAAGAAATAACAAAATTTGAAGAGACAAAGGAATCATCAGAATCAGATACAGATATAACAAAGATGTTGGAATTAACTGACATGGAATTTAAAATAGCTATAATTAATATATCAAATGACTTATTGGAAAGGGTAAATAGCATGTAAGCTCAGACAGATATTTTCAGCAGAAAGACAAAAACTATAAGAGAGAATCAATAGAAATGCTAGATATAAAAAATTGCATGGACAGAAATAAATAATGCCTTAAACCAGCCTGTCAGACCAGAGCAAAAGAAAGGGAACTTCTGATCTGATCACCATACATTATGTGTAGCAAAATATTGTTATCTACCCTGTGTGTAAAATTATTAATTGCCAATTAAAAAATAAAATTTTGAAAAAATTTTAAAAAGAAAGAGAACTTGAAAATAGGTCAACAGAAATTACACAAACAGATATGCAGAGAGGAAAAAGAGAGTGAAAATAAAACACAGAACCACCAAGAGCTGGAGGAAAACATCAAGTGATATAACATACACGTACTGAAATTTAAGAGGATCAGAGAGACAGAATATAAGACATAAGAAATATCTGAAGAAATAATAACCAAGAATTTGCTAAAATTAATAGCATGCCTCCAACCACAGGTCTAAGAAGCCCAGAGAACACCAGGAAGTATAAATACCAAAAACCAAAAGCAAAAAACTCACTTCTAGGTACGTTAGATTCAAACCACTAAAAACCAAAGACAGAAAATTTTAAAAGTAGCCAGAGAGAAAAAGATATTACACGTAGAGGAAAAAAGATATTACACGTAGAAAAACAAGATAAGAATTACAGCAGACATTTTCTTCCAGAAACCATGTAAGTAAGAAGACAGTAAAGGGATATATTTAAAGTGCTGTAAGAAAGAAAACTGTTGACCCCATGTTCTTTATGCAGCAAAAATATTTTTCAGAAGCAATGGAGAAATAAAGACTTTTTCAGACAAATACTGGTAAAATTCATTGCCAGCAGACATACACTGCAAGAAATTTTAAAAGAAAAAAAGTTTTTCAGGCAGAAGAAATATGATGTATAATATGGGTTAGAAACTAGAATATACACGAAGAAATGAAGAGATTTGAAAACAGAATAAATGAGGGTAAGATAAAATTTATTGTTACTTATATTTCAATGTGCTAAAAGAATTGATTGTTTAAAGCAAAATTATAACAATGTATTATGTGTTTATAACATGGGTAAAAATAAAATAAATGATAATAGCACAATTGTAAAATTTACTGACAAGTTCTTAAAAGACTCAGTTAAAGAGAGACTACTTTTTAAAATACCATAAAATTACTTCAGAATGTAAATAGAAAGAATAATTACTATGACTTTTGAAGATTTTGAAAATAAATTAATAAGAGATAGCCTTAATGGATACTAAAATTATTATAAGATATTTTAAATCTATGTTAATTAAGAGTATGATACATAATTGCCCCCAAGCTGTATATTATTTCACATACATGAAAGATTTTATAATATTACTAAGAAAACATCACAAATCAGTGGAGGAGTAAACCAGAATTAAACAAATAACAAGGGAACAACTGGTTTAAAATGAGGGAAAGGATTTATTTACATTCTCACCTCACCAACTTAGTAAAGTCAATTTTACATAAAGTTACATGTAAAACTGCAATCTTGGAAACCAAAAAAAGATAAAATTGAAAAATTTTATTTCAAGTTGGGAAATGGGTTTTGTCAGATTCAAAGGGGTTGGAAGAAGTTGCATAAAAAATATCCATAGTTTTACTAAAAATATATAAAATATCTGAATTTAAAAAATGTCTTAATGCAAACATGTTTGGAAAGGAAAATATAAAAAATAATATCTTAGAAAACTGAAGAAAAACAGTAAACTTGGAGGACTGATACACCTAACTTCAAGACTTATTATAAAGCTACAGTAGTCAAGACAGTGTGGTATTAGCAAAAGAATAGATTATAGATCAATAGAGAGCCCAGAAATAGACCTACAAAAATACAGTCAAGTGATATTTGACAAAGGAGCAAATGGTATACAATGAAGAAGATATCATTTTCAACAAATAATGCTAGAACAACTGGAAATCCAGATGCAAAAAAAAAAAAAGAAAAAAAAAAAACAAGAATTAGCTCAAAATGGGTCATAGGCCTAAATTTAAAATGAAAAACTGCAATACTAGAAGATGACATAAAAGAAAATATAGATGACCTTGGGTCCATTCATGACTGTGTGGGTACAACACCAAAGTCACAATGCATGAAAGAAAGAATTGATGAGTTACACTTTATTAAAATTAAAAATCTCTGCTTTGTGAAAGACACCATCAAGAGTGTGAAAAGACAAGACACAGACTGGGAGAAAATATTTGCAAAAGACATATTTAATTTTTAAAAAACTGTTATCCGAAATATATAAAGAACTCCTAAAACTCAGCAATAGGAAAATGAACCACTGATTTAAAATGGGTCAAAAACCTTAACAGACACCTTACCAAAGAAGATATGCAGATGGCAAATGCTGTGCTTTGAATGTATCCCCCCAAAAGCCAGGGTTGGAAACTTAATTACCAATGTAACAGTGTTGGGAGATGGGGCCTAATGGGATAATTTTAGGTCATGAGGACTCCCTCCCTTATGAATGGATGAATGTCATTATCACAGGAGTGGGTTTGTTATCACTGCCATAAGTTTGTTATAAAAGTGAATTAGGTCCCTTTTTGTTCTCTCTCACTGTCTCCCTGTCTTGCCCTTCTGCCTTCTGCCATGGGATGATGCAGCAAGAAGCCCCTTGAAAGATGCTGACAACTTGTTATTGGACTTCCCAGCATGTGAAGCCATGAGAAATAAATTTCTATTGTTTATAAATTACACAGTTTCAGGTAGTCTGTTATAGCAGCACAAAACAGACTAAGATGGCTATCTTTCCATTTATCTTTGTCTTCTTAATTTCTTTCATTGATGCTTTGCAGTTTTCAGCATATAGGTCTTTTACCTTTTTGTTTAAGTTTATTCCTAAGTTTTTAAGAAATTTTGGTGCTATTATAAATTGAATTGTTTTCTTAATTTCCTTTGCAGGTTGTTCATTGTTAGTGTATAGAAAAGCAACTGATTTTTGTGTGTTGATTTCGTATCTTGCAACTTTACTGAATTCATTTATTAGATTTAA
Source organism: Homo sapiens (assembly GCF_000001405.40). Lineage (NCBI taxonomy): Eukaryota > Metazoa > Chordata > Mammalia > Primates > Hominidae > Homo > Homo sapiens. The sequence goes on from NC_000003.12 coordinate 122,041,796, forward strand.
CTTTTTTTTTTCTGGTGGAATCTTTAGAGCTTTCTATATATAAGATCACATCATCTGTGAACACAGATAATGTTACTTCTTCCTTTCCAATTTGAATGCCCTTTATTTCTTTTTCTTTTTTTTTTTTATTATTATTATACTTTAAGTTTTAGGGTACATGTGCACATTGTGCAGGTTAGTTACATATGTATACATGTGCCATGCTGGTGCGCTGCACCCACTAACTCGTCATCTAGCATTAGGTATATCTCCCAATGCTATCCCTCCCCCCTCCCCCCACCCCACCACAGTCCCCAGAGTGTGATATTCCCCTTCCTGTGTCCATGTGATCTCATTGTTCAATTCCCACCTATGAGTGAGAATATGCGGTGTTTGGTTTTTTGTTCTTGCGATAGTTTACTGAGAATGATGATTTCCAATTTCATCCATGTCCCTACAAAGGACACGAACTCATCATTTTTTATGGCTGCATAGTATTCCATGGTGTATATGTGCCACATTTTCTTAATCCAGTCTATCATTGTTGGACATTTGGGTTGGTTCCAAGTCTTTGCTATTGTGAATAATGCCGCAATAAACATACGTGTGCATGTGTCTTTATAGCAGCATGATTTATAGTCCTTTGGGTATATACCCAGTAATGGGATGGCTGGGTCAAATGGTATTTCTAGTTCTAGATCCCTGAGGAATCGCCACACTGACTTCCACAATGGTTGAACTAGTTTACAGTCCCACCAACAGTGTAAAAGTGTTCCTATTTCTCCACATCCTCTCCAGCACCTGTTGTTTCCTGACTTTTAAATGATTGCCATTCTAACTGGTGTGAGATGGTATCTCATTGTGGTTTTGATTTGCATTTCTCTGATGGCCAGTGATGATGAGCATTTTTTCATGTTTCTTGGCTGCATAAATGTCTTCTTTTGAGAAGTGTCTGTTCATGTCCTTCGCCCACTTTTTGATGGGGTTGTTTGTTTTTTTCTTGTAAATTTGTCTGAGTTCATTGTAGATTCTGGATATTAGCCCTTTGTCAGATGAGTAGGTTGTGAAAATTTTTTCCCATTTTGTAGGTTGCCTGTTCACTCTGATGGTATTTTCTTTTGCTGTGCAGAAGCTCTTTAGTTTAATTAGATCCCATTTGTCAATTTTGGCTTTTGTTGCCATTGCTTTTGGTGTTTTGGACATGAAGTCCTTGCCCATGCCTATGTCCTGAATGGTAATGCCTAGGTTTTCTTCTAGGGTTTTTATGGTTTTAGGTCTAACGTTTAAATCTTTAATCCATCTTGAATTGATTTTTGTATAAGGTGTAAGGAAGGGATCCAGTTTCAGCTTTCTACATATGGCTAGCCAGTTTTCCCAGCACCATTTATTAAATAGGGAATCCTTTCCCCATTGCTTGTTTTTCTCAGGTTTGTCAAAGATCAGATAGTTGTAGATATGCGGCGTTATTTCTGAGGGCTCTGTTCTGTTCCATTGATCTATATCTCTGCTTTGGTACCAGTAACATGCTGTTTTGGTTACTGTAGCCTTGTAGTATAGTTTGAAGTCAGGTAGTGTGATGCCTCCAGCTTTGTTCTTTTGGCTTAGGATTGACTTGGCGATGTGGGCTCTTTTTTGGTTCCATATGAACTTTAAAGTAGTTTTTTCCAATTCTGTGAAGAAAGTCATTGGTAGCTTGATGGGGATGGCATTGAATCTGTAAATTACCTTGGGCAGTATAGCCATTTTCACGATATTGATTCTTCCTACCCATGAGCATGGAATGTTCTTCCATTTGTTTGTATCCTCTTTTATTTCCTTGAGCAGTGGTTTGTAGTTCTCCTTGAAGAGGTCCTTCACATCCCTTGTAAGTTGGATTCCTAGGTATTTTATTCTCTTTGAAGCAATTGTGAATGGGAGTTCACTCATGATTTGGCTCTCTGTTTGTCTGTTGTTGGTGTATAAGAATGCTTGTGATTTTTGTACATTGATTTTGTATCCTGAGACTTTGCTGAAGTTGCTTATCAGCTTAAGGAGATTTTGGGCTGAGACAGTGGGGTTTTCTAGATATACAATCATGTCATCTGCAAACAGGGACAATTTGACTTCCTCTTTTCCTAATTGAATACCCTTTATTTCCTTCTCCTGCCTGATTGCCCTGGCCAGAACTTCCAACACTATGTTGAATAGGAGTGGTGAGAGAGGGCATCCCTGTCTTGTGCCAGTTTTCAAAGGGAATGCTTCCAGTTTTTGCCCATTCAATATGATATTGGCTGTGGGTTTGTCATAGATAGCTCTTATTATTTTGAAATACGTCCCATCAATACCTAATTTATTGAGAGTTTTTAGCATGAAGCGTTGTTGAATTTTGTCAAAGGCTTTTTCTGCATCTATTGAGATAATCATGTGGTTTTTGTCTTTGGCTCTGTTTATATGCTGGATTACATTTATTGATTTGCGTATATTGAACCAGCCTTGCATCCCAGGGATGAAGCCCACTTGATCATGGTGGATAAGCTTTTTGATGTGCTGCTGGATTCGTTTTGCCAGTATTTTATTGAGGATTTTTGCATCAATGTTCATCAAGGATATTGGTCTAAAATTCTCTTTTTTGGTTGTGTCTCTGCCCGGCTTTGGTATCAGAATGATGCTGGCCTCATAAAATGAGTTAGGGAGAATTCCCTCTTTTTCTATTGATTGGAATAGTTTCAGAAGGAATGGTACCAGCTCCTCCTTGTACCTCTGGTAGAATTCGGCTGTGAATCCATCTGGTCCTGGACTCTTTTTGGTTGGTAAACTATTGATTATTGCCACAATTTCAGCTCCTGTTATTGGTTTATTCAGAGATTCAACTTCTTCCTGGTTTAGTCTTGGGAGAGTGTATGTGTTGAGGAATTTATCCATTTCTTCTAGATTTTCTAGTTTATTTGCGTAGAGGTGTTTGTAGTATTCTCTGATGGTAGTTTGTATTTCTGTGGGATTGGTGGTGATATCCCCTTTATCATTTTTTATTGTGTCTATTTGATTCTTCTCTCTTTTCTTCTTTATCAGTCTTGCTAGTGGTCTATCAATTTTGTTGATCCTTTCAAAAAACCAGCTCCTGGATTCATTGATTTTTTGAAGGGTTTTTTGTGTCTCTATTTCCTTCAGTTCTGCTCTGATTTTAGTTATTTCTTGCCTTCTGCTAGCTTTTGAATGTGTTTGCTCTTGCTTTTCTAGTTCTTTTAATTGTGATGTTAGGGTGTCAATTTTGGATGTTTCCTGCTTTCTCTTGTGGGCATTTAGTGCTATAAATTTCCCTCTACACACTGCTTTAAATGCATCCCAGAGATTCTGGTATGTTGTGTCTTTGTTCTCGTTGGTTTCAAAGAACATCTTTATTTCTGCCTTCATTTCGTTATGTACCCAGTAGTCATTCAGGAGCAGGTTGTTCAGTTTCCATGTAGTTGAGCAGCTTTGAGTGAGATTCTTAATCCTGAGTTCTAGTTTGATTGCACTGTGGTCTGAGAGATAGTTTGTTATAATTTCTGTTCTTTTACATTTGCTGAGGAGAGCTTTACTTCCAACTATGTGGTCAATTTTGGAATAGGTGTGGTGTGGTGCTGAAAAAAATGTATATTGTGTTGATTTGGGGTGGAGAGTTCTGTAGATGTCTATTAGGTCCACTTGGTGCAGAGCTGAGTTCAATTCCTGGGTATCCCTGTTGACTTTCTGTCTGGTTGATCTGTCTAATGTTGACAGTGGGGTGTTAAAGTCTCCCATTATTAATGTGTGGGAGTCTAAGTCTCTTTGTAGGTCACTCAGGACTTGCTTTATGAATCTGGGTGCTCCTGTATTGGGTGCATATATATTTAGGATAGTTAGCTCCTCTTGTTGAATTGATCCCTTTACCATTATGTAATGGCCTTCTTAGTCTCTTTTGATCTTTGTTGGTTTAACGTCTGTTTTATCAGAGACTAGGATTGCAACCCCTGCATTTTTTTGTTTTCCATTTGCTTGGTAGATCTTCCTCCATCCTTTTATTTTGAGCCTATGTGTGTCTCTGCACGTGAGATGGGTTTCCTGAATACAGCACACTGATGGGTCTTGACTCTTTATCCAGTTTGCCAGTCTGTGTCTTTTAATTGGAGAATTTAGTCCATTTACATTTAAAGTTAATATTGTTATGTGTGAATTTGATCCTGTCATTATGATGTTAGCTGGTTATTTTGCTCGTTAGTTGATGCAGTTTCTTCCTAGTCTCGATGGTCTTTACATTTTGGCATGATTTTGCAGCGGCTGGTACCGGTTGTTCCTTTCCATGTTTAGCACTTCCTTCAGGAGCTCTTTTAGGGCAGGCCTAGTGGTGACAAAATCTCTCAGCGTTTGCTTGTCTGTGAAGTATTTTATTTCTCCTTCACTTATGAAGCTTAGTTTGGCTGGATATGAAATTCTGGGTTGAAAATTCTTTTCTTTAAGAATGTTGAATATCGGCCCCCACTCTCTTCTGGCTTGTAGGGTTTCTGCCGAGAGATCCGCTGTTAGTCTGATGGGCTTCCCTTTGAGGGTAACCCGACCTTTCTCTCTGGTTGCCCTTAACATTTTTTCCTTCATTTCAACTTTGGTGAATCTGACAATTATGTGTCTTGGAGTTGTTCTTCTCGAGGAGTATCTTTGTGGCGTTCTCTGTATTTCCTGAATCTGAACGTTGGCCTGCCTTGCTAGATTGGGGAAGTTCTCCTGGATAATATCCTGCAGAGTGTTTTCCAACTTGGTTCCATTCTCCCCATCACTTTCAGGTACACCAATCAGACGTAGATTTGGTCTTTTCACATAGTCCCATATTTCTTGGAGGCTTTGCTCGTTTCTTTTTATTCTTTTTTCTCTAAACTTTCCTTCTCGCTTCATTTCGTTCATTTCATCTTCCATTGCTGATACCCTTTCTTCCAGTTGATCGCATTGGCTCCTGAGGCTTCTGCATTCTTCACTTAGTTCTCGAGCCTTGGTTTTCAGCTCCATCAGCTCCTTTAAGCACTTCCCTGTATTGGTTATTCTAGTTATACATTCTTCTAAATTTTTTTCAAAGTTTTCAACTTCTTTGCCTTTGGTTTGAATGTCCTCCCATAGCTCAGAGTAATTTGACCGTCTGAAGCCTTTTTCTCTCAGCTCGTCAAAGTCATTCTCCATCCAGCTTTGTTCCGTTGCTGGTGAGGAACTGCGTTCCTTTGGAGGAGGAGAGGCGCTCTGCATTTTAGAGTTTCCAGTTTTTCTGTTCTGTTTTTTCCCCATCTTTGTGGTTTTATCTACTTTTGGTCTTTGATGATGGTGATGTACAGATGGGTTTTCGGTGTGGATGTCCTTTCTGTTTGTTAGTTTTCCTTCTAACAGACAGGACCCTCAGCTGCAGGTCTGTTGGAATACCCTGCCGTGTGAGGTGTCAGTGTGCCCCTGCTGGGGGGTGCCTCCCAGTTAGGCTGCTCGGGGGTCAGGGGTCAGGGACCCACTTGAGAAGGCAGTCTGCCGGTTCTCAGATCTCCAGCTGCGTGCTGGGAGAACCACTGCTCTCTTCAAAGCTGTCAGAGAGGGACACTTAAGTCTGCAGAGGTTACTGCTGTCTTTTTGTCTGTGCCCTGCCCCCAGAGGTGGAGCCTACAGAGACAGGCAGGCCTCCTTGAGCTATGGTGGGCTCCACCCAGTTGGAGCTTCCTGGCTGCTTTGTTTACCTAAGCAAGCCTGGGCAATGGCGGGCGCCCCTCCCCCAGCCTCGCTGCCGCCTTGCATTTGATCTCAGACTGCTGTGCTAGCAGTCAGCGAGATTCCGTGGGCGTAGGACCCTCCGAGCCAGGTGTGGGATATAATCTCGTGGTTCGCCGTTTTTTAAGCCGGTCTGAAAAGCGCAATATTCGGGTGGGAGTGACCCGATTTTCCAGGTGCGTCTGTCACCCCTTTCTTTGACTCAGAAAGGGAACTCCCTGACCCCTTGCACTTCCCAAGTGAGGCAATGCCTCGCCCTGCTTCGGCTTGCGCACAGTGCACGCACCCACTGGCCTGCGCCCACTGTCTGGCACTCCCTAGTGAGATAAACCCGGTACCTCGGATGGAAATGCAGAAATCACCCGTCTTCTGCGTCGCTCACGCTGGGAGCTGTAGACCGGAGCTGTTCCTATTCGGCCATCTTGGCTCCTCCCACCTATTTCTTTTTCTTACCCAATTGTTTGGCTAGGGCATCCAGCACTGTGTTGAATAGAAGTGATGAAGTAGGCAGACTTACCTTGTTCCTCATCAAGGAAAAGCTTTCTGTTTTTCACCATTAAGTGTGATGCTAGCAGTGGGATTTTCACATATCCCCTTTATTATGTTGAGGTAAATTCCTTCTTTCCTTCTATTCCTAGTTTGTTGAGGGTTTTATGATGAAAGAGTGTTAAATTTTACCAAGTATTTTTTCTGTGTCTATTGAGATGACCATATGATTTTAATGATGTACCATACTAATTTTCATATGTTGAATCATCTTTGCATTCCAGGGATAAATCCCACTTGGTCATAGAGTATAATCCTTTTAATGTACTATAGAATTTGGTTTGCTAGTATTTTATTGCAGATTTTTGCATCAGGGATATTGGCCTGTAGTTTTCTTTTCTTGTAGTGTCTTTTTCTGGCTTTGCTGTCAGGTTAACACTGGCCTTGTAAAATGAGTTTGGAAGTGTTCTATCCTCTTCAAATTTTTGGAAGAGTTTGAGAAGGATTAGTGTTAATTCTTCTTTAAATGTTTGATAGAATTCACCAGTGAAGTCATCTGGTCTTGAGCTTTTCTTTAATGGGAAGCTTTTGATTGATGATTCAATCTGATTACTAGTTACAGGTCTGTTCAGATTATCTATTTCTTTATGATTCAGCTTTGGTAGGTTCTGTTTCTAGGAATGTGTCCATTTCTTTTAGGTTATCCAATTTGTTGGAACGTAAGTGTTCACAGCAGTCTCTTACAATATTTTTTTAATTTCTGTGGCATCAATTGCAATGTCTCCTGTTTCATTTTTCATCTTATCTGAGTCTTCTCTTTTTTTTTATAGAGACAGGGTCTTGCTACGTTGCCCAGGCTGGTCTTGGACACCTGGCCTCAAGTGATCCTCCTACCTTGGGCTCCCAAAGTGCTGGGATTACAGGCATAAGCCACCATTACGCTTTAATCATTATTTCCTTTCTCTGCTAACTTTGGGCTTAGCTTGTTCTTCTTTTTTTAGTTATTTAACATGTAGGGTTAGATTTTTTATTTGAGATATTTTTAATATGTTTATTGTTATCAACTTCCCTCTTAGTATTGCATTTGCTGCATTCCATAAAGTTTGGTATGTTATTTTCTTTGTTTCTAGATATTTTCTAATTTCCCATTTGTTCAAGAGTATGTTGTTGCATTTCCACATATTTGTGAATTTTCCAATTTTCCTTCTAATATTGATTTCTGGTTTCATTCCATTGTGATTGGAAAAGGTACTTGGTATTATTTCAATCTTAAATGTGATAGGACTTGTTTTGTGATCCAGCATGTGATCTATTAAAAAAAAATGTTCTGTGTGTTCTTGGGAAAAATGTGAATTCTTCTGCTATTAGGTAGAATGTTCTGTGTATGTTTATCAGGTCCATTTGGTCTATAGTGTCGATCAAGCCCCTTGTTAACTAATTGATCTTTTGTCTAGATGTTCTAACCTTTATTGGAACTAGGGTATTAAAATCCTCTATTATTATCATGTTGCTGTCTATTTCTCCCTTCAGTTCTGCCAATGTTTGCTTCATATACTTAGGTGTTCTGATGTTGGTGCATATAAATTTATCATTGTTATATCTTTCTGGTGAATTGAACCTTTTATCATTATATGATGTCTTTCTTTGTTTCTTTTGACAATTTTTGATTTAAAGTCTGTTATGGTCTGAATGTCCCCAAAAATTCATGGGTTGAAACTTAATCCCCATTGTGGTGGTTTTAAGAGGTGGAGCCTCTTGGGACGTGATTAAATAATGAAATATCTGCCTTCATGGATGGATTATAGCCTCATCAAATGCCTAGACAGAACTAGCTTAGGCCCTTTTTTCTCTTCTACTCTTCCACCATGTGAGGACACAGCAATTCATCTCTTTTTGTCCTTCTTCCACCATGTGAGGTTACAGCAAGAAAGCCTTCACAAGACTTGAATGCCAGAACCTTTGACTTCCCAATCTCCATAGCTGTAAGAAATCAATTTCTGTTATTTATAAATTACCCAGTTTCAGATATTTTACTACAGTTGCACAAACAGACGAAGATAAAGTCTATTTTATCTTTTGTAGGTATGGCTACTCCTGCCCTCTTTTGGTTATCATTCGCATGGAATATTTTTCCATCCTTATACTTTCAGCCTATGTGTGTTCTTAAATCTAAAGTGAATCTTGTAGACAGTGCATAGTTGGATCTTATTTTTTTAAAACTCATTCAACTGTGCTATGTCATTTGGGCAGCTTAGTCCATTTATATTTAAAGTAATTATTGATAGAAAAGGGGTTACTATCAACATTTTGAAATTTGTTTTTTGTGTTGTAGCTATTCTGTTGCTCTTTTTATCTCTTGCTATCTTCCTTTGTGTTTCATGGATTTTTTATGGTGACATGATTTTATACCTTTCTTACTTTCTTTTGTGGAAATTCCATAGGTATTTTCTTTGTGCTCACTGTGGGACTTACATAAAACAGCTTATAGATATAACTATCTTTTTAAAGCCGATAAAACTTAAATTCAGCTTCATATAAAAACTTTGCTTTTACTTCCCCCCCCCCACAGTTATGGATGTCACAAATTATATTTTTAATAATGTACAGCCATTAATATATTTTTATAATTATAATTACTTCTATGCTTTTGTTTTTTTTAACTTTTATACCAGAATTAAGTGATTTACACAATACTGTTACACTATTACAGTATTCTGTACCTGTCTATATATCTATCTTTACCAGTTAGCTTTATACTTTCATGTTTTTGTATTGCTGTTTAGTATCTTTCCATTTCAACTTCAAGGACTCTCTTTAGCATTTCTTGAAAGGCAACTCTAGTGATGATCTTATTCTGCTTTTGTTTGTTTAGGAAAGTCTTTATTTCTCATTTTTGAAGGCTAGTTTTGCCAGAGAGAGTATTCTTGGTTGGCTGGTTCTTTTCTTTCAGCACTTTTAATACCTCATCCCATTCCCTTTTGTCCTTCAAAGTTTCTGCTAAGAAATCCATTGCTAATCTTATAGGAGTGTCCTTGTATGTAATGAACTGCTTTTCTCTTGTTGCTTTCAAAATTCTCTTTTTGGCTTTCGACAATTTGATTATAATGTGCTTCAGTGTCTATTTGTTTGGGTTCATCTTATTTAGGCCTATTGGGCTTCTTGGATCTGTAGTCCATTTTCTCCCTCAGATTTGAGAAGTTTTCAGCCATTATTTCTTTAAATGAGCTCTCCAACCCTTCTCTTTCTTGGACTGCTCTAATAGATATATTGGTACATTTGATGGTGTCCAATAAGTCTCTCAGGCTTTCTTTACTTATTTTCTTTGTTGCTATTTTTATTGTTCCTTTTTGCTCCTCTGGATAATTTCAAATGACTTGTAATTGAATTGCTGATTATTTCTTCTGCTTGATCAAGTCTGTAGTTGAACCCCTCTAGTGAATGTTTTAGTTCAGTTAAAATTGCATTCTTTGGCTCCAAAATTTCTATTTGGTTCCTTTTAATATTTTCTATCCTTATTGAATTTCTCATTGGTTCATGCATCACTTTCCTGAACTCATTGAGCATCAATATGATGGTTATTTAGAATTTTTTGTCAGATAATTCATATACCTCTGTTTCTTTAGGATCTGTTTCTGGAGACTTATTTTGTTTCTTTGACTTGACCATTTCCCGTTTCTTCATATTTCTTAGAACTTTGTGTTGGTATCTGCATATTAAAAAACAAAACACACAAACAAACAACAACAACAACAACAAACCAGCCACTTCTTCCAGTCTTTACCAGCCGGCTTTGTACTGGGAAAGACCTTCATAATCTTTAGCCTGGCTAAAGATTCTGGGGACCTCTCAAACATTTTCTGTGGATACGTTTTCTCTGGGCTTATGCACGTAGATTCCTAAGTAGAGAGATTTTCTGGCTTCTCTTTTTTAAGAGTTCATTATCTCTTGCTCCATCTGTTGTCTATCTTCTATAGTGTGTGTCCTCCAAAGTAGCAGCACACTGTCCAGCTCTTTTTTTTTGATCTTGGCAGCCCCTAGTCTTCTAGAGTATGTTAGACCTTCTCTGCCTTAAGTGGGGCTACATGGAAACCAGTCCCTTTGGCAGCCCTTTGAAAAGCCAGAATTCTGGACACATGTTCTATTTTTCTCTTGCCCTCCTGAAGAAGAGGGCACTGAGCTGTATTGGCCTCTGCTGTGCCACAGGTCCTCTGAAATAGCATCATGCTATTTAGCTCTTTGGTTTCTTTTCATGGGGCCCCAGGCATCTAGAGTATGCCAGTGATTCAAGACAGACAAGAAAGAAACCAATCCTATGGGCATCTCCCCATTTCCCCAAAAAGCAGGAATATTGGTTGCATGCTTCACTCTTTTCCATGTCCCCTAGGGATAGGCCACTGAACTGTATCAGTCTGTATCTGCTGTAGCAAGAACCCTCTAGGACAGCAATATATCACCCAGTATTTTTTTGTTCTCAGTGTCCCCCAGGCATCTAGAGTATGGTGGGTCCTATAAACTCTCTAAGACAGGTAAGACAGAGGCTAGTCCCTCAGGCAGCCCCCAGGAAAGTCAGAACTTTGGTTTTTTGTTGTTGTTGTTGTTTTGAGACGGAGCGTCGCTTCTTCGCCCAGGCTGGAGTGCAATGGCGCAATCTCGGCTCACTGCAACCTCCGCCTCCCGGGTTCAAGCAATTCTCCTGCCTCGGCCTTCCAAGTAGCTGGGAGGAATGTGCCAGCATGCCTGGCTAATTTTTGTATTTTTAGTAGAGATGGGGTTTCACCATGTTGACCGGGCTGATCTCAAACTCCTGACCTCAAGTGATCCGCCTGCCTTGGCCTCCCAAAGTGCTGGGATTACAGGCATGAGCCACCGCGCCCGGCCAAAAAGTCAGAACTTTGGATATATGGTCTAGTCTTCTCATTTCTTCTTCAGGGAGAAGCCAAAAACTGGGAATTTCCTCCTAACCATGTGGCCCTGTGCCGAGAGGACAGACTATGGTGAGGGTATACCGTGAATTTTCCTACTGGCTTCAGTGCAGTTGTTTTTTTTGCTCACCTAGTGTGATGTAGCCTCTTAGCCAGCTTCTGGATTTCTCACAAAAGGAATTGGTCTGTGTATAGTTAAGTTAGTGTCTCTCTGGGAGGGAGCACAGGCTGGGGTTTCTCATTCTGCCATCTTGCTGACGTTCACTGTGGTTTTGATTTGCATTTCCCTAATGACTAGTGGTTTTGAGCACATTTTCATGTGATATTGGCCATTTCTATATCTTCCTTGAAGAAATGTCTGTTCAACTCTTTTGCCTACTTTTTAATTGTTTGTTGTTTCTTCTGCAAAGTTGTAGGAGTTTTTTTAATCATATATTCTGGATATCAATCCCTAAACATTTATTGTTTTAAGGAAATAAATTTTGAGATAATTTGTTATACAGCAATGGATAACTAATAAATACTAAAAACTCCTAAATGTATATACTAAATATATTAATTAGAAAATTGTAATATAAAAATACTAAAAGCTAAAACTGTCTGATATTAGGAAGATAATTTTACTACAATATATACCTTTTTTGTGTGTATGAGACAAGGTCTCATTATGTTGCCCAAGATGTTCTCAAACTCCTGGGTTCAAGCAATCTTCCCACCTCAGCCTCCTGAGTAGCCAGGATTACAGGTATGTGCCATTACAGCCAGCTTTCACAGTGTATACTTGATGTACTATTAATGTACTATTTAATGACTACTAAAAAGTTTATGATAACAGGAGAAAATGCTTATGCTATCTTAAATAAAAATTTGAGTGTATGCATTGATACCAAGAAATGGAAATTTGAGTGTGTACACTGCTACCAAGAAACTGAAAAATGACATCCCATACCTTTAATATTTAATATTTATAACAAATGAGGTTTACATGGATTTTTTTATCTCATCTTATTTCTGATGTGTTATGTAGTTATAAATACTATTTTATTTGCACTCCTGCTCTGCAATAATTTTGAAGATAGATAACTTATATTATTGCTGTCTTCATTTTTTAAAATTCTCAAATCCAGATGAAATTATCAAAGTTGATAAAATAATCATTGTTCTATCTTCTTATTTGAAGATTAATAATTGTGTTGATTTTGCTTCCTTGCTCTAGTTAGCAGTGATGTCATCTGCTATTTTTAAACTTCCTTGAAATAATATATGTAATCTACTTCTAATAAGTTTTTCTTATTTAGCATTTTGGTCTAAACTAATTTATAATTATTTAGCCTTATTTCTCCATGTTTAACTTGCTTTAAAGCTCAGCACTGGTGTTTTCAGCCATGGCTTCTCCATTTTAAGGCTATTTTAATTCATTTATTATTCTGGAATATATCCTTAAATAATTTATTTAGGAAGGCTGTCTTGGTGGTGGTATTTCTGTTGCAGTTGTTGTTTTCTTGCCTGCTTGGTGACATATTTCTATTGACTTGACACTTAACTGGCATCTTATCTAGGTAGATAATGCTAATTCAAAATTCTGCAGATATTGTTCTGTTGTTTTTTGCCATTTAGGGTTGAGTAAGATGCCAAGTTGTTTTTTGTTTCTCTGTAGTCATTCTGTTTTCATTTTGTTTTTAGCTTTGCCTTTGGAATTTAAAATGTTCAAAATGATTTGTCTGGATGAGAATCGATTTTCATAACTTTTGCTTTGATACACTAAACAGTTTGAGTTTCTAGATGATGCCCATTTTAATTCATACGAGGAAATATCTTCTAGTATAGTTTCTGCTTGATTAATTCTATGTTTGTCTCTTAGGGACATCTATTAATTTTATAATGCTGCCTTTTTTTCAGACTTCTGTTTCAGAATATTCGCTTTCATCAATGTAATCCTTGGCTATAGTAGGAATGAAATAATAAAAGCAGTAGCTTCTGTCTGCCCTCCTTGGTTATGCAGTCCTTACAGAACATCTCCCCATCTCCCATCCCCCCACCCCAGCTCAGTGAAACTCTCCACACTTTGGTTGTGGAAATTGGCAGGGTTAGGTGGCTACTCACTCCCAATCCACATCCACAATAAATCACTTTTTATTATCTTATCAAAATCTGTAGAATGCCTCTTTATTCTATTTTGTTGCTGCGGAGGTTTGTTTTCTCTTTCTAATTATTTTATTTTCTAGGTTTTTTGAGGGAATTTCAAGAGGGGAGATTTTTTATTCAGGCTCATCTTAACGTCATGTCTGGAACTCAAGCTACTGAATTATATATTCTTTAATACATATAGACCTACGTCAATGAGTTTAAACTGCAAGGAAAGGGTTAAATTTCTTCCTCAAGTGTGGTCAAAATCTGTAGAGAAAAGAGGAACAGCTTCTCTTAAAGAAAGTTAGCTGGGTAGGTATACAGTCATTGCCGAGGAAGGCTTGCACAGGGTGAAAGCTTTGCTTCTCTGCTGCTGTAACAGGGACTAGCACAGACACACGGATGAGTGGGGTCATTTCCAGATATTAGGTCACAGCAGAAGCAGCCAAAATGGATCCCCAGTGGTGAGTAATAATTCTTATTCTTTGCAGAGAAGTTATGAGTTGTGACTGCAGTGAAAGGCTGAGGTTGAAGATGGTGCTTTGATGTGTGTCCTTCACTTAGTTCCTAAGTGGAGAAGCTTTCTTTTTCTACAAAAGATCTTTGGCACATAAAGGCAAGAATTATTTGCAATGCCCAAAGCAGTTCATTGGTGGTAGTTATATATATTTTTAGGTGCCTAATTTTGGTTTTGTAAATCTGTTATTCAAATACTGAATGTTACAGTCATTGATTTTAGTGAAGAATCAGGAATTTTTAAAATATCTGCATAAGAATGACAAATAACAGGGAATATGTTTTTTGTCTACCAGGGTCAGTTTGGTCTGAGGGTGGAGGAATGAGATAGAGAAGGTAGAGGGAGAGAGATCAAGAAAAAGAAAGAGAAAAAAGAGGTATAAGGAGAAAATGCAAAACTCAGTTAATATGTCATAATCAGGCCATGGGAGATTCTGGGCAGGGTTGGGTAGTGGAAGGAGGTAGAGTGATTAAATTAGTTACCATGTATTGAACATGCATGATGTGCTGGGTACTTTACTAGTGCTATTTCATTGAATTTTATTCTTCACAATGACTTTTGGAAAGACATCATCATTCTTTTTGACAGATGGGGTAACTGTGGCTTAAAAAACTTGCCCAAGTTCACACTATTCATAAGGGGTAGAGCTAAAATCTTTCCTGCCCGCTTCGTGGTGCGCCAGAAGGTTTCTCCATGCTGTGGAGACTTCCTGGAAGGAGTCACACCCGCCCTTCTCTTGGGTGGTGGCAGCTGGCGCCAGTCACTATGTATTTATTTATTTTTAATTATTTATTTTTGAAACAGAGTCTCGCTCTGTCGCCAAGCTGGAGTGCAGTGGCGCAATCTCAGCTCACTGCAACCTCCGCCTCTCGGATTCAAACGATTCTCCTTCCTCAGTCTCCTGAGTAGCTGGGACTACAGGCGCCCACCACCACGCCCGGCTAATTTTTGTATTTTTGGTAGAGACGGGGTCCACCATGTTGGCCAGGATGGTCTCGATCTCTTGACCTTGTGATCTGGCCACCTCGGCCTCCCAAAGTGCTGGGATTACAGGCGTGAGCCACCGCGCACCCGGCCGTCACTATGTATTTATAATTACTGTTCTTTGAAAATCGAAGTAACTTTCATCTACCCAGTGCTTACTGGTTTGAGAAAAAGCTTTGTTGCTTTTATTTCAGAAGATTAAAATTTAATTTTCCAGTAAAGATTCCTTTTGCTCCAGTGGAATTTTGAAGCGTTATACTTGTATGAAGAAAAAAAGAATTTCAAAATTTATAATTTTTGTGG
Organism: Homo sapiens; assembly: GCF_000001405.40. Lineage (NCBI taxonomy): Eukaryota > Metazoa > Chordata > Mammalia > Primates > Hominidae > Homo > Homo sapiens. The sequence continues at coordinate 122,056,844 of NC_000003.12, forward strand.
TACCATAGAGGGGATACTACTTAATTATGCTAGCACTGTCTGCAGAGGTCTAAAAAACCATAGGCTGCTGTCTATATTGAACTTGTTAAGATTCCTTTTGTTTCACAGTGCCTGAAGATTGGTCATGAACCAGTAATAGCCATTAAACAATGTCTGTTCTCATAAGAGATGAAATAAATACAAATTAAAACAACAGTGAAGTATCATTTTTTCTCTATCAAAGAGATAAATATTAAGTTTTAAAAAGCAAGCAATCAAGAACCCTCTATCTTGCTAAGAAGGGAGGATTATTTGTACCCTAGTTGCGCACTAGTGGTGATATCATCTTTCTGGACAATAATCTAGTGATACATATCAAAAGCCTTTAAAATGTATATGCCCTTTAACCAAGCAATTCACCTTTTAGGAATTTATTCTAAGATATAATAATACATGTTTGTAAAGTTTTAGTGATGGATATTTTTCTTGCTATTGTTTCTAATAAGGAAAATCTTAGAAACAATTTACGTGTTTAAAAACAAGTGATTGGATGATTATGGAACATCCATAATGGAATACCATGTAATTATTTAAAATTCCACTGTAGAACAATTCATAATGTGTTTAGTTAAAGGGGAAAAATGCAGAACGAACAGTGCTATCACTTTTATACATGATACATGTATACAAACAATATTAATCAGAAATATAGGTAGTTTGTATTTTCTACTGTGTGCTTTTCAATTTGAATCCCATCTGTAGGCAGAAAAATAAAGTTAAATATTTAAGATTTAAAAAAAACAATAGCTGGTTTTTTTCAGAGAAGTAACCATCTAGTGATGTGTGATAATTTATAAGTTGTGAGATTCCATAGTTAGGGCTTTAGCCCTTTGCATTTATCTTTCTTCATCTCTTGAATCCTCTTCAAAATACACCCACTCTACCCATAACTCATTAGATCTTGAAAGGCATGTTCTGATAGAATTTTATATTTAGAACAGGCTGCAGCACTCTTCCCTTATTTTACAGAAGTGATTGCATGGCTCTCTAGGGTGAGTTGCATATTGAGAGGGAGGACAGTGCAGTGGCTAAGTGGCCGCACATTGAAGCCAGGCTGCTGGGGTTTGAATACCAGTTCCCCAACTTCCTAGCTATGTGATTTTGGACAAGTTGCTTAACCATTGTAATTCCCAGTTTCTTGTCTGTAAAATGGGAGTATGGTAATATGTCGTAAAGTAGTTGTGAGATTTTAATGAGATAATCCATATCCTGCTAAGTACTCAGGAATTGTTAGTAGTTTTTATTACTATTACTGTTTGGATTAAGAAACAGAGGAAAAGTGATTTGTCCAAGATTATACAACCACTTAATGGCATTACTAAGAACAGAATGGAGGAAGGTTTTTTCCAGCAGAAATGTTCAGTATCCTCTGTGCCTGGCAGGACAACCCCAAGTTGTGCTTTTGGGATGGAGGAGCTGATCTAAAACAAGCAGTACCCAGGACAAGGCCAGCCTCCAGGGAGTGACTGATGACAGTGGGAAGCCAAATGGTAGAAAGGCAGGTGAAGTTAAGGAAACTGAGAGTCAACTTAGGAGCAGGAATGAAGCCTGGAGCAAAGAGCTAGTGCAAGAGAGAGCAGATGACTCAGAGCTACTGGGGCTTTTGTAGGCCACCAGCTATGGGCTTCACGGGAGGTTAATGTGGTTTAAAGTCTCAAGACCTGGGTAATTAAATAGACAAATGGGGTCTAGGTGCATGGGGGAATTTTAAGTATAGCTTTGAGAAGATGCCTAATGGGGAGTAATAATAGAGAAAGAAGCTGGGTGGGGCCAGAACAAGGAGCCCACAGTCCAGGCATCCAGCTATGATCATCCTAAAGGAACAGCCTAAGTTTGAAGAATCATAAACAAATAGAGACATGATAAAATTTACTTTAAAAAAAATCCCTTGGCAGAAGAATGAAAACTGATTTGGAGTGACAAGGAGATCATTTAGGAGACTATTGGAGTAAGCCAAGGAGAAATGGCGAGGGCATGAAACCAGGGCAGTTATGGTGGGATCAGACTGGAGAGGATGCATTTAAGAGATATTTTAGCACCAGAATTGACAGAATTTGGTTTTTGACAGATGTAGACACTGGGAGAGGAGGAGAGATCTAAGTGCATAGTGGCATCCTTCACAAAATGGAAGGTATAGGAAGCAGAGTGGGTTTGCGCCAGGCAGAGAGAAAAGACAGATGGTGAATTCCTTCTCTAACATGTTGAGTTTGAGGTGCCTGTGGAGCAGCTGGATAGAGATGTCCAAGCAGACAAGTAGATATTTAGGTGCAAGTTCAAAAAAGAGGGATGGCCTGGAATGCACATGAAGAGTCTTCTGCATAAGTATGGTTGACAGTTGAAATTCTCATTGTGGGTCAATTCAGTAGCAGAGAGGTTGGAGGATTGAGAGGAAGCCAAGGACAGAACCTGGAAAACCTTGACATCTAAGGAGGGAGATGAGGAAGAAGAATCTACAATAGATACTAAGGAGGGGCTAGAGAGACTGGAGCAGCCCAGGAGAAAAGTGGTGTCATAGAAATCAAGTGGGCCTGTAGTCCCAGCTACTTGGGAGACTGAGGCACGAGAATAGCTTGAACCCAGGAGGCAGAGGTTGCAGTGAGCTGAGATAGCACCACGGCACTCCAGCCTGGGTGACAGAGTGAGACTCCGTCTCAAAAAAAAAAAAAAAAGAAAGAAATCAAGTGGGGAGATGGATGCAAGAAAGAGGAGAATGCATTCATGGAAAGAGCATATTTACCAAGCTTTCCATGTTGAACACATGAGATGTGACATGAAAGGTAACTGTAGTGACTACATGTTAAGCGTTGAATTGTGGCTCCCTTAAAATTCATATGTTGAAATCCTAACTCCCAGGGCTTCAGGATTTGATCATATTTGGAGATAGGGTCTTTACAGAGATAATAAAATTTAAATGAGGTCATTAGGGTGGGTCCTAATCCAAGACAATTGTTGTGCTTATTGTAAGGAAGGGAAACACACAGCGGAAAAGCGGTGTGAAGACACAGGGCGAAGACGGCCATCCACATACAAGCCAGAGAGAAAGGCTCGCAACAGATTCTTTCCTCACAACCTTCAGAAAGAACCAACCCTGTGGAAACCCTAAGTTTGGACTCCTGGCTTCCAGAAAAAAAATAAATTTTTTTTGTTTAAGCCACCCCAGTTTGTGGTACTTTGTTACCACAGCCCCAGCAAACTAATACACTTGGTGAGAGTGCATACAGCCAGAGAAAGAAGCTGTGAATAAGTGCATCAGGGAGGAGGGAAAGAAACCAAAACAGGATTACATCACTTAAATTAAGAGTAGAAACATTTCACAAAGCAGAGTGTAGTCACAGGTCAAATTCTGCAGAAAGGCGAAGTAGGAGAATGACTGAAAATGTCAGTCCAGAGGCCCTCAGTGACCTTGACCTTTGCAGAACACTCCCAGTTGAGTGGAGGCAGTAGACTTTGGAGAGCTTGGAAAATGGAGGCAGCACAGATGGTCTCCTGCAGAAAGTCTGGTGATAAAATGAGACCTCCTCACTGGAGTAAACTCACCTCTGCTGTCGGTGGAAATAATCTGGAGTCAGGCCAGCCAGACCCAGAGTTCTTCCTTCCTCCATTTTAAAGGTTAAACAGAGCTGAGGTCAATGGCTCATGCCTGTAATCCCAGTGACTCAGGAGGCGGAGGTGGGAGGATGGCTTGAGGCGAGGAGTTCCGTTCAAGACCAGTCTGAGCAACATAGCGAGACTCCCATTCCTAAAAAAATTTTAATTTAAATTAAAAAAAAAGGCTAACCAAAAATAAAATCCAATACTTTATTTTTCCCACCCAAAACTAGTTTGGGAAGGATTTCTGGAAGAAAATAATTTTTGCAGTCATTTTACATGTTGGATTTTGAGTGCACATAACATACAGATTCTATTCTGTATTATCAGTTCAGAGGCAAGTTGAGATTTGAGGCTTCGCAGAGGTAAAGCCTCTGGTGAATCTGGTGAGATAAAGAAGAAAACAAGCCCAAGAGGAATTTCAGGGATCATTTATAATTTACATCAATAAACAGAATGGGAAAAAAAACCCATTAGAGTTTGGAATAGAGAAGTATTAAAACACTTTCTTAGAAAGCTTTGAGTCAAAATTAATCTTTCTGTAGTGGCAGGAATATGATAAGCCAAACAACCCTAATGTCACAGCTCTATATTATTAGGTGTCGAATCAGATTTGCACTAAAACATCAAGTAAAAATAAAAGGAATGAACATTTGGTTAAGTGAACCAATTAGTCAATACACGCCAGAAAATGGTAAAACTGGATAAACCTAAAATACTCAACTACCTAGATTAATCAAGGCCAACCTAGATTATCACCCCAATATTACAACTATTTTCAACCAACTAAACAATAAATCTTTATCAAGAGCCTGATAGTTTAAGGTACTGTGATGAATACAAATGAAATTGCTGATACTTTTTTTCAAGTCTATTTAGAAATAGAAACCCACAATTATGAAATGACAAAAACAATTAATGCAGTTAATAATTCAGTAACTTTTAAAAAGAAATAAACATGACAAAAAGTTCATTCTCACCAAATACTAAAGAAATGCCAATTCAAACACCAATGAGATATTTTCCTGTATCAGATTAGACAGTAAAACAAACAATCCAATCAGAAAAATGGGCAAAAGATATAAAAAGACATTTCCCCAAAGAAAATATACAGATGGTGAACAACCATATAAGAGAGTCAACATCATTTGCCTTTATGAAAAAATTAAACCACTACCTACCTATAAAAATGGTTAAAATAATAAAAGATAATGACAACACCAAATGATGGCAGGATGCGGAGAAACTGGATCATGCATACATTGCTTGTTGGGAATGTACAATGGTCAAGCCACTCTAGAAAACAGTTTGGCAGTTTCTTATAAAACCAAACATGCATTTAGTATATGACCCAGCAACTGCATTCTTGGGTTTTGATCCCAGAGAAATAAAAGCCTATGCTCCTGCAAAAATCAGTATATGAATATTTATACCAGCTTTATTCATAATAGTAAAAAACTGGGGAAAAAAGTCCCTCAGTGGGTGAATCGTAACACAAACTGTGTGTGCAAGATGTTACCACTGAAGGAAGCTGGGTGAAGGTACACAGGACTTCCCTGTACATTTTTTCAACTTCTTTTGAATCAATAATTATTTAAAAATGAAAAGTTTAAAAAGTAAAAAAAAAAAACAAAAACTAAAAATGTTCATCTTCACTAAATATTAAAAAAAATGCCAATTCAAACACAAGATATTCTCCTTTTACAAATTAACAATTTATATGGATTTTGGGAGGGTTGGGAGTAATCATGCTAATAAGTATGCAATAAGAGGATACTTTCGTATACTACTGATTGTGGGAATATGAATGGGGAGAACATTTCTGGAAAGCAATATGTCAACAATATCAAGAGTCTTAAAAATGGTTGTACAAGCAGACACCCATTCTGGGCACTGCCAATTTCTCCATGTCCTTAGTACATTTTTTTTCAGTTCATTCAGCATCTTTGTTCCAGGCACTGTGCTAAACATTAAAAATACACCAAAGATGAGTATGAGTAAACATGATTTCTGTTCTCAAGAATTTCAGTTTTGTGGTAAATATATCAAAGGTGATTTTTTATAAGAGTTTTTTATAACAGGGTGTGACGTTTCATAGGAGCATGAAGGTAGCTGTTTCCTATTTGTCTGTAGGCAGTATGATGTCTTAGATAAATGCCAGGGTTTTGAGCTAGTTTGGTTGGTATCAAATAATAAGTAGTTAATAAATCATCTTCTATTTATTAGTGGTATCACTTTGGGAAGCCTATTAGCTTCCTGAACTTCAGTGTCCTCTGTAAGATGAGGCTACTAAGCACTTGCCAATGCCATGAGGAATATAACAATTTATAATGGACAGGAAGTCCTATGGATATAAGATATTTTAGGACTCACATTCTTTGCTTTAAAATCTATTATTTCCTATATTTTTAATTGTCAGAGTTCTTTAGCTCTGCCTTTTCTGATTGATTTCCAGCAGATGGACTCTTACCTATAACCTAGAAGTTGCTATAGTAGACCTCCTAACTATAGATAAGAGAAGGGCATGCCAAATGCAGTTGAATCAGGTGAAAGTCAAGCAACAAAGCTGCCTAAAATAAATTTTATGTAAGGTAGGGTGCCAAAATCATTAAAATAAAATTCTATTCTATAACTGTAATCACGTAAGTGCTTTCATGAAGTTGTCTATGAAAACTTTCTTTTTCGCTTTCTGGACTTCAAATATTTTAAGTTTGCTTTTCATTTACAAAGATTTTTTTGCTCATTAGTAATCATGAACTGTATTCAAACTTACACTTCTAATTCTAGAAGATATATAAACTACCATTTTTTAATTATAAAAATGTTTATATATCTTGCTTTAATAATTTCACCTCTAGGGATCTAGCTAGTTAAATAACAAGAGCTACGGAAACATATTTGTGCACCAAAATGTTTATTACATTATTTAATGTAATGAAAAATAAGAATCAACCTAAATAAGTAGAAGAATAGGTAAGTAAGTTAAAAATGAAGTTAATAATGACTCCTTAATGAGAGAAGACAACATAAGGCTACATACAGAATTGTAAAGAAAATAATCCACAGAATGTGTGTTTTATTTTGGTAAATGGTTCCTAAAACTAAGTAAGTACATAGAAAGATTTTTTTTTTTTTTTTTTTAAAGACAGAGTCTCACTCACGTTGTCACCTAGGCTGGAGTGCAGTAGTGCAATCTCAGTTCACTGCAGCCTTCACCTCCCGGGTTCAGGACACGCCACCACACCCAGCTAATTTTCTTGTATTTTTAGTAGAGACACAGTTTCATCATGGGGCTGGTCTCAAACTCCTGACCTCAAGTGATCTGCCCACCTTGGCCTTCTAAAGTGCTGTATTATAGGTGTGACCCACCGCACCTGGCCTAGGAAGAATTTTAGAAAGAAAGCTCCATATCAGGAATTGAGAAGCCGGTGTTTTAATTGAGAATATATTTGCACAGAAAAATCTTGGCATAAATATTGGTTTACAAAACAAACAAACAAAGTAATGTCCTTTAATCTTGGATCAGGAGCTGCCCAACAACTCCAAAAAGTCAGCTCATGCAAAACCATCCAAGGACAGATGAATCAGCCAAACAAGAGAGAAAGGGGAAGGGAAAGTGTCTTTTCACAGGCAGCTTTTGAGGCAGTGCATAAACCATGCCTCTGCACCATCCAGACCAGACAGTTGTGACACAGGGTTGACAAAGCAGGACAACGAAGGGTAGCTGCTCCTAAGGTGGGGATGATGCTGGAGCAAGGGGGAGCACCAAGAGGAAAAAAAAAAAGCATAAAAATAAGATAGCATAGTAAAAAATAAGATAGTCATAGTAGTTACCTCTTGATTGATGGGATTATGGAAATAGGGTTATTTCTTTGACTAAAATTGCCAGATCTTCAGTACAATTACATTGCTCTGCTGAGCAGGATGAAATCAAGTTGAAAAGTAATCTAGTAGTGAGGTACAGCCCGTATGCTGCAAATGGCCAACATAGATCCTCAGATGACAGAAGTGAGTGATGCAGGCCTGTGGTTTACGTACAGCTCCATGACGTATGAATGGCAGAAGCTGTGTATGTCCACAGGCGAGCCCCATTTCAAGAAGTGCTTCTGGTCACCACTCTGTTGTCCTGTGTATAAGGATGTGGTTCAGAACAGCCAAGTCTTATATTTCAAGAGGAGCCAGAAAGACAAACTTACCAGTGAAATCCTAATATTTATATAATAGCTCAATATCTGGAGGGGCTGGTTTGGTATAAATCACCAGTTTTACCTCTGACCTCTGTTAATGCATCAGAGGTTCAGGAGAGAGTGAGAAAATTGTAAATGGAATATTTTAGGACTATTATATTGGGGCCCAGGCTTTAGTGAGTCAGAGCGAGAAAGTAGGGGGCTGAAACTATTTGACTATTAATTTATTCAATAAAGTTTTATTTAATGTTGGAAAGATGAAGATGAATCAGATAGAAATCCTGTTTAGAAGCTTCTATGGGAAGAGATATCACCATAGCTAATATGTCTTAGCCTCTAAAAGGAATTATGGCAAACTATATTGTATCATATATGATCTCATTTAATCATCATAACTGCAGGAGGTAAGTAGTATTATCCCTGATTTTCCATAAGTGAAAACTGAGTCTCTCTTAGTTACATAGCTGACAACACAACCAGGATTCCAAATGCCAGTCTGATCCCAGAGCCAAGCTATGAACAACCATGCTATATATTATGGCAGATCAGGGAAGGAAGACATTACTTCTAGCAGCAAGAAACATTTGTGGATGAAAAGATTTGAGCTTGGAGAGAGCTGTGTTGAGCCATGTCCAAAACAATTTTTGGCAACCATACGATAAAGGTAAAAGCCAGAGATTGAAAAGTAAAAGCTGGTGGACTAAAAATGGTCCATAGACAGAGAGTCATCAAAACAACAAAACAAAACAAAAACCTTAATCATAATTAATTGCCAATATTTCAAAAGTCTGGAGAATTCACATAAGTTTAGATTTCCAGCTCTTCTGGAGAATTAGAATATCTAGTAACAGTGTGCTAATAATCCCACATGGTAACAACTGGTGAATCTGGCAGAGGCTGCCCAGCTTCCAATGGTGTATAAGCTCTCCTCTTCCTATGCAACCTGCCTGCCTCATTTATATGAGCTGCTTGGATGCTGCAGATGCTTGAATCTAAGAGCTTTGGTCTGGAAAGTGAGGCCCTAACAAGGAAGAAGGAATAACCTATGGATCAAGGAGAACTGGGAGTCCAGAAATGAAGGTTATTTGTAAGTCTGGACCCAGCCATTCCAACTCCTTTGAGGAAATAAGATTCTAAGGAAAAGGCCGTTTGCATTCTGCTCTCCAAGATCTCTGGGTGTTGGAAGAAACTGAATTGGGGGAGAGGGGGAAACTTGACTGGGGGCTCAATACAGACATGTAAATTTGAAGGAAACAGAGAGTTTAGATGACAGGCAGTAGAAAAGTTAATGTGTCCATTCTATGGCTGACCCAAGATTCTGTTTCCAGAAGACCTCTCTGGCTTGTTAAGTGTTCATGGTTGCAGGGGAAAAGTTAGAAAAAAAGAAAAACAAGCCAAAACCCAGCTCCTTAAATGTTTCTAATTTTATTTTCAAACAATCAGGCAGAGTAATCCCTTTACACACTCTTCAGGCATTGGCTGAGGGTCCCAGTCAAGAACCATTCAGTTTTGGGGGCCTTAAGAAAAATATTTCCTATGATTAAAGGAACTTTGGACAGGTTATTACCTTCTTTGAGCCTCAGTTTCTTTGTCACTTAGAAGGTTGAATGGTTTCCACATTCTGAGGGTAAGGAATACGAGAGTGAATGAAGAAATATCAAGTGCATAGCTCAGAGTAGGAAGAAAGAAGTGACCAGGGACAAGGCTAAGAACTTACTCAAAAGGTGCCCAGCTGCTCAGCATTCTGTCCAAAAAAGGGACACTGACATCTCTCCAGCATTCTAACAGCAGTCACATAGCATTATCAGCTAGAAATGAAAACAGATTCAATTCTATATCCTGCTAAAAGCTTGAGGGTCACACTAGCTGTGTGATCTTTGGCAGCTGGCCAAAACCCTCTGAAAGGCAGTTTCCTCACCTATAAATTTTTTAAAAAATATTTATTGTGAAGATTAAATGAAGTAATGCATTTAAAATACTTAGGGTGCCTTAGAGTTCCAGCACAGTTCGTAGCTCATAGTAATCAGTTAATAGATATTGACTTTAATAAATAGATACTTAACTGAGCCTCCACCCTGGGCCTGTTACTATGCTAAGTACCAGGAGTGCAAAGGGAAATGAAACACGTTCCCCAAACTTGTGGAACTCAGAGCAGGCCAACTATATGAGTAGTAGATTTTTAACACGATGAGGAAACTGTTATAATGGAAAAATAAATAGTGTGAAGAGGGACTAAGGAAGATAAAGATATGGTGAAAAAAAGAGGGTTCAGGCTCCAACTGTGGCATGATCTAGATCTGCAAGGAAGAGTAGAGAATTGCAGTAGAGAAAGCAGGGAAGACATTCCAGGCAGAAGAAACAGCTTCCACAGAGGTAAAGAAGGCAAAACGTTTTCAAAGGTTCTAGGGGTGGGGGATGGTGGGGAAGATGGTCACGGAATAGTGAATGGTTCAAGTGAAACTGTTGTATGGGTTGTGAGGGCAGTTTTATGGGTTGGGTGATAAAATCAGAAGAGAAAAATTGAATTCACGCTTTGAAAGGCCTTGTGTGTCTTGCTGAGAAGCGTGAACACTAACTCATGAGGAGTAAGGCGCGGGTCTTTAAAGGAAGGAAGTTTCATAATCAAATTGTTTTCCATGAAAGATAATGAAGGGAGCCAGCCACAAGGCTGTTGCAATCAATCGTCCAAACAAGAGGTGACAAAGACTCTAAAACTGGCCACCAATGAATTGAAAGTGGATGGTGAGGAAGAAAGAATACAGGGTGACATAAACACAATATGTAAAATCCAAGGTATGAAAATGGCCTGGTCCCTTCGTCCTTACCACAGTCATCCCAAGAGACCAAAACAAAAACACAGAAAATCTCTTTTAAAAATAATCTCTTTTGTTTGTATGCAAATAGGCCATCCACAGTGAAAATGCAACTCAAATGCAATATTTTATCTGCAGTCCACCAAATGCAAAGATCAAATTGGTTTACAAATGCTGTCCTTCTTAAAAATTCCAACTCCTCACATTAAAACTGTAGCCAGCTAGTGCAAGTTAAGATTGTTTGCAATCTTAAATAAGATTTGAGTAAAGCTGAAATTGAGACACTTTTCAAAAGAGGCCATCCCTTACTCACATTGCTGAAGAGTAGAAAGATTGACACCTTCTTTTATCAGAAAATTTCTTTCAGGGAGTAATGCCTCTTGTGTGGTGGCAGACCCTTCAAGTCTTCCAGATAAAGCATGTGATGGAAGTAGCAGGGAGCTGCAAAAATTGCAACTCTATGATTCTGCATCACCGACTTGAAAACTACAAGCCCAGGTTGACAAATGTACATTTTAAGTGTTCAGAGAAGTCTTAAGTGCCTTGCTTTGGTCACAAAGTTGCCACAGGGAAGTAAGTTTTTGAATGTGCAGTGCCCCGTCCCCAGCTCTGTTGTGAAATGGAAACTTTAAAAAAAAAATCACTGATTTAAAAAACCACTGGTTTTGTTTTTTAACAAGTTTAGTCATATTGCCTGTGTTCTATATACCCCAATCTATTTTATTTTACTTTGTAGTGTACATTTAATTTATACTCAAATAAATATTTTACATAAGGTGCTTTCACGGACCTTCATGCTTCCCTAAATATTAAATATGCTGCCCATTTGTTAAAATGTGTTAGTTTTGTTATGTATTATATCCCTTCCCCTGCACACATAGAAAAAAAAAATATGAACTTAACCTTCAAGCAAGTTTTACGTTTAGAATATTACCTCATTTTATTTCTTCTAACTGAGGTTATAAAGAAAATGGCAAATGTCATGTGCTTTGTAAAGAAATGACAGTTTCTCAGAATACGTAAATGCACACCCTTAGACAAATAGGCCACTTAAATTCAGAATCACAGTCTTTTGAATATTGGTTTAATATTCTCAGATAAAGATTGAAAGGATAACAAGTTTTGGAATCAGGTGTTTACTTTGAGTTCTGAAAGGTGACATCACAGGTGTTGGTAGTTTATTGATATTTAATTTTTAAATGTGCTGCTGTATATATTTCATTTGATTAGAAATATGTTACATAGTTATGTTATTTGTTAAATAATAGACCATCTTTTGTATAACCTATCAGAAGAAGTTCTGAGATTGTAAGATTAGATTGTAAATCCTATTGCATAACTAGAATACAGAATTATTAAATTGGAAAGGAAGTTAAATCACTTAGACCGTCCTTCCCCCAGGAAGTCCTCTCTACAGTGTTATCCATGACAAATGTTTATGCAGGCACCCTAACCATTTAAAATACGAAGAGAAGGAGAAGAGATATATCGAGAAAACTATTCCTGAGACAAGAGACCAGGGGAAAACTTTTCTTAGTTGTAACCTACACAACTAGCTAGAATCTACCTCATGCTCTTAAGATGGTGTTTAATCATGAGGATATCATACATAACTGAAATTGTATAATGTTGAACATCTTTTGGTGGCAAGTACCTTGACTTTATTAAATCAGTGTAGGTCTCCTGCATTCAACTATGGTCTCTAGGAGGGCAGGGACCACACTTCTTAGCTCACCTTGGATCTCAAGACCAGTCCAAGGCCTTCATTCAGTCAGAGCTAGTTAAGCATTTGTTAATTGAATGAAGGAAATTAAAAAAAAAAAAACTAGAAATTCCAAATTGTGCAATTACATCTGTGAATTTTAAGGTGTTATTGGAAAATGGGAAAAATTACTGAGATTCGAAGATGGATAGGAACAAAGGTAAAGCATGAAAATGTGCATATTTGTGTGTTGCTAGAGTCAATAGTGATTGCCAGTTCCTATGCAGCCCTGGCACCACCTCTGAAACCTTGGCCAACCCCTGCCATTAGGTGTTGAGATACACGACAGGCAGGTGAGGAAGGAGGGGTGCTCTGGATGTAGTCTTGCCGCTAGACTGTGGTCTTTAGTGTCCATGTCCATGGGGTGAGTTGTGAGCCCATCAGTTTCCCACACTACAGTCCTTCTCTGGCTTAGCCTTCCTTCCCTGTCCTGTGGTCCAGGTTACCCCTGGCCCCTGTGGCCTTCCTCCAGAGATGGACCTTCCTCCACACACTTCTCAGGAGCTCCTGATTCTAGGCATGCCCCAGAACACCGCAACTCCACTCTGCCCTGTCTCCATCAGACCAGAGACCTCACTTAGACCCTGGGTATGGGGTTGTTGGTTCTCCACTTGCTGCGGTTGTCACTAGCCTGAGCTCTATCCTGAGCTCTGTCCATCCTTCTCATCTTCCTCATTGCCCTTTCTGCTAAAGCAACTGCACATCTGAAGGCTATACTTATCCCTAGTACAATGGTACTTTTTCTAAAATGCATACACCCTAATGCTTACCCTTTTGACAATTTTTTCCTGAACCTACCTTTTAATATAAGCAAATTCAGTCTTCAATTCAAATAAGTGTATTTTGCTGCTGAAGCCACCATGTGATTTTGAGAGATAGTGAAGACAGACAGTCTTCTGCATTCACTTGTAGAATCCTGAAAATACCTCTTGGTGTCCCTTGCCTTTCTGACTTCTTGCTTGAAGACATCTAGACAAAAATGTGTCCCTGGGTCCTAGTTTCTGGGTTCAGAAATTGATCGAATGCAAGAAAACAATACACATTGCCTCTTCCTTAGCATGCATGAATGGTAGGTGTGAATTTGCATCATGAGAAAGTAAATAAAAGAAGATTCCCCAGGGCAGCTAGGGAGGCAGAAAAAGCCAGCCTAGGATGGGAGTGGAGGACATGTTAGAGGTTATGAGAGTGAGGGTCCATCCTACCCCACCTCGGTAACTCACTGGTATGGTATAAATGCAAAATTTTGGCTCACACAAAGAAAAATACTCAACTTCTAATGCTTAACTATGTAAAATTTGCTTTTAAAGTACAAGTTAAAATTGTATCGCCCCTCAAAGAAACAAGAAACTCATTACATTTCTAAGAATGTTCCTTCAGAAACATGGAACTGAAAGCTATTTTTAAAAATTGATCTGGCCCTTAGAAAACTGGGGCCTTTTCTTTAATTTACCTAAGGAATTGACATAAAAGTCTAGGGTTCTGCACCAGAAAAATGCAGAAAGTGTCAAAATAAAAGGCAGAAATACAAAAGGAGACTTTTTGCAGCAACGTTCTATGTATAGCATTGATTCCAAGGGTGCAACATAGGGAAGTGAACATGTGGACTGTGAAATTGATGCTAATTTTCTTTCCCACTAGTCTAGCAGCCCTCTAAAATGTCACATTATTAATTTAGTTACTTTACCAGAAATCCGTGTATGTGGTTAGCATGTGTGTTTTTTTTTAATTAACAGACTTTACTTATTTTTAGAACAGTTTTAGATTTTCAAAAAATTGAGCACATAGTACGAGAATTCCCATCTACTCCCTTTGTGGAACACAATTTCCCCTATTTTTACCATCTTGCATTAGTGTGATGTATTTCTTACGATCAAGCCATTGTTGCTTCATTATTATTATTATTTAAAGCCCATAATTTACATTAAGTTTCTCTCTTTGGGTTGTACAGTTCTATGGATTTTGACAAATACACAATGTCATGTATCCACCATTATAGTATCATACAGAATAGCTTCACTGCCCTAAGAATCCCCTGTGCTCTGCCTGTTGACCCTTCCCACCCCTCCCCAACCCCTGGAAACCACTGATCTTTTTACTGTCTCCACAGTTTTGCCTTTTCCAGAATGTTCTATCTTTGGAATCATACAGTATGTACCCTTTTCAGATTGACTTCTTTCATTAAGCAATATGAATTTAAGTTTTCTCCATGTCTTTTCACATCTTGATGGCTCATTTCTATTTATTACCACATAATATTCCATTGTCTGGATATACCACAGCTTTACCAACTGAGGGGCATCTTAGTTGCTAATTATGAATAAAGTGGCTATACATATTCACGTGTAGGTTTTGTGTGGACATAAGTCTTCAATTCAATTGAGTAAATATACCTAGAAGTGTGACTGCTGGATCATATGGTAAGAGTATATTTACTTTTTTAAGAAACTGCTAAACTATATCCCAAAGTAGTTTTACCATTTTGCATTCTTTTCTTTATTTTTTTTTTATTATACTTTAAGTTTTAGGGTATGTGTGCACAATGTGCAGGTTAGTTACATATGTATACATGTGCCATGTTGGTGTGCTGCACCCATTAACTCATCATTTAGCATTAGGAGGTAAATCTCCTAATGCTATCCCTCCCCCCTCCCCCCACCCCACAACAGTCCCCAGAGTGTGATGTTCCCCTTCCTGTGTCCATGTGTTCTCATTGTTCAACTCCTATCTATGAGTGAGAACATGCGGTGTTTGGTTTTTTGTCCTTGCGGTAGTTTACTGAGAATGATGATTTCCAATTTCATCCATGTCCCTACAAAGGACATGAACTCATCATTTTTTATGGCTGCATAGTATTCCATGGTGTATATGTGCCATATTTTCTTAATCCAGTCTATCATTGTTGGACATTTGGGTTGGTTCCAAGTCTTTGCTATTGTGAATAGTGCCACAATAAACATACGTGTGCATGTGTCTTTATAGCAGCATGATTTATAGTCCTTTGGGTATATACCCAGTAATGGGATGGCTGGGTCAAATGGTATTTCTAGTTCTAGATCCCTGAGGAATCGCCACACTGACTTCCACAATGGTTGAACTAGTTTACAGTCCCACCAACAGTGTAAAAGTGTTCCTATTTCTCCACATTCTCTCCAGCACCTGTTGTTTCCTGACTTTTTAATGATTGCCATTCTAACTGGTGTGAGATGGTATCTCATTGTGGTTTTGATTTGCATTTGTCTGATGGCCAGTGATGGTGAGCATTTTTTCATGTGTCTTTTGGCTGCATAAATGTCTTCTTTTGAGAAGTGTCTGTTCATATCCCTTGCCCACTTTTTGATGGGGTTGTTTGTTTTTTTCTTGTAAATTTGTTTGAGTTCATTGTAGATTCTGGATATTAGCCCTTTGTCAGATGAGTAGGTTGCAAAAATTTTTTCCCATTTTGTAGGTTGCCTGTTCACTCTGATGGTATTTTCTTTTGCTGTGCAGAAGCTCTTTAGTTTAATTAGATCCCATTTGTCAATTTTGGCTTTGGTTGCCATTGCTTTTGGTGTTTTAGACATGAAGTCCTTGCCCATGCCTATGTCCTGAATGGTAATGTCTAGGTTTTCTTCTAGGGTTTTTATGGTTTTAGGTCTAATGTTTAAGTCTTTAATCCATCTTGAATTGATTTTTGTATAAGGTGTAAGGAAGGGATCCAGTTTCAGCTTTCTGCATATGGCTAGCCAGTTTTCCCAGCACCATTTATTAAACAGGGAATCCTTTCCCCATTGCTTGTTTTTCTCAGGTTTGTCAAAGATCAGATAGTTGTAGATATGCGGCCTTATTTCTGAGGGCTCTGTCACTATACATCTACTAGAATGGGTAAAATCCAAAAATCTGACAATACCAAATGCTGCTGAGGATGTGGAGCAACAGGAAGCCTCATTGCTCCACATCCTCAGCAGCATTTGGTATTGTCAGATTTTTGGATTTTAGCCATTCTACTAGATGTGTAGTGGTATCTTACTGTTTTAATTTGCAATTCTCTAATGAGGTATGATGCTGACCACCTTTTCATATGCTTATTTGCTGTCCGTGTACCTTCTTTGGTGAGGTATATGTTCAGATCTTTTGCTCCTTATTAAATTGGGCTGTTTGTTCTTTTATCTTTGAGTTATAAGAGTTCATTGTGTATTTTGGATACCAGCCCTTTATCAGATATATCTTTTGCAAATATTTTTTCCCCAATCTTTGGCGTGTCTTTTTATTCATATAATGGTTGATACATGTTTCTGCTTTAAGGAGGAAGGGTTTTAAAAATACAATTTACAGTAGCAGTAAAAATAAAAATTTATTGCAAATGTCTTATGTTCACTCTCAGGTGATGTCAGGGAACTATGGACCCAGCAGGGTTTAATTAAAGGGGAGTGTCAAGTCCTGGGGGCTGTGGTTGACAATCCTCCTTTATTGGCAATTGTGCAGCAGGGCTGGGAGTAAGAAGACAACCCAGTCCTGAGCTGCATCACTTCTAAATTAAGAATAATTCAGGAACTGTGTTTACGGTGAAATCCTGGCCCTTCTCACATAGATTATATTATGCATAGGATATGAATTTCTGTCCATGAATCCAAGTATATATGAAATCATCACTTTGAAAATTTCCTTTAACTCAACTTAATCCCACTGGTGAGCCTCAATCCTGCCAGTTGAAAAAGAGACTGTAACTGGGTCATGCAGGAGTCTCCTTCCTTTCCTGCAGCCCAGTCAGAATTCAAGAAGTTCACCTGGTAACTGGAAAATGATGGAAGGGCCTCAAGTCCCTAGTCTGTCCTGGTTGCCATTGGCACCCTTACTATCTGAGCCCATAGTGGTCTGTGAAGTCCGGCAGCTCCCTGCCCCCATGCCACAGTGGGGAATGAGAATATCTACTGATGCTGGGCCCCATGAGCAAAGCATGCTGCCTTTCTAGGCATGAGCCATCACACCTGAGGTTGCTACCCCCTCGGGAGCACTGATGGAGGGGCAGTTGGGTTTCTACTGCTCACAGGACCCAGACAACCATCCCCTGCCCTCCCTTCTTCTTGCACTTCAAAAGCACTCTCTTCCTCTCTTTTCACCTCTAAGCCACCGGTATCATCTCTTCCATGGGCTTTCACAAAAGTCTGGATGAACCTTTGAACTTGTATCTCTTCTGCTTTCCCCCTTGCATCAAGAAAGCTTAGAAAACAAACACTAATTAACGTTTCAATAAATAATGCTGCTCTAATTATTTGTGGAAACTATTCTGTATTAGAACTACCATCAGCACCGCCTCCTAGAGTGCTTTTAGACTTGACCACTGGCCGCAGGAGGCCACTTCCATATAACAACAAACAGATGGCTGAAATTGGAAAACTCAGCTAAATGTTCAGATGTTTCTAGACTCCCACGGGTTTCTGGCTCTGGCACATGGAGTAGATCCTGACTGTGTGGTCCTCAGGGGACTCTCTCTGGTGAAGTTTGGTGAGGTCAACTTCCACACCCACACACACCAGCTACTGTGTGTAGCCTGTCCTCCTCTGGTTGCTTCTACTTGCAGCCTTGGCCTCTTCAGTCCTGAGAGCGTTGGAGAATGAGGCAGTGGAGGAAGCAGCCCCACACAGAAAGCAGTTTCTGAAGTAACCTCAGCAACTTCCTCCTCACCAAACACAAGGAACTGATCTTCTCCACTGGGCTCGGCCTCTGGTCAGCCAAGGACAACACTGTTGACCACCATCACGGTTGGCCCCACTCCACCCTTGGCTCTGATGACATATGTGGGAGTCAGAGGAATTTTGATTGGCTGACTGCTGGCCTGTCACACAAACAAGATGGGGCAAGGGGGTTGCGATATGACTTGACATGTGAAAAAAAAAAAAGCCGTGGTCAGCAACCCCCTGCAACTGTTGAAAGGCTAATTCAATCTCTGACTCTTTAACAAAAGTGATCTTGTTCACTGCCTGTTCTGCCCTGAGAGCCTTCTCTGCTAGGAGGTAGGTTGACTGACTCAGGGAGAAGGGTGCTGGTGGCAGAGCTGCCAATGGGTGAGGGTCCTAGAGACTATCGACATGAGGGGCAGTTGAGAACACTGTAGTATTTAGCTGAGAGGAGAGACTATTAATAAAATTTACAAAATCAGCTTTCAGCTATTTGGAAGGGTTTATATAAAAGGATAAAATAATATGTTCTGGTAGTTCTAGAAAACAGGACAGAGACAAGTAGCTGGTACTTATGGATTGGAGGAGTGAGTGGCAGTAGTTTGGGGATTATTTATAAAAAAGACATTTTTCTGTTAACTCTCTTTTCTAATAGTGAATTTCCCAACCTGACAAGTAAGAAAGCACAGGCTAGACACGCATCTGTCATGACACTGAAGGGGTCCTTGCTTGAGTGAGAGACTGGAATGATGAGTTTTGAGGTCCCTTACAGTCCAGCAACTCTAGCTAAGTTGGAGAATAAGAGAATTCCATGACACCATATCACCCCCTCATTTCTGCTGCCTGCCTCACCATTCATCTCTCTTTACTCCTTTTAATATCATTCTACGTTACAGCATTGGAGGAGGCTGCTCTAAATAGGAACTGAAATAAGTAGATTAAAGAAGTGCTATGGAAGGGAAAACAATAAAACAACTTGTTTTTTAAGAGCCTACTATTGCCAGGATCTGTGCTAAGCACCATATATATGCCATGTTATTTAACCGTCATGACATGCCTATGAGATATTTAGTATTACTTCTGTGAGGAAGCCAAAGCTCAGAGAGGTTAAATAACTGCCCCAAGAACACACAGGCATTAAGTAGTGGAGCAGGGTTTGAACACAGGTCTCTATGACTCCAAAGTGCAGTGTGATATGTTATTTTTACTGATCTGTTTATGGAAAATGATACTGCTTTCTAATTTAGTATTAACACAAAGATTTTTTTCTAAATAGATTTACTTAAAGTATGTTATAAAAATACTATATAAATAATGAAACAGATTTTACATGAGTATGAAGTGGTACTAGTAGCTAGAATGATGAAAGTTTGGGGAATACTACTCCAAATATTTTGATAGCTAGCCTTTCAATTTAGCCTGTCTTATATTTGGACTGCTGAGTACAAGGAAAAGAAGGAAACATGAAAATTAAGTGAAATATGAGTTACTTCCCCTGTGCTCTGATAGGTGGGTAATTGATCATATGTCACAATAAGAAAATCAAATGAACCCTTTCAAACAACAGCAAAATCTGTGATTGTAAAATCCAGAGGAAAACCCCAGGTGGGATCTATCTGTATGAAGGATGAAATTTCCAAGGTCTGAACATAGAATGGCTGAGAGGAAGTGATGACCCTGTGAGTCAAGACCCTGGACCCTGGGGGAGCCCTGTGGGTTTGAGAAGCCCTGGGTGAAAGGTGAAGGGTTTTACAGGCCTGTTTACAGACCTCTGTAGTGACAGAAGGGAGATCTTTGTGCAAAGGTCAAAGTAAGAATTGGGAAAGTCTGAAAAGAAAACAGGAAAGTAATAATGAAGATGAAATAACTACTTGGCATACTCTGCCACATGATTTACAGGCAAGGTTTCCTTTGTTTTTCACAACAATGCAGCAAAGAAGTGATTATGAGTCACATTTCATAAGTGAGAAGACTGACATTCAAACATGTTCAATAACTGGCCCAGGGTCCAGTGGTCAAGCCAGGACTGGACTTCGGACCACCAGTTCCAAACCCACACCCCTTCCCTTGCACCACACGCTTTTGTGTGGATGAGCCTCCCCAACCCTGTCAACAACAAACTGTCACTTTGTCACTTTTAATGTCTCCTGCTTCACAGGACACAGCTAGCCTCCAAGAGATCAGGGAGGCATGCCCAGAGGGTGCTGCTTCTCTCTTTTGAAGCTCAAGTGCCACAGACCTCAGAGGCACATAAATGTCCCCCACACTGAGCAGAGGACTTTGCAGTGCCTGATCAGGGCAGAAAAAGGAGGCATGCACCTGGGGGAGGATCACATACGAGTGAAACCTGTCCCCGCTGAAGCACTAGGTTTGGAGAAATCTACTGGGCATTTACACACCTTTCCCACTTCTGCTTATGACTTGTAGCCAAACTCAAGAGTACCACCCACTTCCAGGAATAGTGTACCAAGGTAACAGAAACATTCTAGATTCATACAATTGGGGTTAGATTAGGATCATCTGAAAATGAAGGTTGTGTATGTCAATTGCCTTCTAACAGGATGGGTGGAGAGATGTACTTAATGAATGATTTTGGGGAAGGGCTAGAAGTGAAGCACATGGCCTCTCTGCCCTCACTCATTGAAGGCTGTCTTCTGAAGCCCCGTGGAGCTCAGTGCCTGTCACATGGTTGCCCACATTTGTTGAACTGAACTGCATTTTCATCTATGGGCTTCAAAGGCTGTGTGTACTCTGGGATCTCTGGGAATCTGTCAGGGAAGGTGTCTTTGTCATGTTTGTGGATGGGGCTCCCTTTGGGGGTTTCCCAGGGCTTTACACTCATGCTCCGAGGGTACGTTTGTAGTCATTCTCATCAGTGGAAATGCCCACCTGCCGGCAGAAGTTATTTGGAACCAAGCAAGAGCACTGTCCCTGGCTGTGGTGTTGTTTCTCTAGTCAGTTCCCCTTTCTGTATTTGAGTTCTACCGTCAGTCCTGGCATTATTTCTCTCTCTACAAGGAGCCTTAGGAGGTACGGGGAGCTCGCAAATACTCCTTTTGGTTTATTCTTACCACCTTGCTTCTGTGTTCCTTGGGAATGCTGCTGTGCTTATGCATCTGGTCTCTTTTTGGAGCTACAGTGGACAGGCATTTGTGACAGGTATGTTTGTGGAGGCTCAGACGCCTAGGGAGTGGCATGAGATAAAGCTGCAAGCTGCATCTGGGGCAGAAATGCTGATGTGCTAATGGCCGGCCAGAGAATGAGTAAAAGGGATTGCAGAGAGCATGCTTAAAACCTCTGACCATCAGGTTTGCTTCTCAGATTGACTACATTGGAGGTGGGATATTACAAAAATCTGTCTCTTCCTGCCAGATCCCTTCATCTGTTTTTCGTGAGCTAAGAGACAAAATAGGCAGGAAATAGAAGGTGCCACTTACCAAATAATTGGCAGCTGTTCTTGGCTTTGGGGTGCTGGGGTCTCCGAGCAGCCTCTGCTCTAGAAGAAGCAGTCCAAAGATGTCAGCTCGCCTCGCCTGAGTCCCCTGTGCCAGTGGGAAATCCAGAGAAGGGGGATTTCCTCCTCTTGCAGCCTCTCTGCAATGGACTTACTTGGCTTTCCTGTTTGACCTTTCCCTTCTCTGGTCCAGAGACCCTTCCCCAATATTTCTTCCCATCCAAGTGCCCCATCCCAATATTAGCCCCACTTGGCACCAGAGACCAAGATCTAATTTAAAAAGAAATATTCTTGGGTCAAAAAAGAGCCCAAGCAAGTGATTGAACATAATGTGTTTCACATACGGTGAACCTATTTGCATTTGCATTTGCAAACGGGCTTAAAATATCATCTCTATTAATAGCAATTTAAGGTTCTGGAGAGCCAGGTGAAAATAGTTTTTGACAAAGGGAACTTCCTACTCCCCTTAAACTGTAATAATGAAGGAAATGAACTGTTTATCTTACATGTAACCTCAATCTTGGGACTAAGGCCCTGTACTAAAATGCGTCTATTTATGTGCTCAGACTTGCAGTTCGTGTTATGTCTGCTGCTGCAGATACCGTTAATATTATTTATGTGAGCTATCCTGTGTATAATGGAAGCTTTTATAAATCTCTATTTATTTATTCCTAATATAGTTATTAAGTGCTTGCTATGTTCCAGGTACTAGGGACTTAACAGGTAGCATAAAAGACATAAGGAAAAGCTGCACTCTTGTTTTCTAGCCTAGTGGGGAAATCACATTAATTTAATCACACTAAACATGACTACATAGCAATAGTGCTTTAAAGGGAAGGAAATTGTTCTATGTGACTATATCAGCTGATTAATTACCAAGCCTTTGCATTTGATATTTTGGTTAGTCTATTCTTCTTGAATTTCATATGCCTCTTCCTGGGTGGGGGTGAGGATGGGATTTTATGGAGTTGAGGCTAGGGCAGGTAGGGAGAAAACATGAGAAAGATGAAGAGATAAGCCAAGCCAGATTCTTCAGCAGAAAAATCAAGGTTGAAATACCATGTTTCAAAAATCAGACTGAGGTGGGAGTTGAGGTTAGGGGTCCCTAGGCCAGGGGATTGAAGCTTCAAAGAGATAAAACTAGAGCAAAAGCAAGCACAGAGAGTGGCAGAGAGGTCCCTGGGCATTTTTCCACAGTCCATTCTAGTGCTGGCAATCCACCTTTCATGGCCAGGCAGGTAAGAGTATTTGTGGGGTGGGAGAAAGGACAGGGCCATAGGCTGGGCACACAGCCCTTTACTGGCCCTTATCTCTCCTCTCTTCTCCTATACAGTGCTGTTTCCGAACTGTACATTGGCTTACACTCGGGCTGAGGTTTGGGAAATAGGCGCCATTTTGAATATGTGTGGAGGAAGAAAAGTGTGTCTTCAGCACTTTCCACCTCCCCATCACGGCCCTGAGACCTCAACACCGGGAAGCATCTCGTTCCCTATCGGTCCTCCTTTATTCATGGACGGATATGATTCCTTTCTAAGTTCCATGTCCTTTTTAGATAAATTAACTTGAACCTAATGCCTAATGGCTTAAAAACAAACAAAAAAAACCCTCTTCCTTCCAGCTAGCATTTGCATTTTAACAGGGGCTTTCAAAAAATGCCTTAGCCCAAGGAATGAGTAATGTGGGAATTCCAAGCAGCAGGGTAGGACTGGTGCACAGTATGGGGAGAGAAGGCCCCTCAAGTTGTGGCCCTGAAATGTTGGCTTCCTCTCTTTGACCATGATGCTGTTTCTGAGAAAACAAGAATCAGGCTACCTTAGGGGACCAGGATGGGCATGGCTCCCTTTTAGTGAGTTCTATGAGCCTCATACCTGACAGTCAGAGCCCTCGAGTGGATGAGCACAGACTAGAAGAAGCACTGTGAAACTTTGCATGATCCTTACCTTTTTGGCAAAAAGGAAAAAAAATCGTTCTCAAATTCATCAATAGTTTGAAATAGGGTGTGCCTTGATTCAGAAAGTTTCGATTCTAGATACAACTCGGAGAACTAGGCGTGTCTTGTACACAGATTTGCTCTTGGGGGACCGGAAAAGCTAAATGCTATCGCCATGCTATGCTCCTTCTTCTAGGCCAGTGAGGGGAACGCATTCTTCATTTTAATATTTCAGTTGCCTACAATATTGGAAGGTGGATAAAAGCACCCTCTGCTCCTTCTAAATCTGCGAAGACATTTCTTCTCTGCACCTACTCATCCTTGATGCAGCTCTCCTCATGTCTGTATGGAAACACTGTGCTCTCAAATGAGTTTCAGAAAGAACAACTCACGAAAGAAAACAAGCATTCGGTCAGAAAAATCTCCACAAATGGGGAATAAGGGGGATTTGCTCCAAGGAGAGACTGGAAACCAAGTCAGACATAAAATCCAGCCTAAGCTAGAAGGAGACATGGCTGGTGGGAGCTTGAGGAAAACAGAGCTCAGGATGGAGGACGTCTCCACCTCCAGTCATGTCCTCTGTCCACCAGACACCAAGAAGTGTTCATGTTCCATCGAGGCAGCCCTCACACCCATCCCTTCCTCATCATGCCGACTGCCTCTTTACTGCTTCAGGCTCACCATCTCAAGTCGACGAGCCTGTAATACTGGCTTTCTTGATCACCCTGATACCAGCCGTCACCTCTTGACAGGCTTATTTTCTTTAAGCTGTCATTACACCATTTTTCTGCTCCCAAACTATTAATTCCAAACTTCCAATTTTCTGTTAAATTAAATATGAATTCCTTATTTGACTTTCCATGCCCTATTAGGCTATCTTGCTCCTTGCTTTACTTATAGAAACTAATCTCCCATTATTTATCCAAAGACAACCTCTGCTGCAGGCCAGTCAGCTTTTCTTACTGTCCTGTAAAAATTCCATGGTCACTCCTCCATTTCCATGTGTCCTTAAAAACTGTTATTTGATTGTGTCTCAGAAAGTCGTCAAAGAATATATACCAATGAAAAGCATCAAAAAGGTTATACTTGATGTTATGTGTGTATCAAAAATATGGCTGAAATATTTATCCAGTGAAACTCAATCAACACTAAAAAGTGGTTCTTTCGGAAGCATCAGTTCTTTGAGACCCATTAAACAGATGCCTCGGATGCAGGGTTATATATTATCAGGAATCTGTCTAGGGAAGAATTATTGGAAGCTTGCAAAGCCTTTCAAGGACAGAGGACGATAGCTACCACGTTGAGTTCTAGGAAATTAACCATTGTTATTGTTAAAGGAAGACAGCGTTTCTCAGAGGAAGACTGTTAAACAGTGCAGTGGCCCAGGCTAACAGCCCTCATAAGTGGGAGTATCAGAATGAGTGGACTTAATTACTTAAAACCAATACAGGGTGGAACTTCATCTGCTATAACAGAAATCAACTCGTGCAAGTTCTAACATGCAGGGTACAGTTCTGAGACCAAGTCTGACTCACCTGTCAAAGCTCAGCTCAACTATTACCACCTTTACACCACCCTTCCAAGCTGTAGGAGTGCTTGCTGTTCTCCATGTCTTCTGAAGCCCTGGATCACTTGTAGCCAGCTCAGCAGACTCTACCCAGACAGGGATCCTTTAAATGTACCATATTGTCTACTGTGTTAAAAATGAGAGGAACTGACTCAGGGTGAGAGCGATGGAGTGTCCAGATGTTCTCCTTTATTTCTCCTTATTCCTGGAAATGTAATGAGAATCTTAGAGGTGAACTGAAAAGTTATGAGTTCAACCACTTACTCAATTCGAGATTCGCTCCTAAAATGTCTCTTCTGTGTTATCACCCCCACTTTGGTTTGAATAGTACTTGTGACAGGGAGCTTATCACCTCACAAGAAAATCCAGTCATTGCTTGTAGCTCTCTATTAAAAGTTTTCCATCATCTGGAACTGAAATCTGGCTCCCTGTAACTTTTAGTTATTGGAACTACTTGCCCTTCAGCAACAGTGTATGTATCCTCCCATGGAAGGGCCCTTACATATTTGCAGACACCCAGCATATACTTGCAATCTTTTCTTCTTCAGGTTCATTACCCTAGTCCTTTTAGTTGTTCTTCATTTGACATAATTTCATTATTCACTAGTGAACCTTGCTGCCCTTCCCCTTGATAAACCGAATTTGTCAGTGTCATTCAAGTATAACTGACCTCACAGAACGTGATACCACAAGCGATGTGGTCTGATTAGCACAGAGTTCAGTGAATGAATCCTACACTAGGATTGGATGAAATTTACTTAGCCATACCACACTAACACTTATGTGATTTTTATGTTTACTATGGATAGACTATTTCTCCTGTGTCCACTTCTTCCTCTTACACAGTTGTTATTTCAAAACTGAAGTACAGATTCTTACACTTACCCTCAGGAGATTCATCATGTTAGTATTAGTCTCTCTTTTCAGGCTTTATGAATGTTAATTCAGCTAACTCATTTTTGAGCTATCTGTCTCATTTTGTGCCATCTGCACAGCATAAGTTTGATTTCTGTTGCTTTTATTAGTAGTTTTACTAAATACATAAAAGTGAAATAGTGAAACACAGAGTCTTGTAGCATCCACTGTGGGATCAGTCTTTTAGACAAGAATGATGCAGTTGCTGAGTCAAATGAATAAATGAATAAATCAAACAATACTTTGTCCTCATTTCCCATATTGATCTATCACCATATCCTGTTAATTATAATTCTAAATATTTCTTGATCTATCCACTTTTCCCTTACTTCACCTGCTACTATCCCAGACCAAACAGCCATCTTCTTTCACTCAAACAATTGCAGTAGCCAACTGATTGGTCTTCCTGCATCTGTCCTGGCTTCCCTATCATCCATTTGCTACACAGAAACCATGGTCATCTTTTCAAAATGCAAATCTGATGATATCAGTCTCAGCTCTAATTTCTTTGGTGGTTCACATATAAAGACTGAAATCTTTAACTGACCAATAACACACGTGTGATCTGGCCCCTGCTCACCTCTTCAGCCTTGTCTTTCACCTGTCTCTTCATTTTGGCCACAGGGACCTCCTCGTACCTTCTCTCACGTGCCCTCCTGCCTCAGCGCCTTTGCATATGCTGTTCCCTTTGCCGAGAACTCTTCCTGTCAACTCCCAAGCCCTTCACCTACTTAGCACCTACCTATTCAATCTGTTCTGTTTGCCTCTTGGTATGTTACAAACTGTCTCCAAACTTAGCAGCTTAGAACAATGAATCCTTTACCCTCTCTCACAATGTTTGGGGTCAGGAATTTGAGCGGGCCTTGGCTGATTTTTCTGTTCCTCATGCCATCAATTGATATCACCTGATGTTATTAAGCTGATGGATGGGCTGATCTGGAGATGCACTGTCCAGTTTGGTAGCCACTGGTTACCTGAAATGCAGCCAGTCCTAATTGAGATGTGCTATAACTATAAAACACCCACATGATTATTGAAGATTTGGTGCCACCAAAAAATTTAAAATATTCGTTAATAATTTGTATTCTGATTACATGTTGAGATTATAATATTTCACATACATCAGATAACATAAAATGTCATTAAAATTAATGTCACCTATTTCTTTTTAATTTCTTTAATGTGACTACTACAAGTTTTCAAATTATATCTGTGGCTTGTAATTGTGGCTTGTATTGTATTCTTTTTTTCTGAGATGGAGTCTTACTCTGTTGCCCAGGCTGGAGTGCAGTGGCGAGATCTCTGCTCATCGCAAGCTCTGCCTCCCAGGTTCAAGTGATTCTCCTGCCTCAGCCTCCTGAGTAGCTGAAATTACAGGTGCCCGCCACTATGCCCAGCTAATTTTTGTATTTTTAGTAGAGACGGGGTTTCCCCATAATGGCCAGGCTGGTCTCAAACTCCTGACCTCAGGTAATCTGCCCACCTCGGCCTCCCAAAGTGCTGGGATTACAAGCATGAGCCACCACACCTGGCCTGTTTTATATTCTTACTGGACAGTGCTGATCTAGAGCAGGAGTCAAGCAGTTTTTTCTATGAAAGGCCACATAGAAAATGTTTTCAGCTTTGCAGGCCATGCAGTCTCCATCATAGCTGTTCAACTCTTCCATTGCACTGCAAAAGCAGCCATAGATAATAATTTACAATAGACATAGCAGTGTTCCAGTACAACTATTAATAAAAATAGGTGGTAGCCAGATTTGGCCTACAGGCTGTAGTTTGCTGACCCCTGATCTAGAAGATCCAAGATTTTATTCATATGTCTGGTGGCTTGGCAGGGATAGGTGGAAGGCTCAGCTGGGACCATTGACCCAAACAGCTATACAGTCCTCTCCAGCATGATGGTCTCGGGGTAGTGGGACATCTTACGTGGTGGCTCAGAACTCCAGATAAGGTACTCCCAGAGAGACAGGTAGAAGCTGTGAGGCTTCTTATGACCAAGCTCTCGAAGTCCCAGAATATCCCTTGTACTGTATTCTATGGTCAAACAGGTCACTCAGGCTAGCCCAGATTCAAAGAGAGGAGATCCAACTCTACCTCTTCATGGGAGGAGGAGTAGCCAAGGATATGTGTTTCTTTTTAATCTATTATATCATTCTTCAGATCTCAGTTTAGGCTGGTCCTGTTATGGGCTCTCAAAGTACCATGAACCTCTCTTTTGTAGCACTTGTCATAGCTAGTTTTACATTTCTCTGTATGATTACTTGATCACTATCTTGCTTTTCTACTAAACTGTAGGCAACCACGTGAAGAGGAACTGTTTCTGGTTTTGCTCATTATATTCCTAGCACCAAACACAATGCTTGGTTCAATAAATATTTGTGGAAGAAACGAATGAATGAATGAACCAATAGCAAATGAATGAATGAGTAATAACTGTATCAATATTAATCCTACATTTCTCCATATTGCTGTCACGTATATCATAAGATACTCTGTCAGAAGCCTTGCTAAAATTCAAATATATTTGATTCCCAGTAACCTTCTTATTTTGTAGTTCAGAAACTTTATAAAGAAGGAAATAAGCCTATCTTACTCTTCCCAGTATCTCAAAGAGGGTTTCTGCCCTGAGCTGCTCAAGAGGGTTTCTGCCCTGAGCTGCTGTTCATTCTGCAAACACTGCTCGAATACCCACTGTGTGCCAGGTACAGAGAGTTCTTCTCTGCTGTAATCTGGACAGGCACCAGCTTCCCAGCGTGGGTTTAGGCTTCAGGTGCACACTACTGTGTACCGTCTAAGCCACACCTAGAAGAGCTCTGGGGAAATATGACTACTTGGGCAGAAAAGGAAGGAACTAAGAAGAGGTATCTTTGTGTCTGAGGTCTGAAGGAGCGTGTGGGCTCTTGTTCAGGCAAAGGGCAGGATGAGGGGAGGTGGGGTGGCAGCAGCCAGTAATGGGGTGGGACAGCGGAATGCAGAGGATGAAACTTCAGGTCCTGGTGCTCTGAGAAGTAACGCTGTGCAGCATGTCACACCCAGAGGCAAACCAAGGCCCCAGGGAGCTGATGTTGCACTGGAGCTCTACTCTCCTCTCAGCGAGCTGGTGACGTGCCAGTCCAGCAGGCCTGGCTTATCCAACCACAAGTATGAATCGGCAGAAGGCAATGAGCTGGGCCCTGAGTGCTGCTGGGCTGAGGCCGACCTAATCCTTCCTCCACAGAGACTGTGGTGTCCCCTGCTTTGCTCAGGGTAAGAACTCTTGTATACCTCACAAGAAGCCAAGGACTACCTACCACCTTCCACACTGGCCCTGGAGCCTGCATTGTAGTTATTTGTGGACACTTTTTCTTCTCTTTAGTGCCAGGTGGGGGACCAAGGCCTACATGTCTTTACAACCCCTCAATCTCTAGAACAAGTCTGACACTGAGTAGATGTAGCAAATGTTTGCCTGAAAGACTACCTCAATAAATAACCTTCTGAGGCACCAGCAAACTTCTCAGCATTTTTCCTGATACTCCGGTTACCACTAACATTCTACACAAAGTTGTGAAATAAGTCTTTTTCTTTGTTGCTCTCCAACATCTACTGTGGACCCCTCCTCTCACTTCCTGTTTCATCCTCTCTGCACTCCCCTGTCCCACCCCATTACTGGCTGCTGCCATTCCACCTCCCTCATCCTGCCCTTTGCCTGAATGAGAGCCCACATGCTCCTTCAGACCTCAGATACAAAGATACCCCTTCTTAGTTCCTTCCTTTTCTGCCCAAGTAGTCATATTTCCCCAGAGCTCTTCTAGATATGGCTTAGATGGTCCACAGTAGTGTGCACCTGAAGCCTAAATCCACGCTGGGAAGCTGGTGCCTGTCCAGGTTAAAGTGGAGAAGTACTCTCTGTACCTGGCACACAGTGGGTATTCGAGCAGTGTTTGCAGAATGAACAGCAGCTCAGGGCAGAAACCCTCTTGATGCAAAGGGATACTTTGGGGCCCCTTCTTCTCCCACCCCAGTCTGTCTCTCTGAGAGTCCTCTCGATTCCAGGAGCCACCATCACACCTGGCCCTAGGCTGTGCTGCTCCCGTCTGTCTCAGAGGCTAGATAACATCAGAGTCCTTTCCACTGGCTCCTGTGGCAGAGCAAAAACTGGTTGGCATTTTTAAACGTGCTACACCAGTGTGTGAAAGAAACACAGGCTGCATGGGTTTAAATCTCAGCTGTACCATTTACTAGCTGGGCAGCCTAGGGCAAGTACTGTGACCTCTCTGAGACTCCATTCCTTCATCTGTAACATGGGGACAAATAATCTCACCCTGTTGTGAGCAGTAATAATATGATTAATCATTTAGCCAACTCTTATTCATGTTCTCTGATGGGCCAGACATACAAAGTAAGTGAAAGTGGATTACGGCAGGTGCTCTTCTTGGTTTCTGGAGTGAACCTCCATTTACATGGAGGCTCCTCTTTTTAGATTTCTGACTAGTTCACCCACCTTATTCATAGACCTTATTCTGTGCTTAGCTGACAGAAATCTCCTCTCAGAGAATCCCCCCGGTAAATTCTTAGGTTCTTTCCTCTTCCATTCCCCTTTTTGCTCTCTCCCTCCGAAGGCAAGAGTTTCCACTTTACAGGCCCACTGGAGAAAGTTATGGCTTCTGGTTGTGGTTGGAGGTTCATTCCTGAGGGAGTGGGGACATTTCTACACTTCTTCACGGCCAATGACATTGGAGAAACTGGCTTCCTAACCCAGCCCACACCCTCGCACACACACATCACACATCATGGCTAGAATGGAGAGAAATTCTTCATATGGGGCACTTGTACTTCATGAAAGAAAATCATATCAATCTTGAGTATTTTAACATCCTATTACAGCAGGGTCACTGATAAACTAAGTGTCCAGAGTGTTTTCTAGGATGGTGTGTGGTCTCCAAATTAACATTAGTGAAGCTTACTGGAAGGATTGTTACTCCTGGGCCAGGCCAGGATTTTGAGGAGAGATGTGTTTGCTGTCACCAAATCCTTGACAGACTTTGGCAGAAGTGTGTTAGGCTTACTCTGGATAGCTTCAGAGGACAAAACTAGTATTGACGGAAGGAAGGTAAGGAGAAGCAGCTTCTAACCCAGGGGAAGAGAGAGTTTCCAAACTGAGAAATCAAAAATGGTACTGATTCCTTGTCAGGGTCAGTGCTTCTCCCCACTGTGTGAATTACAGGGGCCATTTGTCCAAGATTCCTTAGAGCAATACTGATTTCATGTAATTATTTGAATGAAAGGTGATTTGTTAAATTTATAGTAAAATATAATTTGATTTGTGTCCCTGTTTGTCATGCCACCCCAGAAGAAAAATTGTCTTTGGTTAGGTCGAACATAATGGTTTTTTGGTTTGCAAACCATGAGCGATTCCCATATTAGGTGGGAGTTCAGATTCAAAGGGCCCTCTTTTTTTTTTTTTTTTTTTTGTAGTAGCCAGCCTAATGAGTAGGAAGTTGTTCTCACTGTCATTTTATATTGAATTTCTTTTATTTTGAGTATGACCATCTTTTCAAATGTATGAGATAGTTATTTCCAGTTCCACATACTATCTGTACATTTCTTTTGCCCGCTTTTAGTTTGGGTCTTTGGCCTTTTTCTTATTGATTTATAGAAGCTCTTTTATACATAGAAAATTAATACTTTGTGACTAGTTGCAAATATTTTCAGTTGCTGAAATACACAGTAGGTGTTCCATGTAAGAGCTGAACAGCTGGTTCCTGATTGCTGTCTCCCTCCCTTCCAGCCAATAGATTTCAGAGTTTGGGCATTACCTATTGAGCCAAAGCTGACACCACACAAGCGCAGAGTATGGGAACAGAGTTCTCTGTCTGATTCCTGTGAGCTTCCTCATACTAAATCACCAACAGCAACCTACTTATCACAGAATATGAGAATTGAACAAGTGTTGGCAAGGATGTGGAGAAATTGGAGCTCTTGTTCCAGTTGTCGATGGGAATGTAAAGTGATGTCGCTGCTATGGAAAATAGTGTAGCAGTTCCTCAGAAAATTAAAAATAGAATGACCACATGATCTAGCAATTCCCCTTCTGGGTATATACCCAAAAGAACTGAAAGCAGAGTCTTAAAGAGATATTCATACAGCCTTGTTCATACCAGCATTATGCACAATAGCCAAAAGGTGGAAGCAACTCAAATGTCCATCAAAAATGAATGGATAAACAAAATGTAGTATGTACATACAGTGGAATATCATTTAGTCTTAGAAAGAAAGGAAATTCAAACACATGCTACAATGTGGATGGCCCTTGAATACATTATACTAAGTGAAATAAGCCAGTCACAAAAAGACAAATACTGTATGAGTTTACTTATACCCTAAGCAGTCAAATTCATGGAAACAGAAGGTGGAATGGTGGTTGGCAAGAGCTGAGAGGAGGAGAGAAAGAAGAGTTATTGTTTAATAGGTATAGAGGCTTAGTTTTGCAAGATGAAAGAGTTCTGAAGATGGATGTAGTGATGACTGTACAACAATGTGAATGTATTTCATACCACTGTACACTCAAAAGGTGAAGATGGCAAATTTTATGTGTATTATGCCACAACTAATAAAGATTTCTAAAACTTATGAGATCTAATTTCACCGTTTCCTATTGCTAAAGATCACAAATTAGAAAACACGTTGGCAAAAGGTACATGAAAATAAGCACTCTTGTGTTGATCAGAGCATAAACGTATAATCTCATAAACTAATAAAGATTTCTAAATAACAAAGATTTCTAAAACTTATGAGATGTAATTTCACCATTTCCTATTGCTAAAGATCACAAATTAGAAAACATGTTGGCAAAAGGTACATGAAAATAAGCACTCTTGTGTTGATCAGAGCATAAACGTATAATCTCAGGGGAGAACAATTTGCAACTATTCTTCAACCCTTTGGTCAAACGATTCTGCTTCTAGGAATATAGCTTACTCCCACCTGTGTGATATGGCATATAATCAAGGTTTTCCATTGCAACAAAAGATTGGAAACAACGTTAAGTATCCATCACTAGTGGTCTGGAAATATATATATATTATTGTCATCCAATAGAATACAATAGACTAATATGCAACTTTTAGCATGAGGATACTCGTTACATGCTGATACAGAATAATCTCCAAGGTAGTCATATGTGTGCAAAACCGTACATAGTATGCTACCATTTGTGCTTAAAAATAAAAAGAAAACAGAATATGGGTCAATGTTTTTGTTTAGTTTTGTCTAAAGTAACTTTAAGTAGAGGCAAGAAACTGGTAACATGTAACAGTGATCACCCCTGTTACCTCTGTGGAAGAAAACTAGACAGCTAAGGGACAAGGCTGGGAGGCAGACTTGCTTTCCACTATTTATCACCTTTATCTTTCAAATTTAGTACCATCTACATTTAGTACCATGATCTATTCAAAAATATTTATTAAAAAAAGAAAAGGTATAGTCTAGAAGGAAAAAAAACATAACAGACACTTCTAGCCCAATGTCCTGCACTGGGTGCTATGAGAGCAGAGGAAAGAAACACATATGGCTTCTAGACAACACCGTCTGGGGCATACATTTCTGCTATTCGATCAAGAATAGTTGTGCATCTTTTCCTGGAAAGAATTGATTTGTTTTTATCAACAGACCTATGAATTTAGTGGACAGACCTGTGAATTAATTCACTGGTTAGGTTTTCCTTTTTACATTGGCTGTTAAAAAGCTATAAGCCAAATTTATGTCCCCCTCAGTGCAAATTGGGCAGATTTCTAGGGCAAGCATTTAGCACTGGCCTTGTCCTTGGCTCTGTATCATATTCCTGTATTTGGTTTGCTTTTCCACCTGTTTCTCATGTTGGTCATCTTTCCTGTGTATGGCCATACCATCCTGAATGTGCCTGATCGCATCTAATGTTGGTCACCTCTCCTTATTCTTTGCTTCCTTATAAGCCACTAAGCAGCCTTTTTGGTGCTAGTTAGGGTAAGTGCGTGGGTAGTGAAGGAGGGAGGAGGGAGAGGAAGAAAGAAGATAGAGGTTATAAAGCAAAGCATATCCTTTTTCTTGGCTTCATCATGTAGATTAAGTGAATTGCTCTCAAAGCGTGGTCCTTAGGCCGGCAGCATTGTCATCACCTTATGTTGTTAAACATAAAAATTCATGGGTTTCATCCCAACTTACTAAGCCAGACTTTCTGTGGTTGAGGCCCAGGAAACTCTCCAGGTGATTTTTACTCACATTCAAGTTTGAGAACCACAGGAAAACAAAAGGAAGGCAGATTTCTAAGCGTAAATGCAATACTAACCGATTGCCCCCATCATGCCTGTTATGTTGGTCAAGATAAATAATACTAGCTACTGCAATAATCAATCCCTCAAATTTTATTTTTTGCCAATATCACAATCCATTGTAGATCAGTTGTGGGAGAGGTGTAAAGAGAGCTGCTTTATTAGTTTATTAAGCAAACCAGATCTCTTCCATTGTGAGACTTTGCGATTTTCTAGGCCCTTGGACATTTCCTCTGGATCCCCTGCTGCTAAGAAGGCAGGAGAGGGAGGAAAGAGAAGAGACTTTAGCAGCCAGATCTGGAAGAAACATCTTTTCTGCCCACAATTCCATTGGCTAGAAGCCAGTCTCATGGCCTGTATAACTGCAGGGGAGGCTGGGAAATGTGACCTATCGATGGAGCTAAGAGCAAAAGGAAATGGCTTTGATGAAGCCCTGGCATTGTCTCTGCACACCCGAGAACCCAAGTGAATCCCAAACTCCACGTCCAGGTCATGTTTTGGTGAACATCGGTTTTCAGTTTCCTTTTCTAATCAAGTTTTACCTTTTTTTTTCTCGACTCTAGCACTATGGGACTGAGTAACATTCTCTTTGTGATGGCCTTCCTGCTCTCTGGTAAGAACCTTTCAGCTTTGTTAAGTCCTGGAATCCTACTGTCTCCTGATGAGTCTGACCACAGCAAGCCCAGGCCTGAGACTTGGTGGGTTTTACTCACTTTCTACTGAGCATTGTACAAGACCACATGCAAAAAAGACTTTCCTGGAGAAGAAGGAAGTGTTATGATTGAGAGCAGCTGATGGCAGGCAGCTGGGATGGAGCTCTCCCCCCCGTGTGCTTCTTCCTCCTCTGCAGTCTCACATCAGTGAGCCTAGATGCTCAGAGTAGGGTAGCCTGGCCCATCCCATGGGGATGGGGGAAGGCTGCTGCACTGAGGCCCCTGAGACTTGACTCTTTTGTTCCACACATATTCTCTTCTGGTCTTCTCTGACCCTGTTTCTGTCTTTCTCAGGCTCCTAGGAAACAACTGACAGAATTCCAAAAGTCTCCCTTCATTCGGAGCACTGGCTTTCACGTCCCTGACTTCCCTACCCTCTCTCACTCCCTTCCCTACAGCCCATGCACATACCTCATGGTTGCCACGGCTTCCTGACAACTATGGATGTTCAGCTAATTGTGTCAGCTGATTTATAGTGGAGCCAATGAAGCTGAAGCTTCAGAGCCCTCCATTTGCACAACCCTTTCTAAATCCCCCTCAAGACCCTGTGAAGGGCCCCCTAGCAGTGTGGTCACCTGTCTTATGCTTTGGTAAAATTTGAATAAGTAAGATATTGTAACCACAATAAGTTATGACCACTGTCTCCTTCCTCTGCAACTTTTCCCTCCATGCCATTCTCCTGTCTGGTGGTGTTAGCAGTCAGGGGCATTTTGTATTTGAATTCTACATTCTTTTTCTTAACTATCCACCACCTCCCCTCAAAATTTTAACAGCATCCAGCCTCACAAAACTCAGATCTTCCCTGTTTACAGTTCCACTTTGAGTTTCAGTTTCTTCATCTATAAACAGGAGTTGGCTGCGGTCCCTGCCATGTATCCTGTGACTCAGTGTCTCGTAGTTACTCCTGGCCCACCCCTTCCTGCTGCTCCTTGTCTCCACCTGCAGGCCTGAGAGGGAAGCCACCCCACTAAGACAGGGAGGTGAACTGAGCCTGAAGTTTGGCTACAGCACCCACAGGCCACCAGCCATGAGTTCACCTCCTCCAGATGGCCACACACCAGGCCCTTGGCCACTGTCCCCATGTCTGCTGTGGATGATGAGGAGTCAGGGAACTACAAAGAGATGGTCCCTCAGATCCATGCTGGCTGGGATAAGCCTTTTCAGATTTCTGTTTTTCTGCTTAGCACCTTGAGCTTGTGGAGTCCTTGAGTGCAAGGTCTGTAGATGTGCCAGCTGATCACTGACTTAGGTAACAACAGCAGCTTCCAACCCCCAGGGCCCATGACCTGCTACCTTAGCTCCTGGGGATGTGGGAGGTATGTGTGTGTCAGAGAGCAAGGCAAGAAGACTCTAGAGAACATTATCCAGTAAGATTCCCTTCTCATCCCACTTCTTATTTATTTATTTTATTTATTTTATTTTTTGAGACAGCATCTTTCTCTGTCACCCAGGCTGGAGTACAGTGGCACAGTCACAGCTCACTGTGGCCTCGATTACCTGGGCTCAAGCAATTCTCCCACCTCAGCCTCCCCAAGTGCTAGAATTATATGCATGAGCCATCGCACATGACTTATTTTATTTATTTGATAAATGCATATATACACACAGTCATGAATCGTTTAACAACAGGGGTACGTTCTGAGAAACACATTATTAGGCGATTTTGTCATTGTATAATCATCATAGGGTGTCCTTACACAAAACTAGATAGCATAGCCTGCTCCATACTTAGGCTACCTGGCACAGCCTATTGCTCCTAGGCTACAAGCCTGCACAGCATGTTACTGTGCTGAATACTGTAGGTGTTGTAACACAATGGTATGTATTTTTGTATCTGAACATATCTAAGCATAGAAAAGATACAGTAAAAATATGGTGTTATAATCTTATGGGACCACCATTGTATATGACTGAAATGTGGCTGTGCAATACATGACAGTATATGCATATATATATATATCCCTTACTTTGTGCCTGGTACTGTTCTAAGTACCTCATAAATATTAACTCATTTGAGCCTCACAATAACTCTCTGCTTTAGGTCTTGTTGTTATTTCCCATTTTAAGATGTGGACACTAAAGCCCAGAGAGATGAAGTAATTTACCCAAGATCGACAGAGCTACTAAGTGGCAGAGCTTGGATTCACACCCAGCAATGTAGATTTAGCATTCGTTCACTTGACTCTTCTCCTAACTCTTGTGGTAAACCATGAATAAGTGGTAAGACTTCTTCCATGGGGCCTGAACAGCTTTGGTGGATAATATAGCTTCTGCCTCATCCGTGTTCATCCAGTGCCTCCTCCCCATCACCTGCAGCTGACACCTCAGTTGACCCAAGAGCTTGGGCCCAAGCCCTTCTCATCAAAGTGACCAGCCCAGCTCTCAAGATCTGGGAGAGAAGGAAGAAAAATGCCCTGGAAACACATTTCCAGAAAACACTAAACTGGAACACCATTTCCCACCAAATTTTCTGACTCCGCACACTGAAAGTGAGAAAGTAAAGCCGAGACACTCTATGAAAACTGAGTTCAGGTGTCACTTTTGCCCTTGATTTGCCATTGACACTTCTTAGAAGTTTC
Organism: Homo sapiens; assembly: GCF_000001405.40. NCBI lineage: Eukaryota > Metazoa > Chordata > Mammalia > Primates > Hominidae > Homo > Homo sapiens. Next base: position 122,094,330 of record NC_000003.12, read on the forward strand.
TTAGCTCCTGAGAAAAGAGTTACCAATATTGAAAGCAACAACCTCAAATGGTAACCGTTTAAGTTTTATGGTGGTGAGAGAATAAGTGACTATATTTTTGGCAGTACAATTTTAAAGTGGAATAGAAAGCCCATGACATCAGATCAGAAAATAACATTGCCAGTAATTCACACACGATGAAAAGCAACAAAAAATCAGATTCTATTTGAATTCTTTCTTCTCAGGGCACACCTCTGCTTACTGGGCTGGTGAACAGTGACCTAGCCACAGGGCCGGCTTCCAAAGGGAGAAAGGAGATGCAATTGGCCCACATAATCCACCCTCAAAATGTAGAGCTGAATAATTCATTTCATGGCATAGAAATAGCAATACAGTGAAGCAATTCTGTTTAACTTTTCCCTCCCTATATTTTGTGTCCTCTGTCATGGAAATTTGACACAGTAGTATTTGCTGCCCCTGCTCTTGAGGATAAAATTGGATGGGAGTTTAAGACTGAAACGGGCACCTGTGGCCTTGCAGAATTAGGTTACAGTTTGTGCCTTGTATTTACAAAGCGAAAGGAATTCCTAGTGCCACCTGCAGAGGCACTTCTAACTTTCAAGCTCTGTTTGCCACTGTCCTGGCACCTCCATCACACTTTTAGGCTGGAGCCAGAGAGGTTTTTGAAAAATCAGTAGCTCCCACATCAGGAGGAAGTATCTTTCCAGTTTGAGTTTTGGTAGCTGCTCTCTTTTTGTCTGAGGGTTCTCTGGGTCCTAGGGCTTTCTCATTTCTCTTGAACAACACCTCTAGTTAATTTCATGTACCTGGAGTGGTAGTTGGAATATTTCTTCACTTTAAGATTTTTTTTTTTTTTTTTTGAGATGGAGTCTCACTCTGTTGCCCAGGCTAAAGTGCAATGGCATGATCTTGGCTCACGGCAACCCCCGCCTCCCAGGTTCAAGTGATTCTCTTGCCTCAGCCTCCCAAGTAGCTGGGATTACACCTACCACCACAAAATACAAAAATACACAAATAATTTTTGTATTTTTGGTAGAGACGGGGTTTCACCATGTTGGCCATGCTAGTCTCGAACTCCTGACCTCAGGTGATCTGCCCGCCTCGACCTCCCAAAGTGCTGGGATTACAGACAGGCATGAGCCACTGCGCCCGGCCCACCTTAAGATTTATGTAAGATTGGCTCAAAAGCTCATTCCTGTGGAAAGGTCCACTGTTTTCCTCCCAAGATTTTTGCAGATATCTGCGTGGGTGGTTACTTTTGACTCCCATTTCCTGCTGTTGTTGATAGCCCTCATTAAAACCATCACCTGGAGGTGAATAGACAGTCGAGACCTATCATTCCCAAAGAATTGTCATGGAGCCTAATAGTTCTATTGGATTCACCCCTTTATGTTAAGCCACCATTTCAGTGTTTTTCAAAATAGATATATGTTATCTAGTAGGGAGTATCTTACCCCCAAATTAGTTGATTGTTTCAGGAGGGCTTTTAGTGGGTTCCAGAGAAAATGAGCAATCAGACAAGTTGATTTAGTGGAAGACAGTCACTGAATAGGATGTGTATAGGGTTGTTTGGGAGCAAGAGTGAAATTGGTATGGAACAGAGAGGCTCCCAAGGCAAGCAGACATTTTTTTTGGAAGAAGCAAGTGTTTGAGAGACTGTGGCTTATTTTTCCTTTGTGAGAGGGGAGTTTTAATACCATTTCCAAAATATGTAACCTGGTATTTTGTCCCCAGAAGTACTGTTGAGATTTATGGAAGCAAAAAACTCTGTCACCCAGGCTAGAGGAGTGCAGTGGTGCTATCAAAGCTTACTGCAGCCTCTAATTCCCAGGCTCAAGAGATGTTTCTGCCTCAGCCACCTGAATAGCTGGCACTATAAGTACATGCCACCATGCCTGGCTAGTTTTTTTTGTTGTTGTTTTGTTTTGCTTTAGAGACGGGGTCTCGCTTTGTGCCCAGGCTGGTCTTGAACTCCTTTTAAGTGATTATCTCTTCTCAGCTTCTTAAAGTCCTGGGATTATAGGCATGGCCTATCTATTTTTATGTTTTATAATTTCTTGTACTTTTTGATGTTACTTCAAATATCTTTTTAAGTATCCTAAATATACTTATTTAAATTTTTTTTGAGTAAATTTATCTATAAATTATTGATTTTATGTCGATAGACATTGTTCTCTATCATTAATAATGTTAAAAATAAATAAAAAAACAAAAACAAGTAAATCAATTAATGCTTACCACAGGCCAGTATTTGATCCAACACTAACTCAAATATTCATTTCTTTAATCCTCACAACAAACCTATGAGGTAGGTACCATTATTGTTCCTGCTTTTTGCAAGAGGAAACTGAGACACAGGGAAGTTAAGTAATTTGCCTATGGTAACACAGGCAGTGAGTAGTTGAGCTGAGATTGAACTCACGCTGTCCAGAATCCATGCTATTAGTTATAATAGTGTACTGCCCTATAGCTTTCTGTTTCACAGCTACATGGCATTACTTTGTATGGATGTATCATTATTTGTTAAACCATTTAACTTATTTCCAGTGTATTGTTCTTATAAACAATGAATACCTGTGTACCTCTAATTTTGTGCACATGTATCTTTTTGTAGAATGAATTCTTAAGAAATTGAGTTGCTAAGTCAATGCTTAAGCCCATAATTAATTTTCTTACATATTACCAACTGTCCTCCAAAAAGGTTGTACCAATTTAGAATTTTACCAGCAGTAAATTCAGCAGTTAGGACCCATTTTCCTAACACTCTCGCGGACACTGGGTATTACCAGTATTTTTTTTAATACGTGCCAATCAAATGGGCAAAAAGAATGGTTTCTCACTGAGGTTTAAATTGCATTTCCCTAGTTATTCTTGAGATTTTTCCTTTCCTTTCTTCAACAATTACTTATTGAGTGCTTCATATTTGTAAGGGACAATTGCAGGTACTGGAAATGTCACAGTGAGGAAAAGTGACAAAGCCCCTGCTGTCATGGAGCTTATTCTAATGGGAGATGTCAGGTGCTCAGCTGAGCTGGGAGAGAGAGAGCTGAGTTGTCAGGTGTCAGAGGAGCCAATTATAGCAGCAAAACAAAAATAAAATAGTTCAGCTTTTAATCTCTTACTACGACGGTATAATCAAGAGGCTAAAATGGGAGGAAGGGCAGACTCTGCCTGTTCCATTTCCCCACATAGAGTGAGTATACCAGTCGAGGGTCAGGTAATCAGTGCAGACTTAGGGGGTCGCCTTACCATTGAAGAAGCCCCAAATGAAAGGCTCTAGCAGTTTTATGGACCTGGGGGTGGAGGAATCCAAGGGTGGGGAGAATTCATGAGGAAAATGAGGTGAGAGGGCTAGGAGTGGAAAAGTACAAAGTACTGAGTTAGCGTGGGGAATAGTGTCTTTAGGGCTAGGAGTGGAAAAAATACTAGGTACTGAGTCAGAGTGGAAAACAGTGTCTTCAAGGCAGGGAGTGGAAAAGTGCTAGGTACTGAGTCCGAGTGGAGAAAAGTGTCTTCTCTATGATGAGGAGGCTTCAGCAGAGGTGCCTGAAGACCTCACCCCAGAGCCTCAGATAAAGAGACCTAAGAATGAGGGTGCCTGGGCTAAGATTGCAAGTATGTGAAAAAGCATGACTGGCGGGAGGCTGAGATCTTGATTGCAGCCCCCTTCAGAGACTGCCATGCACTGACTGTGCACCAAGTCTGCTGTAGAAAGGGCAACTTCCTCAGCAAGGCTTGTCAGATTAAGCCTCTTTAATTGCCTGTGGTCAGGTCTGAAAAATCACACATAGATTTTTAATCAGAACCCAGACATCTCAGGAGAGACAGACAATAACCAAACATACCGTGTCATGTCATGTCATGATAAGTACCACAATAAATATAAGTCAGCATGAGGGACAGAATGCCCAGGATGCTATCTTCAATAGAATGGTTAGAGAAATCTCCCTGGGAGGTAGCATTTAATGAAAGACCTACATGAAGTGAAGGAGAAGCTATGAGACTGTCTGGAGGAAGAACCTTCTGGACAGAGGGAACAACATGAGAAGAGGACTTGAGACAGAGTGTGTGATCTTTTGGAGGAATGTCAAGGGAGGCAGTGTGGCTGGGGAGAGTAAGCAGGGGAAAGAGGCCTGATAGGTACTGGGGACCCAATTACATGAGGTCTTGTAAGGCCAGGGGAAGGACTTTGGATGTAGTTCTCAGTGTGAGGGGAAGGGATCTGGATATATTTTTCAGTTTGGTGGAAGGCATCAGAGGCTTCTGAACAGGAGGATTATGTGATTGGAGCTGTATTTTTAAGGGATCATTTTGGCTTGAGAAACTAGACCCGGGGACAAGGACGGAGCAGGCAGATGAGTTAGGAGACAATTACATTAGTCTCCTCTACCCTTTTCTTAACATATTGGAGTTCAGCTCTGGCTGTAGTAGTTCTAGATCTCCTCAGACACACTTGTGTAGAGCCTCTGTTGGGTATTTTGGGTACACAAATGATTCATCTTGGTTATACAGATGATTTAGATGATTGTAGACAGAAGAGGGTTGTCTGGTCATTCCCAGACAGGGGAGCATTCCTTGAGATAGAGTAGAGGAAGGCTGAAGGGGAGGAAGACAGTACCTGTTGCTATCTAGATAGAGACATCCAGCAGGAAGTTGAATACAGGTATCTGAAACTCTAGTGAAAGTTATAGGCTGGCAATAAGCACCTGGGAGTTATTAGCTTTTACTTGACAGTTGAATCCGTGGGGCTAGAGGAGAAAAACCAGGAAAGTATGGAGAATAAGAAGACCAAGAACATGCACTCAAGGTTACCAAAATTAAAGAGTGATTTGAGAAAATTAACAAGGAAATCAGAGATTGGGAAAGAATAGAGCATTTCAATGAGGAGAGATGCCAACACTTGCATTTGACACAGCGGTCAAATGAGTTGAGATCTGAAAAGAGCTCAAGCCTTGGCCATGGTGTGAAGTCACCAACAACCTTTGTCAGGGAGTTTCAGTAGAGAGGTGGGGGTGGGAGGCTGGGAATAAAGGCAGCAATTGCTGCTTACTCTTTCAGGGAGTTTGACTCCAAGGGAAAGAGAAACTAAAAGCAGTAGCACAAGGTTTGTGTTTGAAGTAATGGAGGTGAACCAGGTGAATAGCCTGGAGGCCGAGTGAAGTGAGACAGGACACTGCAGATTTGGAATGTCACCAGTCCGCACAACTGAATAATTTCCTCCAGAACTGCTCAATTGCCCAGTTGTAAGAACAGATATGTAGACCAAAAGTAGAGTGTCCCCAGGGTAAATTTTATAGAGACAAAGGGGTGTGTTTATTGAAGTTGTGGAAAGGAATAATTACAAAGACATACTATTGTTGCATTGTCCAATATAATAACCACTAGCCATATGTGACTACTTAAATTTCAATTAATTAAAATTAAATAAGATTAAAAATTCATCTTCTCAGTCATACTAGCTATGTATCAATTGCTCAATAGCCACAGGGGCTGGTGGCTATCATATTGTTCAGCACAGAGACAGAGCATTTCCATTATCACTAAGAGTTCTTGTGGAAAACACTGCACTACAGGGTCTGGATAAAGCTGAGGTCTTGATTAAGTTGAACAACAGTTGTAGAAGGAGTAAGCAAGAGCAAAACCTGGATGAATAGGAGGTTGTGGACGGAGATTAGTATATTGAGATTAAGATTCTAGGGACTGAGCTGCTCCAGGTGAAAAGTTTCAGGGTTATGTCATAAGAAGGTGGGGGGCAGCTGCTGAAATAGTCTGCGGGTGTAGACCTGTGGAGTTGACAAGATCAAAGAAATTTGAGGCAAGGTTGTTAGACTCATTCATGAAGAAGTCACCCAAATTGTTAGCAAGACCTTGCATCTAATGCCAAAATCCTCATTTAGCAAGGTGGTAGTGACTTAGTAGCTACAAGCAATGAGAAAGTCAGACACCTCAAAAGGGGAAGGTGTTGCTCAAAGTCCCCACAAAGTGTGATAAAACAAACAGTAGCTGGGGCTGGAGCAAGTGGCTTCCTTTGGGTGAAGCCAGATTTCACTGAAATAATAACCTCAGGGAAACAGTCAATGAAGGGGTTAAAGATGTGGGAGAGTTTCCTTGTAGTAAGTAATGGAATGAGGCTTTCAAAGGGCCAAGTAAAACTTTGGAGGAAGTTTAGTAAAAGAAGGAATTTTTTTTAGTACAGATAAGCATAGGAACATAAAGAAGAGATAATTCTTAAACATATAAGATATGCATTTGGGGATAGCAGCCAGGGAACACTGAAGTCCCAGTGGGGTCAGAGACTTCATAAGGCTAGCAAATTACAGTTTTTGAGTGGCATTCCAACAGTAGAGTGTATTGCTCAGGAAGTCCTTAATTATCCTTTGAAACAAATTCCTTCAGCTGATTACGAAGGCATCTAGCTGGATTCTTGAGCGACTTGTTCCTGACATCATAGCAACCCATTGTAACTAGACTTCGACCATTCCTCTTACCCAAGTGCTGGGGAAGGGAGAGATTCTCAATGCTTACCCACCTATGGAATCCCAGTAAGTCCAGTTGCTAGGTGGCTTGAGGTCTGGGGTCATAAAATGGAAGGCCTGAAGTCATTTGGTGATCACAGACCTTGAGCCAAACTTTCCCCATTTAGTCAGAGAAAGGATTAGCAGCATCCCCCATGCCTGGCTCTGTGTGAGATCATGGAAGCCAGTGGTTGGTGAGGTGCTATGGAGTATAAATTGCAAAATACTTTCAGTTCCACTCAGAATGGATTTCAAAGTGATTTCCACCCCATGGGGAGGAGAGGGAGTCTGAGGAGGGATGGATGGAAAAAAAATTTTCATGTCATTTTCTGTGATCCACTCTGGAGACAGAGGCAGAGATTCTCTACAACAGCTGCTCAAACTATAGCTCTTGTTAAAATGGAGGTTCTGAATCAGTAAGTCTTGGGTGGGGCCAGAGATTCCGTGTTTCAGACCAGCCCACATGTGACGTGAATCTCATTGGTCCATACATCACACTTTCAGTTGCTAGGTGAAGAAGGGAGCACTCGATGAGTGGAAGAGAAAGCCGTTGTAATCTTTGGGAGAAGGGGCCTGGGTCAGCGGAGTTAGACTGGTCTGTGAGTGGACAGAATGGATGGGAAGGAAAGAAGATACTGTGAGGCTCTACAGAAAAAAAAAAAAAAAAAAATATATATATATATATATATATATATATGTAAATCAAGAAGACAGAAGCAGCTAAAGACGAAGTCATTTCCAGGTCCAGAAGGCACAACTGACAGCTGAGTAATAACATAACATTGACTGTTAATTGGCAGAATTTTTAACTGTGTGTTTGGTTTCTCCATCAGGTCATCTGTCCTATATTACATGACAATTTAGACTAAAACCAGTATTTCCTCAGAGACAATGCTAGAAGCTTTTACAGTAGGGGGCACTCTTGCATTACATTAAGAGCTCAGCAAAGAAGATGCAGAAGCCTCAGGTTTGCCTTGTAAGGTGATTCATAAACACACTAAATCTTCCTTAGGTCTCCCTTTCACTGTCAGGGTACGCATATAGATTTTCCTTCCTCCCTCCAATACCGGTACGCATCCTCTACAGGTGGTGCATTTTATACCTCAAGTACTTCACAGGGTCCTAGTGAGTGTAGTGAAATAGGCAGTGATTCATATTTGTGCAAACTCCCACTGATGCCTGCTGTCTGCTTCCCTAAGAGTTCAAGACCACCACCAACCCCTTGATTATGTGTTCTCACTGGGCCACTCTGTACACAGTTTAGTTTGACAAGTGCATGTCACTGTTATCTGTCCTTCTATTCCCTCTTTCAAGAGAAACCACATCAATTTAATTACTCCCCCACTTAGAACTCTTCAAATGAAGCTCCTCTCATCTCTCTCATCAACCCATCTCCTCCCTTTCCTCCTCAATGTCAACATGCCTTCACATAAATCCTGAATGATGAAATTTTATTTAGAACTTACACTAACTTCCTCTCCAAGGTGGCATCTAACTTCATATTAAGTAAGAAACAGCCTTCCCACTCTCCACCCCCGCACTTCTCACCCACCACTGCTTACTTTTTTTTTTTTTTTTTTTTTTTTTTTGCCAAGTCTCAAGTAATTCTGTAACCTAGAAAAGGTCCTACACAAACCCCGTGATCATTCACATTTAAGTAGTTGGGTGGCCCACATCCTTCCCACAAACCCCAAAGTGTCCTCAAGGACTAAAGCCTTTCTCTCAACCCTTCCAGCATGATGTCTATGGTTGTAAAATTGTCCAGGGTCAGTGCATACTGGGAGCAGCAAGTTTGTGGTGCCTGGGGTTTCCCCAATACTCCCAAAGCACATCCTCACCTGCCCATCTATGATTCATTTTCAGCATTTCACTCATGTGCCTTAAATGGTCATTGACCACCACAATCCGAAAACAGCCATCAAATTTGCCCAGTTCTCTTTCTGATCTCTGAAAGAGCTTAGAGAGGTCACTGAAAATAAAGGCCTTGGTTCACTATCGAAGTCATTTCTAAAGCATTTGACATCCTTGGAAGTGCTGGCCATGGGAGCAGCAGTCATAGGGGAAGTTCTGTAAAGGGAGCTATTTGAATTTCAAAGATGTTACTCAACGTGATTCCCCAACTAATGAAGTATAATAAAGGGGGGCTATAATTTATTACCATTATCAGCAATCTTTTCACCATAGCAGACCAAGGAATATGTGGATGGGAGGGGAGGGGAAAGCTTTTGGTGATGGTGTAGAAGTTATGGAACCTGTAACAGCTACAGTGATGAAAACTAAAATTAAGGTTATAGGAAGGTAACTGGTGGGTGAATGGGTTGTCTAACTCTACTGGTTTTTCCCTGTCTTGCAATTTAAATTCACAGAACCACAGTACTAGAAAGACCCTTGGAACATTTAGTCAACCACTTCATTAATCAGATGAGGAAACTGAGGCTCATAAAGATTGCAGTTTGTACAAGGCCACACATTTAGTCAGCGGTGAAGCAAGGACAAAGGTCCTAATCTCCAGATGCCAAGCAGATGTGCACAGTTCCAGAGCTTAATATCTTATTCTTCAGCATGATTACTGATAAGATAGTATCTGGGTATTGTATAAAGAGAAATGGAGGTTTTTTCCCCTTTCCTCTTGTTTCTCCCTCCCTAATCCTTAACCTTCTTTTTTAGGTGCTGCTCCTCTGAAGATTCAAGCTTATTTCAATGAGACTGCAGACCTGCCATGCCAATTTGCAAACTCTCAAAACCAAAGCCTGAGTGAGCTAGTAGTATTTTGGCAGGACCAGGAAAACTTGGTTCTGAATGAGGTATACTTAGGCAAAGAGAAATTTGACAGTGTTCATTCCAAGTATATGGGCCGCACAAGTTTTGATTCGGACAGTTGGACCCTGAGACTTCACAATCTTCAGATCAAGGACAAGGGCTTGTATCAATGTATCATCCATCACAAAAAGCCCACAGGAATGATTCGCATCCACCAGATGAATTCTGAACTGTCAGTGCTTGGTATGTGGTCAATGGTGTGTGTTCAGATTCTTAGCCTTCTCAGATGAGACTGCAAATGAGTTAGAAAAACACTGGAGGGGGACTTGAGGGGCCCAGGGGAAAAGGGGGGTCTATAGAGAGAAGGCAGAGGACAGCCACTTCTGGGAAGTGCATTTGAAGGGAGTGTAGAGTCTGGGAGTAGGGAACTGAAAGTCTTTTGTACTTTTTATAGTCTGCTTCTGAAGGATCAGTAAAAATCTGCTTTGGGGAAAAAATAGAGCTAATTGAACAAAGATAATATGGCTAATTACCTATAGTAAAAACCATGGATAATTTGGCCATCACAAAGTTTATATAACCATAAAGGCCTCAGATGTCTTACATTCATTTTTTCCTTGGGTCCAAGATTTTTCACCTACTAAATCTTTGCCTGGAGCTCCTAGCAAAGCGGACAGCTGACACATTTGGGTTTTCCCTTCAGCCTCCTCTAGGTTGCTTATGAGTTGTTTGCTGCCACAACCATGAGCCTGGTAGACAGAAGGGAAAAAAACCCAACAAACATAACCCACAAACTTACAAACCAGCTCCTCTGCTTCACGAGACCTTGGAAGGCCTAAATGCCACTACAGATTTTTTTAAAACTATCACACAGTAAAATTATTTTTTTTTGTTTTGATATACTGTTCTACTGATTGTATAGATCTTGTATAGATTTAGGTAACCGCCACAGGACATAGAGCATTTCTATCACCCTAAAAATTTCCCTCAGGCTGTCCCTTCATAGAGTCATACCCTGTCTGCACTCATAACCCTTGTTGGGCATCCTATAGTTTTGTCTTTTTGACAGTGTCACATAAGTGAAGCCACACAGTATGTAACCTTTTAAGCCTGGCTTCTTTCGTTTAGCGCGCCTTCGAGATTCACCCAAGTTGTTGCACATATCGAGCTTGTCCCTTTTTATTGCTGAGTAGCATTTTATTGTTTATCCATTCAACTCAGTAAAAGACATTGGGTTGTTTCTGGTTTGGGGCTCTTATGAATAAGGCTGCTGTAAACGTTCATGTACAGGTTTTTGTGTGAACATAAGTTCTCAGTTCTCTAGAGGAAATACCCAGGTGTGGTATTACTGGATCCAGGTTAATTTTTGATGAAACTTGAAAAGGCAGATCAACACCTATTCTAAAACCATAGAGTAAAACAGAAGCAAAAGTAAAAATAGAATGGAGAGCTGCTCCCTTTGAACCCTGTGTGATTTAAACTAGGCTGCAGGGCTTTAGGAATAGTTAACCAAGTGCTAAATCCGTGTTTTCAAAATGTGGTCAGGTACCATTGGAAATGTTTTAGGTGGGACACAGATAAGCATTTTGAAAAGCCATGTTGTATTTGTTTTAATGTATATTAGAAAAACTCTAACTTACGCAACATGTGATTTCACAGATCTTGTTAATGAAGCTAAACACGGTCTGGCAATTCACCTTCTACAGGCCACATAGACTCCAAGAAGACTGCTCAAATAGTACACTGATATAGCAAAACTTATAAAGATGACATGCAAATGACAGACCTTTTAGTAAGAATACACTAAATTATAAATTAGTTTGTAGAACCTGCAAACTACCTAGTAACTATAAAAGAACAAGGGATTTTTTCTGACAGAAGGCACATGACACAGGTCTAGGGACTCCATGCCAGTGATCCTGAACAGCCAGAAAAGTGAGAATGGCAAAGGCAAGAGAAACACTGTGTTTATTAAGATCATGTATTTTTCCCTAAAATAGCTGGATTTGGCCTTCTTCTTAGAGTATGTTATGAAGACACTTTGATGCTCATGCCAAAAATCAGTGTTCTGAATTTCGAATTCCAAAATATCCACCCACTCACTTACCACAATCCTGCTTGGGTTTCTGAAAGATATGACGCAGGGCATCTCAGCACCATGAACTCTGTCAGTTCCTGGTGAGACTCCAGCTCAATTCCTTCCTGCTCTCTTAGTCTGGGGAGCTGGAATGTGCCCCATGGGACACCTGGGCCCTAGAGTCAGACCACTTCTCCTTCCAAAGACTCTACTCCCTGGAAACAGTGGCTTCATTGTAAATCTTTGGTGACTCAATTACAGCCCTCCTGTCACTTAGAGAGCACCCCTTTGATTTGGATAAGCAGGAAGTAAGCATGGCTGCAAACTCTATTGTTGAAAAATAAACATGAAGTCATTATGTGGCACTCACCTTGGGCTGAGGGTCACATTTTAGACACCCTGAGGCTCCCAGGTGTGCCCCAATGAGCCCCAGATCAAGTACCCAGTTATTTGCTATTCCCTCCTAGATACATCTAAACTTAGATTGATTTTTTTTTATCTCTCTTCTGCTTTCAGCTAACTTCAGTCAACCTGAAATAGTACCAATTTCTAATATAACAGAAAATGTGTACATAAATTTGACCTGCTCATCTATACACGGTTACCCAGAACCTAAGAAGATGAGTGTTTTGCTAAGAACCAAGAATTCAACTATCGAGTATGATGGTGTTATGCAGAAATCTCAAGATAATGTCACAGAACTGTACGACGTTTCCATCAGCTTGTCTGTTTCATTCCCTGATGTTACGAGCAATATGACCATCTTCTGTATTCTGGAAACTGACAAGACGCGGCTTTTATCTTCACCTTTCTCTATAGGTAAAGCTGTTTTCCAAGACTATTTCTTTCAGCAGGTATTATACACAAATGCTTAAGGCAGATCATCCAATGTCCCCGACTTGCTAGGAAACCTCCAACTGGGCCATTTTATGACGCTGTTAGGAAGGACCCAGATGGAGGTCTCCTGCTTCTCCTGAGTGATGCAGGGTCCAGGAGGCTACGAGCCTATGTTGCACTTGAAGAAATATGCTTTTAGCCCTGAAACTGACTCAGTCTCTTGGTTTACCTTTGGATGGAGGATTCTGAAGTTTTGATTTAAAAATACAGGATTCCTCCAGGCTAGAATTCTTTCTTTGATTACAACACATACATGCGCTTGCACACACACACACACACACACACACACACACCATGCATACATGCAGACATACAAATGATATTTATTGTGAGTATAGAACCATTTGGGACATTATTGGTCACAGGAGTGAAAACAAAAAGATATGACACCCCCTCTGCCCTTGAGGACCTTCCAATAGAATCAGAACCCTGTAATGTGCACACATGAAAAACTGGATTTTTAAAAGGTTGAATTGGAATCTAAATTTTATTCCATGGAAATATCTGACTAAATTTAAAATAAAAGTGACTGGTAATGAGATTTATGGGCATTCAGAGGTAGGCAAGATCCCTGAGGGTCAGGGAATGGTTCCTAAAGGAAGGGGTACCTTGTAACATGTAAAATAAATTATTGGGGTTAATAAATGTGGTGAGGAGGGGAGGGCATTCTGGATGACAGGTTCCCAAAACTGTGGTGACTTCCGTAGCTGAAAAAATTTGAGACAGTATCTGGGCTAAGCAGGTGAGAGGACCACAGTGGATCAGCTGTATCTGACGTAAGTGCAGGAGGTATGTCAAAGAAAGCCTTGGAGGCAGAAATGCTTGTGTGTTCACAAGTATTCTTCAGGGACAAGTTCAGTGGAGGAAAGGATTGAAACTAAGCAGTAGCCACTAATAGGAGCCTGACATTTTAAAGTCCTGGCTTTACCCAGGAGGGCATGTGTCTATATTTGACTCCTCTTTTAAGAAGCTGTAACTGCAAGATTCCCTCCTGGAATAAAGGTGGTCTGCATCTACCCTGTCCCATCACTGCCTGTGCTGACCTTGACACCCACATCTGCCTTCTTCTTACCTTGACCCCTTCTCCAGCGGTGATTTCTTGGCTTGCCCCCTCCAGTGACATCCATCCAACTCCTTGCTCCATACCCTGGCTTTGTCACCTCCTTTCTCCCAGTGTCTTGTTGTTCAGATATAACTTGGTCTGTGAACAGCCCACGGGGCCAGTCCCCATGAACCAACTTTACAACTGGGCCAATCTCATCTCCTGCTACTGACTTCTTCCTATTCAGACACTTCAGCCTCTGAGAATCCAGTAAATGGTGGAGCCAACTCGTCCTGTCCCAGTTGCTTCTCCTGTATCCTCTCTTGGCCAGATAGAAGCCTCTCCAAGCTATGCCTGAAGTTCAGTACCTCCTTCAATGTGTAATTAGTTTGATTGGTGGCCACAAGATGGCCATATATGACATGCCCCAGGGCCCTCTGTTACGGCTCCCATAGTCTACAAATTAACAGGGGCTTGCCACCACTATAACCTCATCATGGCTCACCTTCCTGCTGCTTCTCAACTACTGTTCTGCCAAACTTCAACAGGTACCCCCATCTTCAGAAATGTTTCAGCTCTAGCTGCCTCAGGAAGATGGGGCTTGCCTCTCTGGGTTTCCCATTCTATCGCTTGATCAGAGATAGGTTAGACCCTGAGTCAAGGGGCCTTTTTTGCATGTTAAAAGGTAGCAGCCTCCACGTTAGTAAGTATAACCCCTAACCCCCTTTACTGGGAGTGCCAAACTGGCTCAAGTGGAATAGACTGGGACAGACTCAAAAGGGATTAAATATGGCCTGCAATGCCAACAACTTCTTAACATCCCAGAAACAGGGCATGTGTCTACAAATTATAGCTAAGCTAATAGATCAGCTGGTCCTAATTTTCCTGAAATTTGGGATTAGCTACCAGAACTGTTCCCAAAAATGTCTTTAAAGTGGGCGACTCCGTTCTAAGTTTTCCCCACAAAGCCTGTTTTCCAACTCCCCAGAAACTTAGGAGTTCTCATGTAAGGAAGTAGTTCCTGAAGGCGTGAAGGTTCCTCAAGGCATGAAGAAACATCAAAGGTTTTTCAGTAGATGAGATATGCTGAAAGCCATGCAGAGGAAACCTGCTGTGACCTCAGTAGGAAAAAACTAAACAAACAAGCAAATGAAAACTAGAGGTAGGGGCCTGTGGAAGCTGTTCCATTTGTCCAAGTGAGAGGTGTCTGGAGATTATAGTGGACAGAAGAATCATCACGAGAGGAACTTCAGGGCCTGGGAACTGACTGCAGAGGGGGGCAGGATAGCAGGCACGGCACAAATGACTGCACGTGCAGAGCCTCAGCACAGACACCTCACCCAGATTCCAGAATCACGGGCCAGGCTGACCCTCTTCTTCCTGATCATGGTCGGTGTTATCCCCACCTCCATGAAGGCATGGCAGCTCAGTCCAGGCATTTGGCCAGAGGCATGGGCTCGATTCTTAGGTCGCTGCTGAGGCCCTGAGCCTGGGACTTTCTATGGCCTCCTATTGTGGATTTCAGGCTTCTCTGGCCTTAGAGCCCTGGGGAGAGGCTGGCAGGTAAATAAAGAGAAGAGCAGCTAGCAGAAACCTTTTGTAAATGACTCTCCTGGCTGATTGAAAATTTGTGGTCATTTGTAGAGCTTGAGGACCCTCAGCCTCCCCCAGACCACATTCCTTGGATTACAGCTGTACTTCCAACAGTTATTATATGTGTGATGGTTTTCTGTCTAATTCTATGGAAATGGAAGAAGAAGAAGCGGCCTCGCAACTCTTATAAATGTGGTGAGTGAGTCCTTGTCCTCCCCACAGACTGTCACTTTGCACCTACTTCCCAATCGGCTGGCTGCCTTCCGGAGCTTGTTGGCTGAGCCTAGACTGGCAAAAAGTCAGGAAGTTGTTGGGAAAAAAGGTTTTCCCTTGGAGTTTTGAGCCTATACAGACTGGCAGTAGCAGATAATGCTGCTCTTGGACTTCAAAGAAAGGCGACATTTCTAACCTCTGGTTTACAAATGTACTTCTGGTTTCCAGGGAAAACTGATTATTACTTGCTTTATCTACCTCACTTCATGAGGTTACTGTGACATATACATAAAGTAAAATGGTGAAACCACTCCTAAATGTTAAAGATTGTGGACCTGGTGGTGTTTAAGCAGGGATATTTGCTAAATGACCACAAGAATCAGCTTCTCGTCTCTAAAAAAATCTAGGTTTCTTATGAAATAAGTTAGATGAATTATTGCCCATTGACTTATAACAAACAATATTAACTTTAACTAATTTCTAAGTAATACATATCCATTATCATATATACCAAAAATAAAATAATCTATAACTCCACTAATAAGAAAAAATGATTACACAAATATTTTTGGTGCCTATCTTTAAGATTTTTCTGTGTATCAATCTATGTTGTTTTCCATAATTAGGATTATCATAAGGGTTATTTTTCACAATTTGGATAATATATGTACTGTGTTCTAATTTTGTTATACTAAATGTAGCAAGACAATTTTCAATGTCATAAATATCATTCTACAGCATCATTTTTAATGGCTGCAAGATATTCCCTTTTGTGGATACACCATAATTTATTTATTTAACCAACCTCATTTTTTGGACACTTGAGTTAGTCCAATAGTTTTGTTATTATAAACACCCTCCCCACTGACTTCTGTTATAAAAATGTTTCATGGGGACAAAGTGGTCCCTAACTTTATAATAATGCCATGCCTTTTTGTAGTTTGGTCTGGTTCTAAGCTAAGATTGGACTTTATCTCAGTAATTGCCTCCAGTAGTAATTAGTTTGATTGGTGCTAATAATTAAGGTAACCTTCTAACTCACTTATGGTAGAAAGCACAAGATGAGTATTGCCTCTGGCCAGCATCTTGTTTTTCAGTATACTGATTTTAAAATCTAACTAGAAAATAGATGGATGACATTAGCAGTCATTCAATGCATCCTGCTGTACTTTAAAAATAAGAAATTGGGGAGCAACGATCGAATTTAAATAAATTAACACAAAGCATGTGGCAGAGCCATTCAAACTGCCAATGTATGGAGTGTGCTGCGAGATTTCTATGATATAAAAGTATAAAATTCCTAGCACAGATGTAAAGACATATCATGCTTGTCCAGGCTTTGACTTTTCAAGGTGAGAGTTTTGAGCTTCACTTTCTTTCAACCTCATTGCCATTTAAAATTAGTCAAATATGAAGAAGTGACTTACATCTTGGGAATAAGCTGTTTGCTAGATTTTTCTTCACATTAGAATGATCAGCTTACAAATGAAACAAAGAAGGGTTGGAGAAAAAGATTAAGGATGTTTCTTCCTCCATGAGGCAATCAGAAAAAAATCAGGAGACTAGATAGGGGAGATAAAGAGGATATGTGTGTTCACATGAGAGAAGTTAGAAGGTGGTTAAATAAGCTCTGTAGGTACAGATGAGATGGTCAGATTGGGCTGAGTGGCACATACATGACCCCTAAGAATGTAATGAAGAATATTGGTAAGAAAAAGTTATTTATTCAGACAGTCATCCATGCCACTGAGTTTGATCAAAGAGAGAAGCCTTGCTATCACTGTAGGGAGGGAGGTGCAACAGGTATAACTATGCCATTATAGATATGATATATTTGTAAATTTGGATTCTGTAACTTCAGCAATATCTGCCATTGCTTTGTGGGTACTCCTGGCATTGGCTATGTGATAGGTAAAATAATGCCCCCCACAAGACGTCCACCTCCTATACTCCAGAACCTGTAATATGTTATCTTACATGGCAAAAGGAACTTCACATAGGTGATTAAGGCACCAAGCTTGAGATGGTGAGATTAACCTGGATTATCCAGGTGGGCCCAATGTAATCACATGAGTCAGAGAACCTTTCCTAGCTGGGATGGAGAAATGAACTGGAAGAAGGAGAGATCTGAAACTTGAGAAGCTCAACCCAGCATTTCTAGCTTTGAAGATGGAAGGAGGAAGCCATGAGCCAAGGAATGTAAGTAGCTTCTAGAAGCTGGAAGTGGCTCTCAGTTGACAGCCAGCCATTAAGGAAATTAGGATCTCAGTTCTGCAACTATAAGGAGCTGAATTCTGCCAAGAGACCAATGTGGAAACAGCAGATCCCTCCACAGAGACACAAGCTTACTGATAACTGGTAGGAATTTCTCCAAAAGTGGAGCTTCCTCCTACTCCAGTGTTAATCCCTTTCTCAGAGGAGACGGTCCTCAAACTAACTAACTTGGCACCAAAAGTCCTATCCAGTGTTTTCTCATTATAGTTTTTCTATGCCTCAACTGTATATATTTACCCAGTTTAGGCTGTTTAAATGAATAAAAAGGAAATGCCATAGTTATTCTAGCCAGTTTCCAATCTCTCTTCTCTTTTTTTGTTTTGTCAAATAGGGCAGATAAGGCATGAGAATTTATAACTATGAATTACTGTCTTTTCCCAAACAGAAATCACCCTATCAGCTTACCCATTGGGAGAAAAACTAAAATAGCTCCCCCTGAAATTTTACTTCCTCATTTGGGTCTTGTGTGACTGAAATCTGTATACAATGCCCTAGCAACAACGGTTTTTACAGCTTGCCTCCCTAGAACAAACCTAGGAGTCTCAGCTGTTTCAGGAATGATTTCTTAAAGGTAAAGTGCCTTTTTCAAAAGAAATTATTATTATTTTTTTTTAATTTTTTTTTTGTGTGTGTGTGAGACAGAGCCTCACTCTGTCACCAGGCTGGAGTGCAGTGGCACGATCTCAGCACACTGCAACCTCTGCCTCCCAGGTTCAAGCGATTCTCCTGCCTCAGCCTCCCAAGTAGCTGGGACTACAGGCACGTGCCACCAAGCCCAGGTAATTTTTGTATTTTCAGTAGAGATGGGTTTTCACCATGTTGGCCAGGATGGTCTCGATCTCTTGACCTCGTGATCCGTTTTTAACCAACATTTAAACAGAAATATTCACAGGCTTAAAGACTGAAAGTTAGTGATATCATCACATTTCCCCTTCAAAATGCTGAATTTGTAAGCAAATTTAAAAGTTTAGAATCTACCTTTTAATTGTCTGCTTTCATTTTTTTGACAGTGGCTTTTTTTGATATGGTGACTATTTTGTCATGGGTATAAAAGGATAATTCATTTTGTGTTAATCTGAAGACATCTGAAATACTGTATTCAACTATAAGTACCTTTTTTTACATTTATAAGATTCTTTTTCAAAATTTTTATTTGAATAGTTTTTTGGGAACTACTGAACTAAACTAGGTGGTTTTTGGTTACATGGATAAGTTATTTAGTGGTGATTTCTGAGACTTTGGTGCCACCTGTCACTCGAGCAGTGTACACTGCACCAGTGTGTAGTCTTTTATCTCTCACCCCTCCCACTCTTTCCTCTGAGTCCCCAAAGTCCATTATATTATTCTTATGTCTTTGCATCCTCATAGTTTAGCTCCCACTTATCAGTGAAAACATACAATATTTGTTTCTCCATTCTTGAGTTACTTCACTTAGAATAATGGTCTCTGGTTCCATCAAAGTTGCTGCAAATGCCATTATTTTGTTTCTTTTTATGGCTGAGTAATATTCCATGAGGGATATTTACCACATTTTCCTTATCCACTCATGGGTTGATGGACATTTAGGTTGGTTCCTTATTTTTGGAATTGCAAATTGTGCTGCTATAAACATGCGTGTGCATGTGTCTTTTTCATATAATGAATTATTTTCCTTTGGGTATATACCCAGTAGTAGGATTGCTGAATTAAATAGTAGAGTTCTACTTTTAGTTCTTTAAGGAATCTCCATACTGTTTTCCATAGTGTTTGTACTAGTTTACATTCCCACCAGCAGTGTAAACATGTTCCCTTTTCACCACATCCATGCCAACATCTATTATTTTTTGATTTTTTAATAATGGCCATTCTTGCAGGAGTAAGGTGGTATCTCATGGTGGTTTTAATTTGCATTTCCCTGATAGTTAGTGATATTGAACTTTTTTTCATGTTTGTTGGCCATTTGTATATTTTCTTTTCAGAATTGTCTATTCATGTCCTTATAAACACCATTATTTTTAAGAAGAAACTTTACAAAAATAGAACATAACCAGATTTATAAAGCATCTGGGAACTCAGTCAATTAAGAAATAGCTCAAGTAACTGATGATGCTTCACCTGAAAGAAGGCCTGGAGAGAACAGAGATACTGTCTTCAAATATCTGAAGAGCTACCATGGGATGCAAAGATTGAGCTTGATGGTATGACTCTGAAGGGCATCTCTATGAATGAAGGTTATGAGAGGGTATAAGGAATTAAGAGAGACTTTTCTAACAATTAAAAGGTCTTTTAGGCCAGGGGTGGTGGCTCACACCTGTAATCCCAGCACTTTTGGAGGCTGAGGCAGGCAGATCACCTTAGATCAGGAGTTCGAGACCCGCCTGGCCAACATGGTGAAACCCCATTTCTACTAAACATACAAAAATTAGCTGGGTGTGGTGGCAGGCACCTGTAATCCCAGCTACTTGGGAGGCTGAGAGAGGAGAATCGCTTGAACCTGGGAGGCAGAGGTTGCAGTGAGCCAAGATCACACCACTGCACTCCAGCCTGGGTGACAGAAGATCAAGATTCCGTCTTAAAAAATATAAATAAATAAATAAATAAATAAATAGTCTTTAAAATTGTATAGAAGAAGTAGACTTCTGCTTCCTCCAACAAAGGATTAACTGCTATAGGAATTGCCCTCTTTCCATAAACAACTAGAAAGCAGACAAAATATATGAAACAACTGTTTTCAGAGATCGGATGACAGACAGCAGAAAACTGTAGTCCCTGAGTGAAGGAAAGAAAAAATGAGATAAGCCCTATGATTGCTCTAGTTTGCTGCCTGGAGCCAGTGTCCAGGCCCCTCTGAAGGCAGGGGAGCCCTGATACTGAACTAGGAAAAGACATTGCAAGAAAAGAAAACTACAAACATCTCTCGTGAAATGCTTAACAAAATTAGCAACTAAAATCTAGCAATATGTTAAAAGTATAATACATCATGATCAAGTGGGGTTTATTCAAGAAACACAGGTAAGCTCAACATTCAAAAATCAGGCAATAACCTTTACTACATAAATAAACTAAAAAGAAAAAAACATATGATCATGTCAATGGATACAGGAAAAACTTTTGACAAAATTAATACCCATTCATAGTTTTAAATGGAAAGAAAAGCTCTCATAAAAATAGGAATACAAGATGACTTCCTCAACCTGACAAAGGACATCTACCAAAAATTCTTCTGTTAGCATAATATTTCATGATAGAAGACTGATTGCTTTTACCTTAAGATGGCGAATGTGGGGAGGATGTCTACTCTCTCTACTTTTGTTCCACATTGTACTGGAGGTCATAGCCAGAGAAACAAGACTAGAAAAAGAAATAAAAGACATACAGATTGGAAAGGAAGTAAAACTGTCTTTTTTCACAGATAATGATCATGCTTGTAGAAAATCCTGAGGAATCTATCAAAAACCTATTAAAACTGATAAGTGAGTGTAGCAAAGACACAGGATACAAAGTCAATACACAAAATCAATTATTTCTATATACTAACAAAAGCAATTGTACATTGAAAAAAATTAATAGCATTTATAATAGCATCAAATAATATTAAAAACTTGGAAATAAATTTAACAAAACAAGTACAAGGTCTATATACTGAAAACTATACAATATTACTACTGGAGAAATTAAAGTAAACCAAAATAAATGGAGACATAGGCCATGTTTATGAATCAGAAGACTAGATGTTAAGATAACCATTCTCTCCAAGTTGATCTATGGATTAAATGTAATCACAATCAAAATCCTGGTAAGCTCTCTAATAGATACTAAAAATCTTACTCGAAAAGTTATAGGGAAATGCAAAGAATCTACAATTGCCAAAACAATTCTGAAAAATAAGAACAAAGGTTAAAAATACAAAATTAGCCAGGCATGGTGGCGCATGCCTGTAATCCCAGCTACTCTGGAGGCTGAGGCAGGAGAATTGCTTGAACCCGGGAGGCAGAGGTTGCTGTGAGCTGAGATCGTGCCATTGCACTCCAGCCTGGGCAACAAGAGTGAAACTCCCTCTCAAAAAAAAAAAAAAAAAAAAAAAAAAAGAACAAAGGTGGACTTAACCTACCTAATTTCAATATTTACTATATATAGTAATTAATACAGTGTGATATTGGTAAAAGGACAGACATATCAGTCAATGGAACAAAATAGAGAGTCAAAAATAGATTCACACTGTTGACAAAGCTACCAAGGTAATTCCATGCAGAAAGGATAGTATTTTCAACAAATAGTGTTGGGACAATTAGATATCCACATGGAAAAAGTATGAACCTAGACACACACAAAGTAACTTATATATTAAGAATTAAAATGAAAGGACTTCCAAAAGAAAACAGAGGAGAAAATCTTTGTAACCTTAAGTTAGGCAAGTCTTCTTAGATAGGACACAGAAAGCAAAAACCATATCATAAAAAGATAAAATGGATGTCATCAATATGGAAAACTTTTGTTCTTTGACTTTGTTTAAAAAACGAAAAGTCAAACCACAGACAGGGAGAAAACGTTTGCAAAATATATATCTGATAAAGGACTTGTATCCAGTATATAATTACATATTGCTACTCATTAGTAAGAAGACAATCCATTTAATAAAAGGCAAGAAGAAGAGACTTGAACAGATACATAACAGAAGAAGATATACAGATGGCCGATGAGCACAGTCACAACATCATTAGTCATCAGGGAAGTACAAATTAAAACGATAATGAGATACCACTGCACACCCTCTAGAATGGCTAAAATTAAAAGGTCTGATAAACATCAAGTGTTGGAGAGGATATGAAGCAACTGAAACTCTCATATACTGCTATACAACCCAGAAATCCTAGACATTTACCAAACAGAAATTTTAAAAAATTTAAAAATATATAAAGACTCATACACAAATGTTCATAGCAGCTTGCTTCATAATACCAAACCTGGCATTCTAAATTTTCATCAGTTGGCGGTGGTATATTTATACAATGAAATACTGCAAAGCTATAGAAAGGAATGGACTACTAATAATACACAAGAACATAGATAAATTTCAAAAGCATTATGCTAAGTGAAACAATCCAGGCACAAGAAGAATACACATTATACAATTTCATGTATATGAAATTTGAGAAAAAGCAAAACTATTTTAAGTAGATTCATGGTTATCCATGGGATGGGGGAAAGGAATCAGCTGAAAAGCGAACTATTTTGGCTTATAAAAATGTTCTCGATCTTGATTGTGGTGGTGGTTACGTGACTATATATATTCGTTAAAATCACCAAACTCTAAACTGAAAATGATTGGGTTTTATTATTTATTAATTATACCTCCATAAAGCTGATTGTTTTTATCTTTTATTTTTATTTTATTTCAATAGTTTTTGGGGAACAGATGGTTTTCGGTTACATGGATGAGTTCTTTAGTGGTGATTTCTGAGATTTTGATGCACCTGTCACCCGAGCAATGTCCACTGTACCCAATGTGTAGTCTTTTATCCTTCATCCACCTCTCTCTCACTCTTCCCCCCAAGTACCCAAGTCCATTATATCATTCTTATGACTTTGTGGCCTCATAAAAGCTGATTGTTTTTAAATACACACATACACACATAAAAGAGAACTTCCAGTGACAGGAAGTGTTCAAGAATGCTCTATTTAGTAAAGACAGAATCACAAAACCATCAGAGGTATTGTTGAGTGGATTCTTGTGGTCTATAAATACCTCCATGGACACCCAGGTTAGCAACCTGTTGGAGTTTACGTGGGACAATAGCATCATCACAACAGTCAGCCTAGAGAAATTTACATCCCAAGTTGTGTCAGTAGCAAGTCCCTATCAATAGCAACTCAGGCTTTGTGAGGTCTAGCTGGCTAGAAATTTCCCACTTGGCCTTGCCCATGCAACATTGTGTAATATTCTTAGCACCATCTGGCTAGCCGATTTAGGCATCAACATCTTCAAGACTTCTTCTCCTCCTCCTTATAAACCTTGCTTTCAGAAAAGGATTAGAAACTCTTCCAATCACAAAATGATTGCTAAAACTAAATATATTACCCCTCCCAATGGTATTTTTTGGTTAGCCAGGATAGAGATATAAGTGAAAAATCTATTTCCAGTGTTAGAATTTAAGGCACAGTGAGAAAGGGAAGGCATATACTTTTTGAATGCAAGAAACTTCTTCCCAATCCCCCTGAAATTGCATCATTTGAGTAACTATCTCTTCCATATATAAAGTCACAACAATTTCTCTCTCAGTCCCAGAACTTTGAAGCCTTTTCAAACTTTCCTTCTTTTGGTATCTAGGAGGAATACATTTTTGAAGATTGTTCTTGGTGTCTTTCAGGAACCAACACAATGGAGAGGGAAGAGAGTGAACAGACCAAGAAAAGGTAAATCCTGACCCTGAGACATTGATGAGAGAGAGGTATAATCCCCAGAGTGCCTGTTACTTGAATAGGCTTATGCCTAACATATGTTGAGACCTCAGCAAACCTGAACTAATGGAGAGGGAGAGGAAAATAAAACTAGTTAAGAACTGGAAGAAAATAACCTGATAATGGATGACAGGGTATCCAATGCACAATGCCCAGAAAGCATGACAAGCTCTGTCATGGTCAAGTAAAAGTCAATACCAAAGACTTCAGAGGTGGTGAACATGGGCTTCATCTTATCTGCCACAGTAACCCCAGTACCTGGCACAGTGCCTAGATTAGTGGGCATCCTACATGTGTGGAATGAATAAATGAAGAAGTGGGGAATGATAACATGTTTGCTTCAGCCTGAGCATCTTAGTATTTGCTATGGCCCTGTTTAGATGTTCTTCTGCCACTTCTTTACCTCATTCTTCAGATCTTGCCTCAAGCAGCACTTTCTTAAAAACCCTTTCCCAAACTAGAAAATGTCAACTTGTTACAGTGTCATGTGGATCCCTTGGCTTTTTCTTAATAACACCAGATTATGCTTACATATTTGTGTAATTATCTTATTAAACTCTATAAACTAGACTTAACTAAATCCTATGAAGAGCAGAGACCATACCAGTTAAGCTCATCATTGTGCTGCTAGCACTTAGCATGGTGCCTGGCATATAGCAGGTTCTCAATAAATGTTGAAAGAATGATTGATGCATGATGAATACATAAAAGTTCGTGGTGATCAGTCCTTTCACAACGTGAAGCTATCAGATAGTCTGTACCTCTATCCCTCCTGAGAAATTAAGCTCTCAGGAATATCAAGGCTCTGACTGCATACCCATAGGATCAAAGCAACCCTCAGTCACAAGCCTGGTTTCAGAGATAGGGTCATAACCCCCAGGGTGCAGAGACAACCGAGAGTACCCAGCACTAATCCAGATATACCAGCCACTGTGATTCTAGCAACAAAACTAATAATTCCGGGCACCCTTGGACAATGAGAAAGGGTGCTGAAATCCTGCCTACCCTGTCACACTCAGTTTCAGAAATGGTCTGGAAGAGCCTGCAGAGGGCAGGCAGCAGAGAACCGGCAGAGGGCATGGGAAGGGCCAGGCAGAAATAAAGGGTAGCTCTTGAAGCATAGATGACAGTGTAGACCGTGGTTCTTTTCTCTTGCTTTCTCCACCTTTCTCTTCAATAGTTTGTTTCTCCTCATTGCTGTTCCAATGGCAACCTCTATTCTGCCCTATCATTGAAATCTAGAAAAAGAAAGTAGCTCAAATGTGAAATATCACCTAATCTTTTCTTCTATTTCTCCAGAGAAAAAATCCATATACCTGAAAGATCTGATGAAGCCCAGCGTGTTTTTAAAAGTTCGAAGACATCTTCATGCGACAAAAGTGATACATGTTTTTAATTAAAGAGTAAAGCCCATACAAGTATTCATTTTTTCTACCCTTTCCTTTGTAAGTTCCTGGGCAACCTTTTTGATTTCTTCCAGAAGGCAAAAAGACATTACCATGAGTAATAAGGGGGCTCCAGGACTCCCTCTAAGTGGAATAGCCTCCCTGTAACTCCAGCTCTGCTCCGTATGCCAAGAGGAGACTTTAATTCTCTTACTGCTTCTTTTCACTTCAGAGCACACTTATGGGCCAAGCCCAGCTTAATGGCTCATGACCTGGAAATAAAATTTAGGACCAATACCTCCTCCAGATCAGATTCTTCTCTTAATTTCATAGATTGTGTTTTTTTTTTAAATAGACCTCTCAATTTCTGGAAAACTGCCTTTTATCTGCCCAGAATTCTAAGCTGGTGCCCCACTGAATTTTGTGTGTACCTGTGACTAAACAACTACCTCCTCAGTCTGGGTGGGACTTATGTATTTATGACCTTATAGTGTTAATATCTTGAAACATAGAGATCTATGTACTGTAATAGTGTGATTACTATGCTCTAGAGAAAAGTCTACCCCTGCTAAGGAGTTCTCATCCCTCTGTCAGGGTCAGTAAGGAAAACGGTGGCCTAGGGTACAGGCAACAATGAGCAGACCAACCTAAATTTGGGGAAATTAGGAGAGGCAGAGATAGAACCTGGAGCCACTTCTATCTGGGCTGTTGCTAATATTGAGGAGGCTTGCCCCACCCAACAAGCCATAGTGGAGAGAACTGAATAAACAGGAAAATGCCAGAGCTTGTGAACCCTGTTTCTCTTGAAGAACTGACTAGTGAGATGGCCTGGGGAAGCTGTGAAAGAACCAAAAGAGATCACAATACTCAAAAGAGAGAGAGAGAGAAAAAAGAGAGATCTTGATCCACAGAAATACATGAAATGTCTGG
Organism: Homo sapiens; assembly: GCF_000001405.40. Classification (NCBI taxonomy): domain Eukaryota; kingdom Metazoa; phylum Chordata; class Mammalia; order Primates; family Hominidae; genus Homo; species Homo sapiens. The sequence continues at coordinate 122,120,454 of NC_000003.12, forward strand.
TCTGTCCACCCCATCAACAAGTCTTGAAACAAGCAACAGATGGATAGTCTGTCCAAATGGACATAAGACAGACAGCAGTTTCCCTGGTGGTCAGGGAGGGGTTTTGGTGATACCCAAGTTATTGGGATGTCATCTTCCTGGAAGCAGAGCTGGGGAGGGAGAGCCATCACCTTGATAATGGGATGAATGGAAGGAGGCTTAGGACTTTCCACTCCTGGCTGAGAGAGGAAGAGCTGCAACGGAATTAGGAAGACCAAGACACAGATCACCCGGGGCTTACTTAGCCTACAGATGTCCTACGGGAACGTGGGCTGGCCCAGCATAGGGCTAGCAAATTTGAGTTGGATGATTGTTTTTGCTCAAGGCAACCAGAGGAAACTTGCATACAGAGACAGATATACTGGGAGAAATGACTTTGAAAACCTGGCTCTAAGGTGGGATCACTAAGGGATGGGGCAGTCTCTGCCCAAACATAAAGAGAACTCTGGGGAGCCTGAGCCACAAAAATGTTCCTTTATTTTATGTAAACCCTCAAGGGTTATAGACTGCCATGCTAGACAAGCTTGTCCATGTAATATTCCCATGTTTTTACCCTGCCCCTGCCTTGATTAGACTCCTAGCACCTGGCTAGTTTCTAACATGTTTTGTGCAGCACAGTTTTTAATAAATGCTTGTTACATTCATTTAAAAGTCTACATTTTCTGCTTTGGCTTCAAGAGTACTACTCAACCCTTGTGGTCTGATGTTCCCTGCTCTGTCCTCTGAATGTACTTCCTTTCTCTTTACATCTCTATGGCTAGAAGCCTCTCACGCATCCTGTATCTTCTCCTCCTCCCTTTTCCCTACCATTATTTGAGAAAGGAGGCTTGTATACTTCTATATGTTTATCTCAGTAATAAGTCATAAAAAATCAAGTAAGAATGGTTGTTTTTGAGGACAACTAAGAAATCTGGAATAAGGAAGGGAAGCTTACTTTTGAGTTTGTAACCTGTAGTGTGTAATTTTTTAATTATGTACTTACATGTACATTAAACAAAAGCTTAATGTAAAAATATTCCTTGAAAACACCATGATTATAAAATAAATGCATATATACACATACAGCATGTGAGAGGAGCCAGGAAAACTCTGGAAAAAAGAAAATTACCTAGACTCTGTGAGGGCAGGAATGTGTTTAATTTCTCTCCAATGGATCCTCAGACAACTAAGATAGTTGTCTATTCTATTGTCCATCTTTTTGTCTTTTGTTGTATTTCTTAAAGATTCCCTCAACTTTATCTTCTAACTTCTGTTGTATTTTTATTTCTGCTATCATGTATTCTTTTCAGAATTCTTTTTTGTTCTCTCAAAACATATCTGTTTAAAGATTGAATGAAATATTAACATGCCCTTTGGTGAGAACATCCCTCCTTTGTATATTAAATTCTCTGAACTGCTGTATTCTAAGACTAGGGGAAAGAAAAAGAAGGTTGAAAGAGGTCATTAGGCAGAATAGTACTAGCTAACATTATTTCACATTTACCATATACCCGTCACTCATCTAAACCTTTAAACTCATTATCCTATTTAATCCTCACAATGACCCTGTGACGTAGGTAATGGAATATTATGCCCATTATGCTGATGAGAAAATATAAACACAGAGATAAGTCAGAGTAATTTACCCAACATTGTTAACTTTGTAAGTGGCAGAGCTTTGTAACAGGCAGAGGTTGGAACAGTTTGGAGGGCTCAGAAGAAGACAGGAAGATGTAGGAAAGTTTGGAACTTCCCAGAGCCTTGTTGAATGGCTTTGACCAAAATGCTGATAGTAATATGGACAATGAAATACAGGCTGAGGTGGTCTCAGATAGAGAAGAGGAACTTGTTGGGAACTGGAATAAAGGTGACTCTTGCTATGTTTTAGCAAAGACACTGGTGGCATTTTGCCCCTGCCCTAGAGATTTGTGGGACTTTGAACTTGAGAGAGATGATTTAGGGTATCTGGTGGAAGAAATTTCTAAGCAGCAAAGCATTCAAGATGTAACTTTCGTGCTGTTAAAAGCATTCAGTTTTATGTATTCCCAAAAATATGGTTTGGAATTGGAACTTATGTTTAAAAGTTTGGAAAATTTGCAGCCTGACAATGTGATAGAAAAGAAAACCCATTTTCTGAGGAGAAATTCAAGCCAGCTGCAGAAATTTGCATAAGTAACAAGGAGCCAAATGTTAATTGCCAAGATAATGGGAAAATGTCTCCAGGCCATGTCAGAACTCTTTACAGCAGCCCTTCTCATCACAGGCCAAGAGGCCTAGGAGGGAAAAACGGTTTCCTGGCCAGGCCCGAGGCCTTGCTGCTTTGTGCAGTTTTGGGACTTGGTGCCCTGCATCCCAGCCATGGCTAAAAGAGGCCAAGATACAGTTCAGGTCATGGCTTCAGAGGGTGCAAGCCCCAAGGCTTGGCAGCTTCAGCACAGTGAACCTGCAGGTGCACACAAGTCAAGAATTGAGGTTTGGGAACATCCCCGTAGATTTCAGAGGATGTATGGGAACACCTGGATGTCCAGGCAGAAGTTTGCTGCAGGGGTAGAGCTCTCATGGAGAACCTCTGCAAGGGCAGTGCAGCAGGGAAATGTGGGGTTGGAGCCCCCACACAGAGTCCCCACTGGGGCACTGCCTAGTGGAGCTATGAGAAGAGGGCCACCATCATCCAGACCCCAGAATTGTAGGTCCACCAACCATGCGCCTGGAAAAGTCACCGACACTCAATGCCAACCCATGAAGGAAGTCAGGAGGGGGCTGTACCCTGCAAAGCCAAAGAGGCCAAGCTGCCCAAGGCCATGGGAGCCCACCTCTTGCATCAGCATGACCTGGATGTGAGAGATGGAGACAAAAGAGAGATCATTTTGGAGCTTTAAGATTTCACTGCCCCACTGGATTTTGGACTTGCATGGGGCCTGTAGCCCCTTTGTTTTGGCAAATTTCTCCCATTTGGAATGGGTATATTTACCCAATGCCTGTACCCCCATTGTATCTAGGAAGTTACTAACTTTCTTTTGATTTTACAGGCTCATAGGCGGAAGGTGCTTGCCTTGTCTCAGATGAGACTTTGGACTTGGGACTTTTGGGTTAATGCTGGAATGAGTTAAGACTTTGGGGGACTGTTGGAAAGGCATGATTGTATTTTGAAATGTAAGGACATGAGATTTGGGAGGAGCCAGGGGTGAAATTATATGGTTTGGCTGTGTCCCCATCCAAATCTCATCTTGAATTGTAGTTCCCATAATCTCCACGTGTTGTGGGAGGGACCCAGTGGGAGGTAATTGAATCATGTGGGCAGTTACCCCCATGCTGCTGTTCTCATGATAGTGAGTGAGTTCTCATGAGATGTGATGGTTTTATAAGAGGCTTTTCTGCCTTTTGCTTGGCATTTCTCCTTCCTATCATCCTGTGAAAGAGGATATGTTTGCTTCCCCTTCCACCATGATTTAAGTTTCCTGAGGCCTCATCAGCCCTGCTGAACTGTGAGTCAATTAAACCTCCTTCCTTTATAAATTAACCAGTCTTGGGTGTGTCTTTATTAGCAGTGTGAGAAGGAACAAATACATTAACCCAGGCTTGAAAGCAAAGAGTCATCTCTGATGACTGCATTCAACCTTTCCCTCAGCACCCACTGCTCACCCCTTCGCTCCTGCCTCATTCTGTTATCAGTCATCACTAGGCCAGGAAAGCATTCCTCCCACTTTCACACCCACCTCTTATTTTCTCATTCAGGACCTTTTTTATTCATACCAAAAACATGTCAGTCACCTCCCAACTGATCCCAGTCTCCTATCTCTCTTACCCTTCATTCTGTCCAACACACCAAGAGAAACAAGAAGGTAAATAGTGAAAAGGTCTCCCTCACATTCCCTTTCCCTAGCCACACAACTCTGATCTCCAGCTTCCTGGGTATCCATTCGTAGTCACAGTATGCCTATTTTTAAGTGTGTGTACACACACATACACATATTCCCCTTACTCAGGCAGATTTGGTTTTACTTTACACTACAGTCTAAAGAAATCAGAATACTCTTGCTAGGATGATTGACATCAGTCTTCAGTGTAATCCTTCATATTAAAAACATACATCTGTATGTATAAGTTTTCATTCTCACCAATATTCTAGCATCATTGTGGATCTTATAATAAAAGTGAGATTCCATTGGATTTTATTATGTCTACCTGTTCACTTCAGAAGAAAAGATACTTACAGATATAGAATCCTTCACTGTCCTTAGTCACAAAGTTTAAAACCTGCTCCAATCTGAACAAGTTACACCCTAGGTCTGGTGAGCAACAGTTACCCTGAAGGGATCTCCCAATTCCTATGTCCATATAGTTGTCTTTCTTGATTTACCCCCTCACTTTGGTGGTGCATATCCTTCAGTAGCTTGATCCAGCAGCTTTCTGAGAAAGGATCTGTGGGAAATATATTTAATGAAATTTTATGTATCTGAAAATGTCTTTATCTTACTTTCCTGCTTAACTATTAATAATTTTGCTTGGTATAAAAATTTGGGTTGGAAATTATTTTCATTGTCCATAGTTTCCAGTGTTGCTCTTGAGAAATCTACAAATATTCTGACTCCTTATCTTTTTACATGAAAGCTTTTAGAATCTGCTCAGTGTTCTAAGATTTTGTCATGAAATGCCTGTTTGTCCATTGTGATTAACACTCAGATGGACTTTTCTTCTGGAAACTCATGTCCTTTCCTCCAGGGAAATTTTCCTGAATTATTTCATTGATTATTTTTCCCCTCTATTTCACTAGTCTCTCATTTTAGAATGTCAGATTCCTGAATGTTGAATCTCCTAGACTGATCCTCCAATTTTGTTATTTTCTCTCCTGTTGCCCATATTTTGTTTTTTGTTCCATTTCCTAGAGATTTTCTCAAGTTTATCTTCCAGCCTTTCTGTTGTACTTTTTACTTCTGCTATCATGTTTTATTTTCAGAGCTCCTTTTTGTTTTCTGAATGTTTCTTTTTGCAAGGAGCCTGTTCCTAATGGTTGAAATATTATCTCTTAACTCTCTTAGGATATTAACGATTAGGTTGTTTGTTTTTAAAGTTTTATATTCCAAGTTATTTCTTCCTGTTTGTTTGCTTTGATCTATATCATCCATGTTAAAGGATTCCCAGCTGTCTGATGATACTTGACTGTCTGTTCACAATTAAGAGTGAAAAACTAAAAGTTTGGAGGATCTGAGTTTATGGATGGGTTTGTCAACTTTAGCTTCATGGTAGAGGGATCTGGAGCAAGACATTTTTAGGAAATCATTTTTAGATCTTCTTTTTTGAGCTGGTAATTTTTCAGTATCTTGCTTGGAAGGTAGAGGTATAGCTGCTAGTATTTTGGGAGCCAAGTGAGAGAAGAGGGGTGGGTGTGAGTAGTGATGGAACCTCTGCATTCCTTATTCAGTATGCATAAATGTACTTACTCCATGTGTTTTTAGTACGATAGCCCTATCGTACTTGTAGCATGTGGCAAAGTGGTTTCTCTTCCCGTGACCTGATTATAACATTGATTCAGATTAAACATTGTGAACTCAGTTTCCTAAATATACCAAGTACAAAGTAAAAGTCACTAAATTGTCCTAACAGTCTACTAGAAATGGAAGAAATTCAGAAAGCAATGAGGAGAACCTTCCCATTGTATGTGGTACATGAGGGCAGAGAAGGGAGTAATTCACCCAACACCAAAAAGAGCCATGACCAGAACTCAGGTTCCTGATTTTTCAGTCCAGGGTTCTTCCCACCCCACTGTGCCCCTCTAAACTTCTTGTTAACTGGAAGAGCTGGAAAATGGGTGTCAACAGAGCATAATGAAGGAAGATCATGGACTTTAGGTCAGATAGACCTGACACCACTACACTTGACTGTGTGACCTTGGGCTAATTACTTAATCTCTGATTTTCAGTTTTCTTATTTGTAAAATAGGGATAATAATATCTACCTACCTTACAGGATCAAGGGCAATCCAAAAGATAAGGATTATACTGTTTAAAAAAGGAAAGGAAAGAAAAATAAAAGAGCCACAACAAACAAGCAATTGGGTAGCTTGTTTCAACAGGGTGGGCTTGAGGATGGTGAGTGAGAATTAGTAGTGGGAGGATGGCAACTTCATGTGAGGCTGATGTAGGAGGAGTTGTAGGTTGGGCTGTACATGGATTAACAGGCGTGGGCTTGGATTCTTTCATATAACACTCAGCCCAGAAGTCTTCCAAACACCCTGCTGAAAGCCAGAAATGCTCCTACAACTCCTCCTGCATCAGCCTCACATGAAGTCCCACTCTCAGGATCTCAACTTAGGGACTGAGATGATTCATGCTCTCACCTTATGCACGTGGAACTTTTCCAACTTTACCTTCTGAGACCAAAGCCAAGTTCCTGGGACCTTTATCTTTCCTTTGTCAAGATTATTTCCAGACAATCAATAATATCTACTTCTTTGTGAAGATAACAGGAAGCTCATTCCTTACTAAATATAACATGAAATTCTAAGCAGTTAAGCTGAGAATAAAAAGGACCAAAGGCTCCCAGTTAATATTTCGGAAAGCCCTTGTCTTGAGGAGCAGCCATGTAGAGGATGGTTTGTATCAGGGAGGGCCGTGCAAATTGGAGGCAGGTATACCAATTAGGAAACAGACATAGTTAGCCTCAACAAGTTTGGCATTTCTAAGGAGCTGAACTAGCAGAAGCCTCCTGAAATTTCTAGATTAGATCCTGGTGCCCAGGCTTATCAGACCAGGAGCAGGGCAAAGTAGACTTCATAACAAAAGTAAACTCAAATCAGAGGGAAATGGAAACTAACAGGAGCTGCTTTATTGGAGATGGACCACAGGAGCTTTCTGCACTCAAATGATATGGGGAAAAAGAAATCCTAAAATATAATGTTGGAAAAGTTGGATAGCCCAGGCATAGCTAGCAGATTGGAAATAGTATTAGGAATCACAGTTTTTTACTTAGTCACCATGTTGAAAAGATCCTTTTCTTTAGCATAGACCCAGCACAGGGGTGAGGTAGGGGCTAATTTCTGGCATGAGAGACCAGAGGCACAGAGTATGGAGCAAGAAGCAGGAGCTGATTGCTTTCAGATCACTAACTGCCAAATAATTAAAACATTTTCTTAAATTCATATTTTGCAACCCAGAACATATACCTGAAGCTTATTATTAGAACATATTAGGGTATAGTTACAATGCTAACTGGTGACACAAACTAGTTACATGCTGTTTCCACCAGTCTATCTGCCACTTTTTAACTACACACATCAAGTATTTGCCCCCAGGTTTCAGGTCTCAACCTCTGTAAGAACAGTTGAGCTGTGTCCACTTGACGGAAAAACAAGTCTATTACACTTTTTGTTTCAAAAAGTCAACCCATCCAATCAAATAAGTTCCTTTACACATATTTTAAAAAACACATTTACTAGCTTTCCTCCAATTTTCAATGTGTTTATTGAACTCTCTTGGAGTTACAGTCTGGGAGTATTTTTGAGACTCCTGTTATCAATTTAAAAAGAAAAGAAAAGGAAGGAATGCTTTTTTAAAAAACAATAAATCTTGTTCCTGTGTCTAAACCAGCCATGCATATTAACGTGTGTGACTTCTCAGAGTTTAAAGTGTTTTAGCTGGGAAAAAATATATTGTAGAAGACTTAAAGAAACAAGATGGCGGCCGGGCGCAGTGGCTCACGCCTGTAATCCCAGCACTTTGGGAGGCCGAGGCGGGCGGATCACGAGGTCAGGAGATCGAGACCATCCCAGCTAAAACGGTGAAACCCCGTCTCTACTAAAAATACAAAAAATTAGCCGGGCATAGTGGTGGGCGCCTGTAGTCCCAGCTACTTGGGAGGCTGAGGCAGGAGAATGGCGTGAACCCGGGAGGCGGAGCTTGCAGTGAGCCGAGATCCCGCCACTGCACTCCAGCCTGGGCGACAGAGCGAGACTCCGTCTCAAAAAAAAAAAAAAAAAAGAAAGAAACAAGATGGCATAGCAATGAGAATTTTAAGAGTTTTCATTCTCCCTGAGAAATTACTTATATGGAGAACTTATTAGGAGTGGTTTATTTGCAGCAGGAAATACAGTTATGATATAAGAAAACTCTTGATCATCAGGGTCTTAGGCATTAGAAACACTCAGATGCTATAATCCTATATCTAGAAAACCCCATAGTCTCTTCCAAAAGGCTCTGGATCTGATAAACAACTTCAGCAAAGTTTCAGGACTCAGAATCAATGTATCCAGGGTACAAAGTAACATTTTTATATACCAGTAACATCGTACATAAGTGCCAACTCAAGAATGCAATCCCATTCACAATTGCCACAAAAAAAATAAAATACAGCTAAACCAGGGAAGTGAACAATCTCTACAATGAGAATTACAAAATACTGCTGAAAGAAATCAGAGAAGATACAAACAAATGGAAATATATCACATGCTCATAGATAGGAAGAATCAGTATTGTTAAAATGGCCATGCTGCCCAAAGCAATTTACAGATTCAATGCTATTCTTATCAAACAACCAATGACATTTTTCACAGAATTAGAAATATCTATTCTAAAATTCAGATGGAATTCATGCAAGGCAGATGAGCCTCAAATTGGGGCTTATCCTGGGAGAGTCCTTGGCTTTGCTCAGTAAAGAATTCAAAAGTGAGTTGGTGGCTCATGCCTGTAATCCCAGCACTTTGGGAGTCCGAGGCGGGCAGATCACGAGGTCAGGAGATAGAAACCATCCTGGCTATGGTGAAACCCGGTCTCTACTAAAAATACAAAAAATTAGCCAGGTGTGGTGGCTGGTGCCTGTAGTCCCAGCTACTTGGGAGGCTGAGGCAGGAGAATGGCGTGAACCTGGGAGGCAGAGCTTGCAGTGAGCTGAGATCACGCCACTGCACTCCAGCCTGGGTGACAGAGCTAGACTCCGTCTCAAAAAAAAAAAAAAAAGTGAGTTGGTGGTGGAAGAAAACAGCTTTACTGAGGTGGCAGTGTTACAGCTCTGTGACTGCTCCTGCAGAGCAGGGCTACCCCATGTGCAGTGTGCTGAGAGCAGTAGCTCAAAGGCAGTGCTGCAGTCATATCTACTTTTAATTACATGCAAATTAAGGGGTGGATTATGCAGAAATTTCTAGAAAGAGTGGTAACTTCTGGGTTGTCAGGTCACTGCCATGAAAAGGGGCAGTAACTTGCAGGTGTTGCCATGGAAATTGTAAGCTGACACAGCACACTGGTGGGTATGTCTTATGGAAAGCTGCTTGTGCCCCATCCCTAGGGCATGTCTCAATTGAGCTAGTCCTCAATTTGGCCTGATGTCTGAGCCCAGAGTCCAGTCCTGCCTCCCACTTCAGAATCAAAAAGGAGCCGAAATAGCCAAAGTGATCCTAAGCAAAAAGAACAAAGCCAGAGGCATCACATTACCTGACTTCAAACTATCCTACAAGGCTATCATAACCCAAACAGCATGGTACTGTTACAAAAACAGATAGACCAATGGAACAGGTTAGAGAACCCAGAAATAAAGCCACACACCTACAACCATCTGATATTTGACAAAATCAACATTAACAAACAATGGGAAATGATTCTGTATTCAATAAATGGTGCTGGGATAGCTGGCTAGCCAATATGCAGAAGATTGAAACTGGACTCCTACGTTTCACCATATACAAAAATCAACTCAAGATGGATTAAAGACTTAAATGTAAAACCTAAAACTATAAAACCCTAGAAGAAAACCTAGGAAATACTGTTCTGGACATTGGCCCTGGCAAAGACTTCATGATGAAGACTCCAAAAGCAATTACGACAAAAACAAAAACTGGTAAGTGGGTCCTAATTAAACTAAAAAGCTTCTGCACAGCAAAAGAAACTATCAACACAGAAAAGAGACAATCTACAGAATGGGAGAAAATATTTGCAAACCATGCATCTGACAAAGGTCTAATATTCAGAATATAAAAGGAACTTAAATCAATAGGCAAAAACCAAACAACCCCATTTAAAAGTGGGCAAAGGACATTAACGAACAGACAGTTTTCAAAAGAAGATATACATGTAGCCAACAAGCATATGACAAAATGCCCAGTATCACTAATCATTGTGGAAATGCAAATCAAAACCACAGTGAGATACCATCTCATACCACTCATAATGGCTACTATTAAAAAGCCAAAAAATAACAGATGCTGGCAAGGTTGCAGAGAAAAGGGAACACTGGTACACTGCTGGTAGCAGTGTAAATTAGTTCAGCTGCTGTGTAAAGCAGTCTGGAGAATTCTCAAAGAACTTAAAACAGAGCTACCATTCGACTCAGCAATCCTGTTATTGGGTATAAAACTGGAATACAAATTGGAATACAAGGAATACAAATTGTTCTACCATAAAGATACATGCACACATATGTTCACGACAGTACTATTCACAATTACCAAAGACATGGAATCAACCCAGATGCCCATGAATGGTGGACTGAATAAAGAAAATGTAGTAAAGTTGCAAAGACAAAAAAAAATTTTATATCTTCTTAAACCTACGTAAGGTACATTATTGTTTGCCCCTTCCTCCTCTTCTTCCTCCTTCTCCTCCGCAATGCTGTTTATTGAGCATACCATATGCCAGGTACTGTGTTAAATAGTTTACATACATTATCTTGGGAAGAAAAAAAAAGGCTATCTTGCAAAAGTCTAAAAAGTTGTTTTAAGAAGAGAAGGGGGAATCAGATGGAAAGAAGAGTGAATTGAGATATTCTGAGAATTTAGAGAAGAAAAAAATTATGAGAGCAGCAAAACAGTGAACTAGTGTTTTGTTGTATTGTGGCAGGAGGAAGAGGTGTGATTTGAGCCCACGTTGTCCTCTGCTATGATTCAGGTATAAGTGATCATGAGGAGAAAACTGGTGGGGAAAAGGAGGATGCTAGGAAATAATCCATCCTGAAGAAAGCAGAATCCAGGCATGGATGTTTGATTCAGGAATCACGGAACCATTGTCAAAAGTGGATAAGTAGAGTTTTGAGGAAACCAGAATATATGTCACTCAGCTTATTGTCTAATTCATATTTGACCTGAAGATGGAGGCAGTTCTAAGAAAGAAGATCCATGGATCATTATGATGTCATGCACAACCTTTTTCCAGCCACACTTGAAACAAATCTACTCCTGGGCTTTTCCATTATGTGAGCCAATAGACTGTTTTCTTCTTGCTCTCTCTCTCCTTCTCTCCTTCAACTCCCTTTGTATTCCCCAAGTTGGTTTTGCTCCTCAATTCAAGCTTTCCATTCCATAAAAAAATAATTCCTAATTGATAAATTATAGAATGGAAAAGTGTTGACCTTGCTGAGTCCAAAGGCACAATCAATATTTTCAGCCCACCCTCTTTCTCTCTCAGGTTTTGTTCTTGGCTCAGATTTTCTTTTCATGTTGATCTCTGTCTCCTATTATAGGAAGATTCCTCTGTGCAGCTGGGAAAAATGACCACAGATGGCTCCAGTGTATGTTGTCTGCAGCATCTTTTCTGTTACCTCCAGCAAAAACATCCTTGAGGAGGATGCAGATTGGGCTCATTTGGGTCACAAGTTCATCCCTAAAGCCATCACCATGGCCAGAGATTTTTGACTTTATTAAAAAGACCAAGTATTTTTCTCTTCTGCTCCCTCCCCCAAATCCTAGGAGAATAGAGTTAACCCAAAATTAAATAAATAGAATGGGGGAAAGGTGGTATAATAGATATTGTTGTTTCCCCACCCTTACCTGGCCAAGGCATCCATCCCCCAGATGCTGTGTTGACTGTTAACAACCTACAGTTGCTCTCTTTGTAAGACTTGTCCTTGACCAAATAAGAACCCCTTCCCCTAATTCTATCTTTATTTAAAACTTTATTGTGTTCATCATGAATTTTTAAATTCATTTTTATTTAATATATTGCATTAAAATCGTATTAATCTTGATTGTTGAGTTTTTTTACTTTCTTTCAAATTTTACCCTGCTCACTTCACCCTAGTCCTGGCCCTGGCTAAGAAGCTATACTCCAGCCCTCCATCACCCCTCTAGGGACAGACCTCAGCCAATGATTAACTGATGTAGGGGTACAAAAGGTCACCCCCTTGCCTCAAGGTAGGGATAACTCTGTAGTAGAATTTGTGTTCCAGAGTTGCCCCAGGATCAGGCACTAAAGCTAGTCACCAGCTAAGACCACATTCTTGCTTTCATCCTTACCCTGTCCTGCCTTCCTCACTCTCTTTTCTTGAGAGTGTTCCACACATATCACTTGGATAAGATTACCTGCCTTAGGTTCTGCTTCTAGGGAAGCCTACCTAAGAAAGTTGATACCAGGAAGGGTCCTAGGAAGCAGACAGTAAGTGGAGGATTTTGTCGTTGGATTACTCACCAGCTGGATAACAGTAGGACCAGGTGCTGATACTGCCTGGATGCTGCATGCCACACACCAAAAAGCATTTTTGTGGCAACAGAAAAGGACTAAGACACTGTGAAAGTGGATTTTTAAGGCTTTTACCTGTAGTGAGCTGTAACGGGATACAGGTGCAAGGGGATTCGCTAACTGGTACAATATCCTAGGCTAGTGGTTTCAGTGATCTGCACATTAAAGTCACCTGGGAAACTTAAAAATTCCTAGGCCCAGACCACACCTAAGACTAATTACATTACAATCTCTGGGTTTAGGACACTGGCACCGGTATTTTTAGACACTCCCAGTTTATTCCTATGTGCTGACAAGTTTAGAAACTACTGCCTCAGGCAGTTGGGGCTTGTAGGGTAATAGTACCTGCAAGAAAGGATTGTGGAATTGGATAGCTATTGTTAATTATTATTGATTCATGGCAGAAAGAAAAATCTCAGGCTCAGATCTATTAATCAACAACTTTAAGGCCAGGTGCAGTGGCTCACGCCTGTAATTCCAGCGCTTTGGGAGGCCGAGGAGGGTGAATCATTTGAGGTCAGGAGGTCAAGACCAGCTTGGCCAACATGGTGAGACCGAATCTCTACTAAAAACACAAAAAATTAACCTGTTGTGGTGGCAGGTGCCTGTAATCCCAGCTATTCAGGAGGCTGAGGTAGGAGAATCGCTTGAACCTGGGAGGTAGAGGTTGCATTGAGCTGAGATCGTGCCACTGCACTCCAGCCTAGGCCACAGAGTGAGTCTCAAAAAAAAAAAAGTTTGTTCATGTCCTTCGTCCACTTTTTGATGGGGTTGTTTGTTTTTTTCTTGTAAATTTGTTTGAGTTCATTGTAGATTCTCGATATTAGCCATTTGTCAGATGAGTAGGTTGTGAAAATTTTCTCCCATTTTGTAGGTTGCCTGTTCACTCTGATGGTAGTTTCTTTTGCTGTGCAAAAGCTCTTTAGTTTAATTAGATCCCATTTGTCAGTTTTGGCTTTTGTTGCCATTGCTTTTGGTGTTTTACACATGAAGTCCTTGCCCTTGCCTATGTCCTGAATGGTAATGTCTAGGTTTTCTTCTAAGGTTTTTATGGTTTTAGGTCTAACGTTTAAGTCTTTAATCCATCTCGAATTGATTTTTGTATAAGGTGTAAGGAAGGGATCCAGTTTCAGCTTTCTACATATGGCTAGCCAGTTTTCCCAGCACCATTTATTAAACAGGGAATCCTTTCCCCATTGCTTGTTTTTGTCAGGTTTGTCAAAGATCAGATAGTTGTAGATATGCAGCGTTATTTCTGAGGGCTCTGTTCTGTTCCATTTATCTATATCTCTGTTTTGGTACCAGTACCATGCTGTTTTGGTTACTGTAGCCTTGTAGTATAGTTTGAAGTCTCAAAAGAAGACATTTATGCAGCCAAAAACACATGAAAAAATGCTCACCATCACTGGCCATCAGACAAATGCAAATCAAAACCACAATGAGATACCATCTCACATCAGTTAGAATGGCAATCATTAAAAAGTCAGGAAACAACAGGTGCTGGAGAGGATGTGGAGAAATAGGAACACTTTTACACTGTTGGTGGGACTGTAAACTAGTTCAACCATTGTGGAAGTCAGTGTGGCGATTCCTCAGGGATCTAGAACTAGAAATACCATTTGACCCAGCCATCCCATTACTGGGTATATACCCAAAGGACTATAAATCATGCTGCTATAAAGACACATGCACACGTATGTTTATTGTGGCATTATTCACAATAGCAAAGACTTGGAACCAACCCAAATGTCCAACAATGATAGACTGGATTAAGAAAATGTGGCACATATACACCATGGAATACTATGCAGCCATAAAAAATGATGAGTTCATGTCCTTTGTAGGGACATGGATGAAATTGGAAATCATCATTCTCAGTAGACTATCGCAAGAACGAAAAACCAAACACCGCATATTCTCACTCATAGGTGGGAATTGAACAATGAGAACACATGGACACAGGAAGGGGAACATCACACTCTGGGGACTGTTGTGGGGTGGGGGGAGGGGGGAGGGATAGCATTGGGAGATATATCTAATGCTAGATGACGAGTTAGTGGGTGCAGCGCACCAGCATGGCACATGTATACATATGTAACTAACCTGCACATTGTGCACATGTACCCTAAAACTTAAAGTATAATAATTAAAAAAAAAGTTTAAGCAAACTGTGAGAGTCAAAGTATCTCCTTGGAAGCATTTAAAGACACTCATTTCCTGCAGCAGGAGAGCTGCACAACTGAAGATCAGGTTGAGGATTTTAGTAAGAATTTTTAGTTGCCTAAACCCCTCGGTCTGCAGAAGTGACCAACTCTCCCTTGTTAGATAGAGACCTTCTATTTCTTGAAGGCTATTAAGAGGTATCAAACAAGGCAATGCTTTGCAAATAAAGTTGCCAGATAAAATGCAAGATGCCCAGTTAAATTTTAATTTCAGATAAACTGTGAATAATTATTAAATTTTCATGAATTATTACAGTATCATAATCTCCTGTATCCTGTTTTTTTATTGCTAAATCTGGCATCCCTATTTATAAGGTAATACTTACCCTACTCAGGATCTGCCCTAACCTTTCATCTGGCCTCCAGAAACATTTTTAAGAATGGAGGGTGGGAAGAGGGTGAGAATCAAAAAACTATCTATCGGGTTCTATGTGCATTAATAGAAATGATGCACATAGTTGCATCATTTCTATTAATGATGCAAAAAGTGATGAAATAATCTGTATGCCAAATCCCCAAGACATGCAATTTACCCATATAACAAACCTGCACATGTACCCCCAAACCTAAAATAAAAGTTAGAAAGGGAAAAAAAAATCAGCAAAACCTGATTGAGGAAGTATGAGGCTTGCTAAGGGAAGAGAGAGAAAATATGCCAAAGGAGCTGTAGGACCTGGTAGGAGGGGAATAAGGTTTATTGAAAATCCAGTAATATCTGTTATCTCTAGGCAGGAATGACAGTATCAAATTCTATGTCAGAAGTGGGCTTTACAGTATCAATGGGATAAGTGTATTAGTTTGTTTTGTACTGAATACCTGATAGAATACCTGAGACTGGGAAATTCATAAAAATTAGAGATTTATCTCTTCCAGTTCTGGAGGCTGGGAAGTCCCAGGCTGAGGTGCCCTCATCTGGCAAGGGACTTCTTGCTGTGTCATCCCATGGTGGAAGGTGGAAAGGCAAGAGAGCACACAAGCACACAGGCACAAACATGCATGAGACAGAGAGAGAGAGAAGGGGGCAAATCTGCTTTTATGAAGAACTCACTCTCACAATAATGAACCCACTCCTGCAATCATGACATAATCCATTTATGAGGGCAGAGCCCTCATAACTTAATCACCTCTTAAAGTTCAGGTCCCACCTCTCAACACTGTTGCATTGATAATTAAGTTTCTAACACATAAACTTTGGAGGACATATTCAAACCATACCACCTGTTTATTAGTTATTATTATGTTTATTATAATTGCAGATACATTTCTGCTTAAATCTATCATTTTATTTTATGCTTTTTATTTGTCTCACCTGTTCCATGTGTGTTTTCTCTTTTTTTATTGCCTTTTTTTAGATTGTTTTAAAACATACTAGTTTTTTTCCTCCACTAGGTGTGAAATTAAACATTCTCTTTCCATTATTTGAAAGGCTTCTATAGAAATTACCACATACAAGCTTAACTTATGGAAGTCTACAATTAATCACTATCTCTTATTGAACAAGGTCCACAGAACATTTTAATATCATTTAAACTCCTTCCAACTTACATATTATTTTTTCATGTATTTAAATATCTTTTCTTCTGCTAACAATAACAACATCATTATTCCTTGATTTGATTCATTTCCCTTAAATTTACCCACATATTTACTCTTCACTGCACTTTATTCCTTTTTACATTACAGCCTTTCTCTGTAGGATTATTTTCTGCCTATATACGGAGTATACACGTTAGAAATTCTTTTAGGGAGGGTCTGCTGTTGGAAAAATCTCTTAGTTTGTATTTACCCTATTCATGACAGGTGTAAAATTGTATGTTGGCAATTATTTTCTCAGTGCATTGAAGGTTATTATTCCACTGTCTTTTAGCACTCCTCATTATGAAGAAGCCAACTGACAAGTTGTTACTTCTTTGAAAGCAATCTGTCTTTTTTCTTTTTCTTTTTCTTTTTATTATTATTATTATACTTTTAGTTTTAGGGTACATGTGCACAACGTGCAGGTTTGTTACATACGTATACATGTGCCATGTTGGTGTGCTGCACCCATTAACTCGTCATTTAGCATTAGGTATATCTCCTCATGCTATCCCTCCCTCTCCCCCCTCCCCCCACCCCACAACAGGCCCCAGTGTGTGATGTTCCCCTTCCTGTGTCCATGTGTTCTCATTGTTCAATTCCCACCTATGAGTGAGAACATGCGGTGTTTGGTTTTTTGTCCTTGCCATAGTTTGCTGAGAATGATGGTTTCCAGCTTCATCTATGTCCCTACAAAGGACATGAACTCACCATTTTTTATGGCTGCATAGTATTCCATGGTGTATATGTGCCACATTTTCTTAATCCAGTCTATCTTTGTTGGACATTTGGGTTGGTTCCAAGTCTTTGCTATTGTGAATAGTGCCACAATAAACATACGTGTGCATGTGTCTTTATAGCAGCATGATTTATAATCCTTCGGGTATATACCCAGTAATGGGATGGCTGGGTCAAATGGTATTTCTAGTTCTAAATCCCTGAGGAATTGCCACACTGACTTCCACAATGGTTGAACTAGTTTACAGTCCCACCAACAGTGTAAAAGTGTTCCTATTTCTCCCCATCCTCTCCAGCACCTGTTGTTTCCTGACTTTTTAATGATTGCCATTCTAATTGGTGTGAGATGGTATCTCATTGTGGTTTTGATTTGCATTTCTCTGATGGCCAGTGATGATGAGCATTTTTTCATGTGTCTTTTGGCTGCATAAATGTCTTCTTTTGAGAAGTGTCTGCTCATATCCTTCACCCACGTTTTGATGGGGTTGTTTGTTTTTTTCTTGTAAATTTGTTTGAATTCATTGTAGATTCTGGATATTAGCCCTTTGTCAGATGAGCAGGTTGCAAAAATTTTCTCCCATTCTGTAGGTTGCCTGTTCACTCTGATGGTAGTTTCTTTCACTGTGCAGAAGCTCTTTAGTTTAATTAGATCCCATTTGTCAATTTTGGCTTTTGTTGCCATTGCTTTTGGTGTTTTAGACATGAAGTCCTTGCCCATGCCTATGTCCTGAATGGTATTGCCTAGGTTTTCTTCTAGGGTTTTCATGGTTTTAGGTCTAACATGTAAGTCTTTAATCCATCTTGAATTAATTTTTGTATAAGGTGTAAGGAAGGGATCCAGTTTCAGCTTTCTACATATGGCTAGTCAGTTTTCCCAGCACCATTTATTAAATAGGGAATCCTTTCCCCATTTCTTGTTTTTGTCAGGTTTGTCAAAGCTCAGATAGTTGTAGATATGCGGCATTATTTCTGAGGGCTCTGTTCTGTTCCATTGGTCTATACCTCTGTTTTGGTACCAGCACCATGCTGTTTTGGTTACTGTAGCCTTGTAGTATAGTTTGAAGTCAGGTAGTGTGATGCCTCCAGCTTTGTTCTTTTGGCTTAGGATTGACTTGGCAATGTGGGCTCCTTTTTGGTTCCATATGAACTTTAAAGTAGTTTTTTCCAATTCTTTGAAGAAAGTCATTGGTAGCTTGATGGGGATAGCATTGAATCTATAAATTACCTTGGGCAGTATGGCCATTTTCACAATATTGCTTCTTCCTACCCATGAGCATGGAATGTTCTTCCATTTGTTTGTTTGTTTGTATCCTCTTTTATTTCATTGAGCAGTGGTTTGTAGTTCTTGAAGAGGTCCTACACATCCCTTGCAAGTTGGATTGCTAGGTATTTTATTCTCTTTGAAGCAATAGTGAATGGAAGTTCACTCTTGATTTGGCTCTCTGTTTGTCTGTTATTGGTGTATAAGAATGCTTGTGATTTTTGCACATTGATTTTGTATCCTGAGAGTTTGCTGAAGTTGCTTATCAGCTTGAGGAGATTTTGGGCTGAGACGATGGGGTTTTCTAGATATACAATCATGTCATCTGCAAACAGGGACTATTTGACTTCCTCTTTTCCTAAATGAATACCCTTTATTTCCTTCTCCTGCCTGATTGCCCTGGCCAGAATTTCCAACACTATGTTGAATAGGAGTGGTGAGAGAGGGCATCCCTGTCTTGTGCCAGTTTTCAAAGGGAATGCTTCCAGTTTTTGTCCATTCCGTATGATATTGGCTGTGGGTTTGTCATAGATAGCTCTTATTATTTTGAGATACATCCCATCAATACCTAATTTATTGAGAGTTTTTAGCTTGAAGAGTTGTTGAATTTTGTCAAAGGCCTTTTCTGCATCTATTGAGATAATCATGTGGTTTTTGTCTTTGGTTCTGTTTATATGCTGGATTACATTTATTGATTTTCGTATGTTGATCCAGCCTTGCATGCCAGGGATGAAGCCCACGTGATCATGGTGGATAAGCTTTTTGATGTGTTGCTGGATTCGGTTTGCCAGTATTTTATTGAGGATTTTTGCATCAATGTTCATCAAGGATATTGGTCTAAAATTCTCTTTTTTTGTTGTGTCTCTGCCAGGCTTTGGTATCAGGATGATGCTGGCCTCATAAAATGAGTTAGGGAGGATTCCCTCTTTTTCTATTGATTGGAATAGTTTCAGAAGGAATGGTACCAGCTCCTCCTTGTACCTCTGGTAGAATTCGGCTGTGAATCCATCTGTTCCTGGACTTTTTTTGGTTGGTAAGCTATTAATTATTGCCTCAATTTCAGAGCCCGTTATTGGTCTATTCAGAGATTCAACTTCTTCCTGGTTTAGTCTTGGGAGAGTGTATGTGTCCAGGAATTTATCCATTTCTTCTAGATTTTCTAGTTTATTTGCGTAGAGGTGTTTATGATATTCTCTGATGGTAGTTTGTATTTCTGTGGGATTGGTGGTGATATCCCCTTTGTCATTTTTTATTGCATCTATTTGATTCTTCTCTCTTTTCTTCTTTATTAGTCTTGCTAGTGGTCTATCAATTTTGTTGATCTTTTCAAAAAAAAACAGCTCCTGGATTCGTTGATTTTTTGAAGGGTTTTTTGTGCCTCTATTTCCTTCAGTTATGCTCTGATCTTAGTTATTTCTTGCCTTCTGCTAGCTTTTTAATGAGTTTGCTCTTGCTTCTCTAGTTCTTTTAATTGTGATGTTAGGGTGTCAATTTTAGATCTTTCCTGCTTTCTCTTGTGGGCATTTAGTGCTATAAATTTCCCTCTACACACTGCTTTAAATGTGTCCCAGAGATTCTGGTATGTTGTGTCTTTGTTCTCGTTGGTTTCAAAGAACATCTTTATTTCTGCCTTCATTTCATTATGTACCCGGTAGTCATTCAGGAGCAGGTTGTTCAGTTTCCATTAGTTGAATGGTTTTGAGTGAGTTTCTTAATCCTGAGTTCTAGTTTGATTGCACTATGGTCTGAGAGACAGTTTGTTATAATTTCTGTTCTTTTACATTTGCTGAGGAGTGCTTTATTTCCAACTATGTGATCAATTTTGGAATAGGTGTGGTGTGGTGCTGAGAAGAATGTATATTCTGTTGATTTGGGGTGGAGAGTTCTGTAGATGTCTATTAGGTCCGCTTGGTGCAGAGCTGAGTTTAATTCCTGAATATCCTTGTTAACTTTCTGTCTCGTTGATCTGTCTAATGTTGACAGTGGGGTGTTAAAGTCTCCCACTATTATTGTGTGGGAGTCTAAGTCTCTTTGTACGTCACTAAGGACTTGCTTTATGAATCTGGGTGCTCCTGTATTGGGTGCATATATATTTAGGATAGTTAGTTCTTCTTGTTGAATTGATCCCTTTAGCATTATGTAATGGCCTTCTTCGTCTCTTTTGATCTTTGTTGGTTTAAAGTCTGTTTTATCAGAGACTAGGATTGCAACCCCTGCCTTTTTTTGTTTTCCATTTGCTTGGTAGATCTTCCTCCATCCCTTTATTTTGAGCCTATGTGTGTCTCTGCACATGAGATGGGTTTCCTAAATACAGCACACTGATGGGTCTTGACTCTTTATACAATTTGCCAGTCTGTGTCTTTTAATTGGAGCACTTAGCCCATTTACATTTAAGGTTAGTATTGTTATGTGTGAATTTGATCCTGTCATTATGATGTTAGCTGGTTATTTTGCTCGTTAGTTGATGCAGTTTCTTCCTAGCCTTAATGGTCTTTACAATTTGGCGTATTTTTGCAGTGGCTGGTACCAGTTGTTCCTTTCCATGTTTAATGCTTCCCTCAGGAGCTCTTTTAGGGCAGGCCTGGTGGTGACAAAATCTCTCAGCATTTGATTGTCTGTAAAGGATTTTATTTCTCCTTCACTTATGAAGCCTAGTTTGGCTGGATATGAAATTCTGGGTTGAAAATTCTTTTCTTTAAGAATGTTGAATATTGGCCCCCACTCTCTTCTGGCTTGTAGAGTTTCTGCCAAGAGATCAGCTGTTAGTCTGATGGGCTTCCCTTTGTGGGTAACCCGACCTTTCTCTTTGGCTGCCCTTAACATTTTTTCCTTCATTTCAACTTTGGTGAATCTGACATTATGTGTCTTGGAGTTGCTCTTCTCGAGGAGTATCTTTGTGGCGTTCTCTGTATTTCCTGAATTTGAATGTTGGCCTGCTTTGCTAGATTGGGGACGTTCTCCTGGATAATATCTTGCAGAGTGTTTTCCAACTTGGTTCCATTCTCCCCGTCACTTTCAGGTACACCAATTAGACGTAGATTTGGTCTTTTCACATAGTCCCATATTTCTTGGAGGCTTTGTTTGTTTCTTTTTATTCTTTTTTCTCTAAACTTCTCTTCACACTTCATTTCATTCATTTCATCTTCCATCGCTGATACCCTTTCTTCCAGTTGATCGCATCGGTTACTGAGGCTTGTGCATTCGTCACGTAGTTCTCGTGCCGTGGTTTTCAGCTCCATCAGGTCCTTTAAGGACTTCTGTGCATTAATTATTCTAGTTATCCATTCGTCTAATTTTTTTTTCAAAGTTTTTAACTTCTTTGACATTGGTTCGAACTTCCTCCTTCAGCTTGGAGTAGTTTGATCTTCTGAAGCCTTCCTCTCTCAGCTCGTCAAAGTCATTCTCTGTCCAGCTTTGTTCCATTGCTGGTGAGGAGCTGCATTCCTTTGGAGGAGGAGAGGTGCTCTGATTTTTAGTTTCCGGTTTTTCTGCTCTGTTTTTTTCCCCGTCTTTGTGATTGTATCTACTTGTGGTCTTTGATGATGGTGACATAGGGATGGGTTTTTTGGTGTGGATGTCCTTTCTGTTTGCTGGTTTTCCTTCTCACAGTCAGGACTCTCAGCTGCAGGTCTGTTGGAGTTTACTGGAGGTCCACTCCAGACCCTGTTTGCCTGGGTATCAGCAGCGATGGCTGCAGAACAGTGGATATTGGTGAACCGCAAATGCTGCTGCCTGATCGTTCCTCTGGAAGTTTTGTCTCAGAGGAGTACCCGGCCATGTGGGGTGTCAGTCCGCCCCTACTGGGGGGTGCCTCCCAGTTAGGCTACTCGGGGGTCAGGGACCCAGTTGAGGAGGCAGTCTGCCCGTTCTCAGATCTCAAGCTGCATGCTGGGAGAACCACTACTCTCTTCAAAGCTGTCAGACAGGGACATTTAAGTCTGCAGAGGTTACTGCGGTCTTTTTGTTTGTCTGTGCCCTGCCCCAGAGGTGGAGCCTACAGAGGCAGGCAGGCCTCCTTGAGCTGTGGTGGGCTCCACCTAGTTCAAGCTTCCTGGCCACTTTGTTTACCTACTCAAGACTAAGCAATGGTGGGCACCCCTCCCCCAGCCTCGCTGCCACCTTGCAGTTTGATCTCAGACTGCTGAGCTAGCAATGAGCAAGGCTCCGTGGGTGTAGGACCCTCCGAGCCAGGTGCGGGATATAATCTCCTGGTGTGCCGTTTGTTAAGCCCATTGGAAAAGCCCAGTATTAGGGTGGGAGTGACCCAATTTTCCAGGTGCAGTCTGTCACCCCTTTCTTTGACTAGGAAAGGGAATTCCCTGACCCCTTGCACTTCCCGGGACAGGCAATGCCTCACCCTGCTTCGGCTCATGCACGATGCACTGCACCCACTGTCCGGCACTCCCCAGTGAGATGAACCCGTTACCTCAGTTGGAAATGCAGAAATCACCCGTCTTCTGCATTGCTCACGCTGGGAGCTGTAGACTGGAGCTGTTCCTATTCGGCCATCTTGGCTCCACCCTCTGTTTTTTTTTTTATGAGATGGAGTCTCGCTCTGTCACCCAGGCTGGAGTGCAGTGGTGCAATCTTGGCTCACTGCAGCCTCTGCCTCCCCGTTTCAAGCAACTCTCCTGCCTCAGCCTCTCAAGTAGCTGGGACTACAGGCATGCGCTGCCACGCCCAGCTAATTTTTGTATTTTTAGTAGAGATGGGGTTTCACCATGTTGGCCAGGATGATCTTGATCTCTTGACTTCGTGTTCTGCCTGTCTCAGCCTCCCAACATGTTGGGATTACAGGTGTGAGCCACCACGCCTGGCCTCTGGCTTCTTTTAAAATCTTCTCTTTGTCTTTGAAATTCTAAAGTTACATGATAATGTGTGTAGATATGGATTTCTTTTTATTTATGTTGTTTGGGCTTTATTAAGCTTCTTGAGTCAGTGTTTTAGTGTCTCTTCTTCATTTCCATTTATGTCAGCCATTCAATCTTTTTGGAGGCTGCCATTCAATCCACTACACTTATCGTTGTTCTTCTCCAGTGATTGGCCTCCTTAAAAAAAAAAACAAAAAAACAAAAAAAAAACTTGTATTGAGGAAGAGGAACATCTACTGGATTTGAGCTATTTCCAACAGAAACCAAGACCCATAACTAGTATATGTGGATGAACACAAAATTGTGAGATCTTTGAAAAGTTATCAAATCAGTTCCTATTCACATTGGTGTTTTTTGTGGTTGTGTGTTTGTTTTGTCTAACAGCAATGTGCTAATTTTTTAGATTATTTTTATGGTTCCAATAAAAGAGAGGTTTTATTTTATTCATTTTATCCTTCTGTTTAATTTTAAAAACACAAAAACAGTTAAAGCAGTTTCTAAAAATGCACTTTTAAAATAGTCTACAGAATAGTTTACTATAGGTGATGAAACTAGAATAAAAGGAAAATCAAGGCAGGCAAAATAAGTTTTAAATCAAAAGTAAAAATAATTCACAAAATGCATGCAAATGTGAATTAATTTGGGTGCCAGAAGAAGGCTACAATTTGAATCTGTGCTTCATAGCTGGTAAGGCAAAGTTAAGAACACAATCAGGTAAAATATTCATAAACCAACTGCTCTGGGGAAGCAAATTCTGGTTTTGTTACTGAGACAGGAAAACAATTTTCCCAAGATTTTAAAAGGGGATGATCATGAAGTGTATCAGATAGTGTCTTTAATAACAACCCAGTATTAGATACAATCATAAATTCCATGACCTCACTACCGAACAATGACAAAAACTGAAGCAACTTTACATAGGCAAAAACAATGTGATCCAGGATAAGTGCTCTGATAATCAAACTAGAGCTAAGAATAAAATACAAACCATCTGAAGAATAGATGGCTTGTATGTCTTCTATGCAATGTTCTGTGACTGTTGTCTCTCAAAATTAAATTTTCAATAAGCATTGGCTGATGAAGAACTCAAAGTTCTATTTTCTCACAAGAACCTGGAATGTATTTTGATGTTCAACCAAACAAAGGAAGTAATGTTGCCATCTTCCTAAAAAGATGAGAACTCTGATCAAAACCCCTGCTTTAATGTAAGGATATCCCCCTTCCAAATGGACACAGGACAATGAAATGCTTATGGCAGATAAGTATATTTTTAAGTATTTAATACCATAAGTAATGCATATAATTTTTTTTAAAGCTGAAACATTATAGAGAAGTGAAAAGTCTCCTTTGACTACCATCTTCATTCCTAGTCCTCTTTCCCTCTGCAGACGTGATCACAGTTAGCAATTTGGTACATTCTTTCATTACTTCTTTGCATTTGCATATGTATGTATAGAAAATATCTAATATAAAGTATTATTTTGTACAAATTGCTCTTTATATAAAAATTTCAGTATTTCTATTAGTCACTTTTCCCCCACTCAACAGTGTACATTGGATTTCTAATCATGTCAGTACCTATAAATCCACTTCATTCTATTTCCTTCTTTCACAGGTGAACCTGTAGGTTGTTTACTAATACAAATATTGTTAATGACTACCTTTGCATCTGCCTCATTGGCACAGGAGCGTTTCTTGACTATTAGCTTTTGAGAAGTGGAATTGCTAGATGGAACTTTTAATTTTTTAATAGGTACTGCCAAATTACTTCTTAAAGTGATTGCACCAATTTACACTTCTTCAAGTAGTGTATGACAGTACCTGTCTCCTTAGGCCCTCAGTAACACTGAACATTAACAATCTTTTAAAAATTTTTATTCCAAAAAAATGAAAATGGTATCTCATTGTTTGAATTTGCAATTCCCTGATTATTACTAAAGACGCACTTTTTTTTTCCATTTTCAGTGATCACTAATGTTACCTCTCCCACTCAGTTTTCAAATAAATTTATTTTTATTTTATTATTTTATTTTAAAATCTGAGACAAAGTCATGCTCTGTCACCCAGGCTGGAGTGCAGTGGCATAATCATAGCTCACTGCAGCCTTGAATTCCTAAGCTCAAGGGATCTTCCTTCCTTAGCCTGCCTTATAGCTGATTTCATTATGCTTGGCTAATTTTTTAATTTTTTATAGAGACGGGGTCCTGCTATGTTTCTCAGGCTAGTCTCAAACTCCTGGCCTCAAGTGATCCTCCTGCCTTGGCCTCCCAAAGTGCTGGAATTACAGGTGTGCTGTCAACATGCCTGGCCTCTCAACCATTTTTTTAGTAAGTTGTTTGTCTCTTACTTACTGACTTGTAAGAATTGTTTTATTAAGAATTATTTTATACATATATATAATACAAGTCATTTACCTATTATACACATTGTAATCGTTTACTTCCAATGTGTTGTGTCTTTTGTTTATGGCACAATGTAAAATACCAACATTTTTCATTTTGGTATAGTCAAATTCATTGATCTTTTCCTTTACTTCATTTTAGTATCTTATATTGAAAATACAAGATTCTCTACTAAATATAAATTTATTGCGCAGAAATCAGAAGCCACTTGTGACTTCCTTTGCCTATAAATCCCTTACTGATTCTCTCTTCCCACCTGATCCACATGATCTTTACTATCCACCCTACAACATTTAGCACATCTTCTGTGAGAGGCAGTCCTTGGGACTTCACAGGGTAGAATGGTTGCCATTCATTCATTTATTTATTCAATTAATAATCTTTAGTTATCATATGCCAGGCACAGTGCTAGGCCTTGGTTATACAGCTGTGAATAAAGCAGACAAGATTTTTGCCCTCATTGAGCTCACAGTCTAATGAAAACAACATACATTTAACAAATCATTAAACATGTATACTCATCACATACTGTCAAGTATGAAGAAAGAAAAGCATAGGGTGCTATGAGAGAGTGGGTGTTGGAACTTCCACTGTGCTGAGCTGATCTCCATGACAGCTTGCATCATACTGTATTCTAATTTTCCGATCCCTGTGGCTTTCATACCATGGGCCCCACACATTGTTTGTCTGACACCAGTTTCCCCAGAGCCATCTTCCCTGACAGGGCCAGACTCCAGGTTTGACTATGCCTGCCTCTCTCTTGCTGCTCTGCTGACTTAGCATAGCATGAGTCACTCTTGCTCTGAGAAACAAAGTTCTGAGAAAACTGAGCCAACAAACAGGTGACAGAAAAATAAAACTCCTAGCGTAAGGGATTTGGAGCACGTAGGGGTGGAAAAATCACTCTGGAGTTGTCAGATGAACCTGATCCAGATAAATACTCTGGGCTTGGATGAACAATCAGATAGCAAACTAAATAAAAGTGCATTTTGAGTACTGTTTGAAACAGTGATGTGTAAATACCTTCTATACCTTGAGAAAGGCCCTCATAGTAACAATGGAGATGTTGTCACAGAACCAAACTATAATATTTGGACTATGAAAAAAACAGAAGATAGAACATTGGAGCCAATGAATCCACATTTTCCCTGTCACTGCCATCTGGAAAATCAGCCATTATACCCTCAGGGTTTCAAGATCTTAGAAGAAACCCTGAAAAGGCAGGAACGGGCCTCCCACTGTCTTCCTTGCACTTGAGGCCTGGCATCTACAGCCAACTCTCTGCTCCACCAGCTGTATAATGTTAGGCAGGTGGTTTACCTCATTGTCTCTGCCTCAGTTTTCTCACGTGTAAAATGTGAATAAATAATGGGCCTCCTAGAGTCTTTTTGAGTGCTTAATACATGATGGGCATTATAATTTTATAATGTATAATTTTTTCAGCACTGAGCCTGTCAATATGTTCTGCAAATTGCCACCTCAGACTTGGAGGCATTCCAAGACAGCCAAGCTCAGCTAAGGCCTCCAGGAATGGAAAGGAAATAAGTTCCTCCATTTACCTAGCCCAAGTTCCTTGCTGGACCTATTGACCTTCCACCTTCCTAGGTAGAGAGCAATTTGGATATTCTTTGTTTAAATAAATAAATAAGTACTAAGTAATACTTATGAGTATTTTCTTAGACATGTTCAGCAAAAAGGAAAACTCATGCTGGCTGTAGAGGCTTCACTACCAACTGCTCAGCACACAAGTTTGCATGGCATTAGCTTTCCCTAGCAGGCCACCAACCTGGCACCAGGCCCCACACTCAAATCTGGAGCTCTCTTTCCTGACCAGAGCTCTATCCCATGCTCTGATGGTCTGAGTCAGCTCACATGTTTTGCCTCTCCCAATTGAGCTGCAGAAATTCTCTCTTCTATTCTGTTACCTGCTTCACCTCCCCAGCCACAATATGCCAAATCATGAACTGTCCGATGATGGGGTGGTGCCTGCCTGCAGGGCCACTACCTCTGGCTGTCTCCCTGAGTGTTTACTGCTAATTTAAGCTCTGCAGGGGAACTCTGTTCACAGGGACATGGCCCCTGGGGTGAAAGAGGTCTCACTCTGACTCGCACTCAGTCCCAAACCAGGCTGTGACAAGGAATAAACAGGGATTCTCAGGGAAGAAGAGAGACATTCTTCAGGCTTTTCTACCTGAAAGGGTAAGCTTCATCCTAGAAAAGGCTAGAAAATGTGATGGACTCAATCAACAGATCTTCTAAAATCCAAGGACATTTGCTTTCTACCACAAAGAAAAATGAGGGTGGAATTTTTCTTCTCAAATGTGCCTAAGCCACTATTTGGAAAGGAAGTTTGATATTTGCAACTACGGTTTTCTCAATAATCAGTTAGCAACAATTTTAAAAATCAAGAATTGAGACAGAAATAAACAGTCAGAAATGAGCTTGGTACATCACAGTTGAAGTCAACACTGTGACAGTAAAATAGTTAATCCTGGGTTCACAGCTGTGGGATAATTCAGAAAAAAAAAATGTTTTTTCTATTTTTCTATTTGCTGAGTGCTAAAGACTAGGTTCTCTCTCTAATCCCAGGCCACTTTATCCTAATAAATAAGGAAGTTGTGCTTATTAACAGGAGCTTAATAAGATTGCAGCCCCTTTAAATATCCTGAAGACACTGGCGGCTCTCCTCTCCAGCAGCAAACTGTGGTGGGCATCTTAAGGTCATTTCCTGTCCTGTCCTTGACCACTGGCTGCAGCCTGTGGACATGGCTGACCAGGGCACAGGGCCACAAGACTCATCTTTCTTCCAGCACGTGGATATGAGGGCAGCATCATTTCGCAGAAAAGCAAATACAATTTTGTTTTATTTTGTCTAATATGGTTCTGGCACAACACAAGCTGTCCCTATTCTAAGGCTGGAGAATTTGATTTCCTCTCTGGCCTGTGGAAATGGGCTCAGCATATAGCCCTATTTAATCACAGAATGTTAACACTAATCTGACTAAGATGGCTGACTTGAGGTGCTCCCCAGGCTGCAGCAAACAGTGCTAATCCTTCTAGCTGAACCTGGGCCCAACTTCAGAGAACAGAGCGGTTGGCTGTTTAATCACTCATGAAGGCATGACTGATTGAAACCATCATATACTTCCCCAGCTCAAAATGCATATGATTTTTTTCACTGGGAGGAAAAAACACATTACTATTTTGACAGTTGGCACCAGAATCCCACTGAGGGGAGAGAACAGTGAGTTCTAGCAACAGTAATGTACATTCATTCTGATACTCCTTTCAGTGCCATTTTCAACCCTCCACTCCATTATCTCTAAATGCTCAGTAAAAGTCTAGTATCCTAGTATCCTGAAGCCTTGGGGAATGAAGGCAAAGATGGTGTGAGAGAGGAGAGCCCCTGCAGATGCTGGAAGAAATGGTAGAAGCCAAGAAACAGCAAAGAAACAGGTGGCAGTGTGGGCAAACTCGGAAATGCAGACACAGGAGAAAGCTTGCTGACAGGGGCAGGGAATGGGGAAACAGCCAAAAGGGGTAGACTGCCTTGGTTCTGATATATGAAAAGGGCTTTCCAAGTGGTAGACATTTGAATTCAATGAATATTTTGCCCAAGACATCTGCAATGATAACTCATATGTAATCTAATACACTGACATTTTGCAAAATATAATCTCAGAAGCACTTTCTATGTGAATAATATTGTAAACATCATTTTCAGTGGTGTCATAATAGTCTATTGAGCAGATTTGCCATGGTTTATTTAATGTTTCCCTATTTTGGACTTTTAAATAAATTCAAATGTTTAGCTATTAAGGATAATGGTGTTATGAACATCTTTAGACAGAAAGCTTTTACCACAGTTAGGATAACTTCCTCATGATGAATTCCCAGCAATGAAGTTCACTGGGTTAGATAGCATGAAATTTTTGAACTTTTGATAAATAGTGATAAAGTGGTTTTCATTTCCATCAATACTGATAAGGATCCTAGTTTCTCTGCACCTGGGAATCTCAGTTTCTCTGCACAAGGGAAACTATTAAATACCACTTATTCTCTGGAGGGAGATGTTCTTAAGATTAACATGTATTTTTAGAGGCTACATTCTTAAAGGTAAAATTACTAAGTCAAAAAGTATGCATATTTGAACTTTTGGTAGATAATGTCAAATTACCATCTAAATAGGCTATATCATTTAAACTTCTATCAACCACGTATGAAAATACTCATTCCTCCACACTATCTCCAACCATGAGTTGTATCAAACTTAAAATAACATTTTTTAGTCAATCTGATATCAAAAATATCTCATTATTTTAATATGCATTTCCACAATGCCTAGAGAGGCTAAATGTCTTTTCATATTATTAGCTACCTGTGTTTTTTTATCTGTGAATTGCTTGTTCATATATCTTGCTCATTATTCTTAGTTTGTTCCTATTTTACTTACTGATTTGTAGAAGTGGTCTATTGCCAGCCAGGCGCGGTGGCTCACACCTGTAATCCCAGCACTTTGGGAGGTCGAGGCGGGTGGACCACCTGAGGTCAGGAGTTCAAGACCAGCCTGGCCAACATGGTGAAACCCCGTCTGTACTAAAAATACAAAAAAACAGTAGCCAGCCATCGTGGCTGGTGCCTGTAATCCCAGCTACTCAGTAGGCTGAGGCAGAAGAATCGCTTGACCCCAGGAGGCAGAGGTTGCGGTGAGCCGAGATCACGCCATTGCACTCCAGCCTCGGTGCCAAGAGCGAAATTCCATCTCAAAAAAAAAAAAAAAAAAGAAAAAGAAAAAGAAAAGAAGTGGTCTCTTACCGAAATATATTGCCTATTATGTACATTGCAAATATTTCCCGCATTTTCTTTGTTTATTCTAGTGCCTTTTATTGGACAGAAAATTTTAATTTGTATATATTTAGATACATCTGTTTTTCCCATTTTACACCTGTTTTTAATCTAGTTTAGGAGGGTTTTAACCATCCCAAGGTTATAAAAATATTCTCCAATGTTTTGTTCTAATAGTCTTGTTTTTTGTATTTATTTAATTTATATGGAATTTAGCTTTGCATATGTTGTGAGGTATGATTTTGTCCCAAAACTTTAGCAATTGTTCATTTATCATGAAATAATTATAGTCTTCTTGGATCCAGTTTTCTACTCTCTAGTCATTAACTTCATAATAGGTTTTGTTCTGGTGAAGCAAGCTACTCTTATTTTTCTTGTTTCAAAATTTTATTGGTTATTCTTGTCCATTTATTGTTCCAGATGAACTTTAGAATCATTTTGAAGGGGATCATTTTTCAAAGTTATTAATTTTCATTGAGATTACACTGAATTTACCTATTAATTTGTGAACACATTATGCTTTTGTAACTTTATAATACTAAATCTTTCTATGAAGAAAATCACATTACTCTCCATTTATTGATTTATTGGACTACTTTTCTGTTTCTTCTATTTTTATTGATATCTTCAAATTTTTCACCTTATCTTGATTAAATTTTTAATAATAGCTTTATTAGGATACAATTCACATACCATAAAGTTCGCTTTTAAAAAAATGTATAATTCAATGGTATTTAGTATATTCACAGGGATGTGCATTGATCACTGCTATCTAATTCCAGAAGATTTTAATCACTCCAAAGGGAAACCACGTATCTATTAGCAATCATTCCCCATTTCCTCCTTGCCCTAGCCTCTGGCAACTACTAATCTATTTCCTGTCTCTATGAATTTGCCTATCCTGGAGATTTCATATAAATGAAGTCATACTGCTATGCATGATTCATACATGTGGCCATTTATGTCTGGCTTCTTTCACTTAACATAATTATTTCAATGTTTATCTATGCTGTAGAATATTACTAAAACTTAACTTACTTTTATGGCAAAATAATATTTCATTTTATGACTGTCACATTTTGTTTATCCATTCTTCAGTTGATGGACATTGGGTTGTTTCTGCTTTTAGGTTATTATGAATAATACTGCTATGAATATTTGTGTACAAGTTTTTCTTAGCCATGTTTTTAATTCTGTTGGGTATATATGTAGGACATAGATATACATACTTAAATCTATTCCTATATATACCTGGAAGTAATGGGTCGTATGATAACTCTATAACATTTTGAGGAACTGCTAAATTTTCCAAACTTGCAAAGTGGGTATACTATTTCATATTCCCGCCAACAATTTATGAGGATCCCAATTTCTCCACACCTTCACTAAGACTTCTTGTTTTAATTACAGCCATCTCAGTGACTATGAAGTTATTTCTCATTGTAGTTTTAATTTTTATTTCCCAAATGACTAATGATGTTGAGCATCTTTTCAGGTGCCTGTTGACTATTTACTTCTGTTTTCTTCTGAGAGCTTTGTAGTTCTAGCTCTTATATTTATGTCTATAACCTACATTTATTTATTTTTGTATATGGAATGAGGTGGGGGGTCTATCTTTTTTTTTTTTTTTTGTATATGGCCATCCTGTTTTCCCAGTATCATGCATTGAAAAGATGATTCTTCCCCTGCCCCTTGAGTGGTCTTGGTACCCATGTCAAAAATCAGTTGATCATAGATGCATAGGTTTATTTATGAACTCTCCATTCTACTTCATTGATCTATGTATCTGTCCTTATGCCAGTACTACATAATCTTGATGACTATATCTTTGTAGTAAGTTTTGAAATCAAGAAGTGTGAGTTCTCAAATTTGTTCTTTTTTTTTCAATATTGTTTTGACTATTCTGAGTGCCTTGCAACTTCATAAGAATTTTCTAATCAGTTCTTCAATTTCTAAATGAACTCAGCTGGGTTTCTGATAGGGATTGAATTGAATCTGCAGATCAATTTGGGAAGTGTTGCCATATTAACAATATTAACTCTTCTGATTCATGAGCAGGAATTGTCTTTTTACTTATTTCAGGTTTCTTTAATTTCTTTCATGTATGTTTTGTCATTTTTAGAATACAAGTCTTGCACTTGTTTTGTTCAATTTATTGCTAAGTAATTCACTTTTTGATACTATCGTAAATCAAAATTTAACTTCATTTTCAGATTGATTTTTGTGTACATAAGTCACTTGGTTTTTGTATATTGATTGTGTATTCTGCAACCTTGATAAACTCATTTATTTGTTCTAATTTTTTTGTATTTATTAGAATTTTGTATACATAAGATCATGCCATGGAGATTGTTTTATTTTTTTCTTTCCAATTGGAATTCTTTTTATTTCTTTTCTTGCCTAACTGCCCTTGCTACAACCTCCAGAATAATGTTGAATAGGAGTGGTTAGTGCAAAAGGAAGGGGCTCAAGATGGCTGACTAGATGCATCTGTTACTTACCTCTTCCATGGAGAAAAACCAAAATGGTGAGTGGATAATCACACTTTGAATACTTTGTTTAGGAGAAAGCACTGGAATTCAACAGAGAATTGATGGGAAGCACCAAATCCAAGGAAGAAGAGGAAAGTGCAGCGGCCTACTCAGCCAGGATCAACTGGAAGCCTGGAGAGGCTCCCTAATGCCGTGAAGGGTCAGTAAGAGACCCTAGTGGCCCAAACTCCCACCGTGGACTCCAACAAGTCTAACCACAAGAGAGCACCTCAACCCATACAGGACCTGAGACTAACACAGGGAGCTGTCTGGAGACTGCAATGGCATTACTCCAGAGAGGGAGCTCATGCTGAGGCCTACAAACCCCTGAGTACTAAGCAGCTGTAGCATGGCATCATTTTTGGAGCCCAATATCTATTAGAATGCTTCCTGCCCTGGGGACCAACAGCCCTTGCATCTCCACATCTTTGGAGCCCAGTTGACATTTTCTATCTGTAGCCACTACTGCCAGGGTTGAGTCAGGAGCCATTGGCAGCAACCCCACACCCCCAGGAAAGGAGTGGCCAAGCATCTTCACATGCCCCAAGGACAAATTCCACAATCCACAATTTCTGCAGCTGCAGGCTGCTGTGAGGCTGAAGTGTAAGTAAAGTGTGTGCCCCCCGGCTGGCTGCCTATAGCTGTTCTCACTGAAAGCAATCCTGTACTCCCTAGTAGCAGGGCTGCAGTATAGCTACTGCTGCCACAACCTAACCATTCCACTGGTGCCTAGGAGATCACCCTGCCACAGCATAGCAGAGCAAGCTCCTGCATGCACCAGTAGGAGGCCTCAGGACAGGTCTGCCCAGCCCAGCTTCATCCCCTAAATACTCAAGCATGCCATTCAGGTGCCTGGGAATTGCCCAGCCCTGTCCACTACCATTGGTACTTGAGCATTCCTCCCAGGTTCTGAAGTCAGGCCTACCCTAACTGCTATGACAACCACAGCTGGCACCCACCCCCATGTGCCACCTGCAGGCCTGGGGACTGGCCCACTTAGCCAGTCACACCTTAACATGGACCAAGAACACTTGGGTCCCAGAGGGTTGTCCCACCATTGCTACTGCCATAACCCACACTTCCTGCTGCCCAGGGGCCCCAAGAACCTACCTAACCACCCAAACTACTGCTGCCACTCCTGGCACCCAAGCAAGGCACCTGGAGGTCCAAGAATCAACCCATCTGGACTTACCAACACTAGCGTGAGTACATGCTGCTCTGGTGCCCAAAGACAGGCATGCTCAGACTGCTGCTGCCAACAATGGGGCTAAAGGACTGGCCATGGCATTCCAGTCCCCAGCAAAACTTCATCACAACCTCCACTAAGAACCACACCCTAAGCCAAAGAGGAAATCGTAGATACCACTGACCTTGTTTACAGCTGAAGAAATCACACAGAGGCTAGACTACCACATGTACCCACAATCAAAGCCAAAGCACCCTACCCAACCAACACTATAGATACATCTTTAGAAAAATGTCCTTCCCAGAGCTTGCAGTGACCCGAGATCAGGCCACTGCACTCCAGCCTGGGTGACAGAGTGAGACTCTGTCTCAAACAAGAAAGAAAAATGCCCTTCCCTCTGAAAGCAAACTCAGAAAACTGGAAGAAGCAACTGTTACACAGGAAGGTATCTGGAGACTGTTACCAGATGTGCAGATATCAATGTAAGAATATAAGAAACACAAAAAAGCAAGGAAATATGAAACCTCCAAAGGAATAGCATAATTCTCCAACAACTGATCTCAATCAAAAAGAAATTTATGAATTTATGAAATCCCCCCCCAAAATTCAAAATATTGATTTTAAAGAAACTCAGTGACAGACAAGAGAAAAAAATACAATGGAATCAGAAAAACAATTCAGGATATGAATGGAAAATTTACCAAAGAGATAGATATAGTAAAAAAGAACCACATAGAAATTCTGGAAATGAAGAATGTATATAATGAAATACAAAATACATATGAAAGCTTCAACAATAGATCAAGCAGAACAACTAGATCAAGCAGAAGAAAGAATCTTAGAAATTGAAGGTAGGTCTTTTGAAATAACTCAGTCAGATGAAAATAAAGGAAAAAGAATAAAAAAGAATGAGCAAAGCCTATGTGACATATGGGACACCATAAAGGGACCAAATATTTGGATTTTTTGTGTCCTAGAAAGCAAAGAAAAAAAAACAAAAGAATTAGAAAAGCTATTTAATAAAATAATAGATGAAAACTTTGCAAGTCTAGCAAGAGATTTAGATATCCAGATACAGGAGGCTCAGAGGTCCTCAAATAGATACAATTCAAGAAGGTCTTCTCCACAGCACATTATAGTCAAACTGTCAAAACCAAAGACAAAAAGAAGAATTCTAAAATCAGCAAGAGAAAAGCATCTGGGCATTTATAAAGGAATCCTCATCAGAGTAACAGCAGATTTCTCAGCAGAAATCCTACAGTCCAGGAGAGAATGGAATAATATATCCAAAGTACTGAAAGAAAGAGAAAAAAACTGCGGGCACGAATATTATACCCAGCAAAGTTATCCTTCATGAATAAAGAAAAAATAAAGTCTTTTCCAGGCAAGCAAAAGCTGAGGGAATGCATCACTACTAGACCAGACCTACAAGAAATGTTTAAGTGAGACCTACACCCAGAAGTGAAAGAATGGTATCTACCATCACAAAAACACACACAAAAATAAAAACCACTGGTAGAGCTAATACACAAGCAAGGAAAGACTCAAATGTTACCACCACAGAATACTGCCAAACCACAATGATAAACAATAAAAGAGAAAAGAACAATTAGAAATCAGTTACTAAAATTATGGGAATAAGCCCTCACATATATAATATAAAAGATATAGGCTGGCCAAATAGATAAAAAATTATGACCCAACTATATGCTGCCTATGAGAAACTCATCTCACCTATAAAGACACAGACAACTGAAAGTAAAGGGATTGAAAAAGATTCTATTTCAAGCAAATAAAAACCAAAGCAAGCATCAGTAGCTATACTCATATTAGATAAAATAAACTTTAAGTCAAAGACCTTAAAAAGAGACAAATAAGGTCATTATATAATAATGGGATCAATTCAGCAAGATGATATAACTATTCTAAACATATATGTACCCAATACCAGAGCACCTAGATATATAAAGCAAATATTATTAGCTACAAAGGGAGAAATAGATTCCAATGCAATAATATAATAGATCATTAGAGAACATTATGAACAACTACACACTAACAAACTGGAAAACTAGAATATAAATTAATACAACCACTATGGAGAACAGTTTGGAGGCTTATCAAAAAACTAAAATTAGAGCTACCATACAATCCCCCTCTCTCACCATGTGATATGCTGGCTCCCCTTCACCTTCTGCCATGGTTGTAAGTTTCCTGAGACCCTCATTATGCTTCATGTATAATCTGCAGAACCATCAGCCAAATAAACCTCTTTTCTTTTTAAGTTACCAAGGCTCAGGTATTTTTTTTAATAGCAATGGAAATGGACTACCACGTGAGGTGTGTTTCTTCTATGTCTAGTTTGTTGAGAGTTTTTTTGTTTTTGTTTTCGTTTTTGTTTTTGAGACAAGGTATCACTCCCATTGCCCAGGCTGGAGCATAGTGGCATGATCTTGCAACCTCTGCCTCCCGGGCTCAAGTGATTCTCCTGCCTCAATCTCCTGAGTAGCTGGAACTACAGATGCACACCACGGTACCCCGCTAATTTTTGTGTTTTTTGTAGAGACAGGGTTTCACTATGTTGCCCAGGCAGGTCTTGAACTCCTGAGTTCAAGTGATCCACCCAACTCAGCCTCCAAAAGTGCTGGGATTATAGGTGTGAGCCACCATGCCTGGCCTAGTGTTTTTATCATGAAGAGATATTGAGTTTTGTCCAGTGCTTTTTTCTGCATCTATGAGGTGATCATATGATTTTTGTCCTTCATTCTATTGTGATATATCACATTTACCAACTTGCATATGTTGAATGATCCTCACATTGCTGGAATAAATCCCACTTGATCACAGTGTATTCTTATTATTTTTGATAAGCTGTTGCTAGTATTTTACTGATAATTTTTGCATAATGTTCATCAGGGATATTGGCCTGTAGTTTTCTTTCTTTCTTGTATCCTTGTCTTGTTTTAGTATCAGGGTAATGTTGGCTTCAAAGAATGAGTTAGGAATAATTCTCATTTCTTCAATTTTTTGGAAGAGTTTGATTAGAATTGGTGTTAATTCTTTGAATGTTTGGTAAAATTTGGCAGTGAAGCCATATGGTCCTGGACATTCTTTTTTGGGAGGCTTTTTATTACTGATTTGATTTCGTTACTCGTTGTTCTATTCAGGTTTTCTATTTCTTCCTGATTCAATCTTGGTAGCTTGTATGTCTCCAGAAATTTATCCACTTTGTTAGTGTATAGTTGTTCAAGGTGAGCTATGAGTCGAGTGGAATAAGACAAACCATGAGAATGGAGTTTTTTTAATGTGTTTTGGGAAATAAAACAGTAATTATTCTCTAGAGATGAAAATTTGGGGAAATCCAAAGTCCTTCTGTTTCCTCCAGTGATTTCTAAGGCTGCTGGTTTTCATAATGACCATAATTGTATGACTCTTGGCTTTCAAGGTTTACACAGAACTGGGAAAAGGAAGTTATAATAGAATTAAAGCAAGTTGAAATGCCACAAGGCCTGCAGTTTCTACTGAGGTTCAGCCAGTTTTCTTGAATAAATACTTTTCTGATTGTTACAAACCTCTAATTTCCAGAGTTCTAAAAGACTTGGTTTTGACTGTTTGTTTGTTTGTTTGTTTGTTTGTTTGTTTGTTTTTGAGATGGAGTTTCATTCTTGTCTCCCAGGCTGGAGTGCAATGGCACGATCTCGGCTGACTGCAACCTCTGCCTCCCAGGTTCAAGCGATTCTCCTGCCTCAGCCTCCCGAGTAGCTGGGATTACAGGTGCCCACCACCATGCCCAGCTAATTTTTGTATTTTTAGAAGAGACAGGGTTGCACCACGTTGGCCAGGCTTGTCTCAAACTCCTGACCTCAGGTGATCCACCTGCCTCAGCCTTCCAAAGTGCTGGGATTACAGGCGTGAGCCATTGCTCCCACGCGACAGTTTTTTGCCAGCATTCAAATTGCTTTTTTAGAAGAGAAGAATTACTTTTATTGCAGAAGTCCTTACTGTGCCATTCCAGAAGTCAAGTTTTTCTTTTAAGTTGTGAACTTTTTAAAATTTTTATTTTTTGTAGTAACATAAAAGGTGCAATATTTATGGGGTACATGAGATACTTTGATACAGGCATACAATGCATAATCACATCAGAGTAAATGGAGTATCCATCACCTCAACATTTATTCTTTGTGTTACAAACAATCCAATTATTTACTTTTAGCTATTTTGAAATGTACAATTAAATTATTATTGACTGTAGTCACCCTGTCACCTTGTTCTCCTATCAAATACTAGATCTTGTTCATTCTCACTGTTTTTAGTCACCATTAACAATTCCCATTTCCCCACAATGCACCCCCACTACCCTTCCCAGTATCTGGTAACCATCCTTCTACTCTCTATCTCCATGATTTCAGTTGTTTTAATTCTTAGTTTCATAATTGTCAAAAGATGTGAAATGTGTCTTTCTGTGCCTGGCTTATTTCACATAGCATAATGACCTCCAGTTCCATCCACGCTGTGGCAAATGACAGACTTTCATTCATTTTTATCACTAAACAATACTCTGTTGTGTATATGTACACATTTTCTTTATCCATTCATCTGCTAATGGACCCTTAGTTTGTCTCCAAATCTTGGCTATTGTGAATAGTGCTGAAATAAACATGGGAGTGCAGATATTTCTTTGATATACTGATTTCCTTTCTTCGGTATATATACCTAGCAGTAGGATTACTGGATCACATGGTAGCTCTAATTTTAGTTTTTTGATGAGCCTCCGAACTGTTCTCCAAAGTGGTTGTACTAATTTACATTCTCATCAAATCTATACAAGGGTCACTTTTTCTGCACATTCTCACCTGCATATGTTATTGGTTGTCTTTTGGATAAAAGTCATTTTAATGAGGGTGAGATGATATCTCACTGTAGTTTTGATTGCATTTCTCTGATAATCAGTGGTGTTGAGCACCTTTTCATATACCTGTTTTCCATTTGCATGACTTCTTTTGAGAAAGGTCTATTCAGATTTTTTTTCCCCATATTTTAACCAAATTTTAGATTTTTCTTATAGAGTTATTGGAGTTCTTTTTTTTTTTTTTTTTTTTTTTTTTTTTTTGAGACAGAGTCTCGCTCTGTCACCCAGGCTGGAGTGCAGTGGCATGATCTTGGCTCACTGCAGCCTCTGCCTCCTGGGTTGAAGTGATTCTCATGCCTCAGCCTCCCTAGTAGCTGGGATTACAGGCACACACCACCATGCCCGGCTAATTTTTGTATTTTTAGTAGAGACAGGGTTTCACCACGTTGGCCAGGCTGGTTTCAAACTCCTTACCTCAAGTAATCCACCCACCTTGGCCTCCCAAAGTGCTGGGATTACAGGTGTGAGCCACTACGCCTGGCCAAGGTTGTTGGAGTTCTTTATATATTCTGCTTATTAGTCCCTAGTCAGATGAGTATTTTGCAGATATTTTCTCCCATTCAGTGGGTTGTCTCCTCACTTTATTGATGCATCCTTTCCTGTACAGAAGCTTTTTAATTTGATGTGATCCCATTTATCTATTTTTGTTTTGGTTGCCTATGCTTGTGGGGCATATGCTCAAGAAATCTTTTTCCAATCCAATGTCCTGGAGAGGTTCCTCAATGTTGTTGTTTAGTAGTTTCATAGTTTGAGATCCTAGATTTAAGTCTTTAATCCATTTTGATTTGATTTTTTACATCGTGAGAGATAGGGATCTAGTTTCATTCTTCTGCGTATGGATATCCAGTTTTCCCAGCACCACTTATTGAAGAGACTGCCCTTTCCCCAAAGTATGTTCTTAGCACCTTTGTGGAAAATGAATTCACTATGGGTGTACGGATTTGTTTCTGGGTTCTTTATTCTATTCCGTTGGTCTATGTGTCCGTTTTTTTTTTTTTTTCCAGTATCATGCTGTTTTGGTTACTATAGTTCTGTAGTATAATTTGAAGCCAGGTAATGTAATTCCTCCAGTTTTGTTCTTTTTGCTCAGGGTAGCTTTGGCTATTCTGAGTCTTTTGTGGTTCCATATAAATTTTAGTGGTTTTTTTCTATTTCTGTGAAGAATGTCATTGGAATTTTGATAGGAATTGCATTGAATCTGTAGACTGCTTTGGGAAGTATAAACATTTTAACAATATTGATTCTCCCAATCCATGAACATAGAGTATCTTTCTATTTTTTGTGTGTCCTCTTCAATTTCTTTCATCAGTGTTTTATAGTTTTCAGTGTACAGATCTTATACTTCTTTGGCTAATTCCAAGGTATTTTATTTAATTTGTAGCTATTGTAAATAGGATTACTTTGTTGTTTCCTTTTCAGATTATTTACTGTTGGCATATAGAAATGCTACTGAATTTTGTATGTTGATTTTGTATTCTGCAATTTTATTGAACTTGTTTATCTGTTATAATAACTCTTTGGCAGACTCTTTAGGTTTTTCCAAATATAATATCATATCATCTGCAAACAAGGGTAATTTAACTTCTTCCTTTGGATGCCGTTTATTTCTTTCTCTTATTTGATTGCTTTAGCTAGGACTTCCAGTACTATGTT
Organism: Homo sapiens; assembly: GCF_000001405.40. NCBI lineage: Eukaryota > Metazoa > Chordata > Mammalia > Primates > Hominidae > Homo > Homo sapiens. The sequence continues at coordinate 122,161,102 of NC_000003.12, forward strand.
GAATAACAGTGGTGAAAGTGGGCATCTGTGTTGTGTTCCATGACTTAGAGGAAAAACTTTCAGTTTTTTCCCATTCAGTATTATGCTAGCTGTGGGTCTGTCACATATGGCTTTTATTATGTTGAGTTATATTTCTTTTATATCCAGTTTTTTGAGGGATTTTTATCATGAAGGGATGTTGAATTTTATCAGACTCTTTCTCATCATCAGTTGAAATGATCATATAGTTTTTGTCTTTCATTTTGTTGATATGATAGATCATATCAATTGATTTGCATATGTTGAACCATCCTTGCATCCCTGGGATAAATCACTCTTGGTCATGATGAATGATCTTTTTAATGTGTTGTTGAATTCAGATTGCTAGTAGTTTGTTGAGGGTTTTTGCATCAATATTTATCATGGATATTGGCCTGTAGTTTTCTTTTTTTGATGTGTCTTTGTCTGGTTTTGGTATCAGGGTACCACTGGCCTTGTAGAATGAATTCAGGAGTATTCCCTCCTCCTCTATTTTTTGGAATAGTTACAGTAGAAATGGCATTAGTTCTTTAAATGTTTGGTAAAATTCAGTAGCAAAGCTATCAGGTCCTGAGCTTGGCTTTGCTGGAAGACTTTTTATTATGGCTTTGACCTCATTACTTGTTATTGACCTGTTCAGATTTTGAATTTCTTTCTTGTACAATGTATGTATCTCAGAATTTATTGGCTTCTTCTATGTTTTCCAATTTATTGGCATATAGTTGCTCACAGTAGCCATTAACATCCTTTGTATTACTGTTATAGTTGTTGTAATATCTCTTTTTTAATGTCTGATTTTATTTATTTGGGTTTTTCTCTTTTTTTCTTAGTCTGGCTAAAGCTTTCTCAATTCAGTTTATTTTTTCAAAAAACCAACTTTTCATTTCATTGATTTTAAAAATTGTTCTCTGTATCTCAATTTCCTTTATTTCTGCTCAATCTTTATTATTCATTTTCTTCTACTAATTTTGGGTTTGGTTAGCTCTTGCTCTTCTAGTTCTTTAAGATGCATTGTTAGGTTGTTTATTTGAAGTATTCTACTTTTTTGATCTAGGTTCATATCACTATAAACTTCCCTCTCAGCAGTGCTTTCTCTGTATCCTGTAGGATTTGGTATGTTGTGTTTCCACTATCATTTGTTTTACAAAATTTTTAAATTCCCTTTTTAATTTCTTTATTGACCCACTGGTCATTGAGGAGCATATTGTTAATTTTTATGTGTTAGTATAGTTTCCAAAATTCCTCCCATTTTTGATTTCTAGTTTTATTCCATTGTGGTCAGAGAAGATGCTTGATATTATTTCAATTTTTTTGAATGTTTTAAAACTTATTTTGTGGCCTAACATATGGTTTATCCTTGAGAATGATTCATGTGCTGCAGAGAAGAATGTGTATTCTGCAACCATTGGGTGAAATATTCTACAAATATCTACAGGTTCATTTGGTCAGTAGTGCAGATTAACTCTGATTTTTCTTTGTTAATTTTCTGTCTGGAAGATGTATCCAATGCTGAAAGTGGAATATTGCGGTCTCCAGCTATTATTGTATTGGGGTCTATCTCTCTCTCTAGCTCTAACAATATTTGCTTTATACATCTGGGTGCTCCATAGTTGAGTGCATAGATATTTAAAATTGTTATATCTTCTTTCTGAATTGACCCATTTATCATTATATAATGACTTCCTCTGCCCTTTTTATAGTTTTTGTCTTGAAATCTATTTTATCTTATATAAGCATTGCCACTCCTACTCTTTTTTGATTTCCACTAGCATAAAATATTTTTCCATTGCTTTATTTTCAGTCTACTTGTGTCTATATAGGTAACATGTTGTTTTTGTAGACTGTTCAGTCTTATTTTTTATCCATTTGGTCATTTTATGTCTTTGATTGGTGAGTTTAGTCCAACTACATTCAATGTTATTATTGAAAATAAAAACTTACTCCTGCCATTTTCTTATTTGTTTTCTGGTTGGGGTCTTCACTTCCTTCTTCCTTTTGTTCTTATCATCCTTTAAACAAAGGCAATTTTCTCTGGTGGTATGCTTTAATTTCTTGCTTTTTATGTTTTGTGCATTCATTGTATGCTTTTTGATTTGAGATTATTGTGAGGCTTAAAATAATATCTTATAATCTATTATTTTAAACTGATGACAACTTAACACTAATCACATAAACAAACACAGCAGCTAGCAAACAAGCAAAGATAAAACTAATAAAAAACTCTACACTTTATCTTTATCCCCCTGCATTTTAAATTTTTGTTGTTTCTATTTATATCTTGCTGTACTATGTATGTCTTGAAAAGTTGTTGTAGTAATTATTTTTGATCAGTTCATCTTTTAGTCTTTCTACACAAGATATGAGTAGGTTATGCACCACAATTATGGTGTTATAATATTCTGTGTTTCTCTGAGTACTTACTATTACCAGTGAGTTTTGTACCTTCAGATGATTTCTTTTTGCTCATTAACATCAATTTCTTTCAGATTTAAACCTTTCTTTAGCATTTCTGCATTTCTTGTTCTGGTGTTGATGAAATCCCATAGCTTTTGTGTCTCTCGAAAGTCTTTCTCCCTCTCCCTCTCCCTCTCCCTCTCCCTCTCCCTCTCCCCACGGTCTCCCTCTCATGCGGAACCGAAGCTGGACTGTACTGCTGCCATCTCGGCTCACTGCAACCTCCCTGCCTGATTCTCCTGCCTCAGTCTGTCGAATGCCTGCGATTGCAGGCACGCACCGCCACGCCTGACTGGTTTTGGTGGAGACGGGGTTTCGCTGTGTTGGCCGGGCCGGTCTCCAGCCCCTAACCGCGAGTGATCCACCAACCTCGGCCTCCCGAGGTGCCAGGATTGCAGACGGAGTCTCGTTCACTCAGTGCTCAATGGTGCCCAGGCTGGAGTGCAGTGGCGTGATCTCGGCTCACTACAACCTACACCTCCCAGCCGCCTGCCTTGGCCTCCCAAAGTGCTGAGATTGCAGCCTCTGCCTGGCTGCCACCCCGTCTGGGAAGTGAGGAGTGTCTCTGCCTGGCCGCCCATTGTCTGGGATGTGAGGAGCCCCTCTGCCTGGCTGCCCAGTCTGGAAAGTGAGGAGCGTCTCCGCCCGGCCGCCATCCCATCTAGGAAGTGAGGAGCGCCTCTTCCCAGCCGCCATCACATCTAGGAAGTGAGGAGCGTCTCTGCCCGGCCGCCCATCGTCTGAGATGTGGGGAGCGCCTCTGCCCCGCCGCCCCATCTGGGATGTGAGGAGCGCCTCTGCCCGGCCGAGACCCCGTCTGGGAGGTGAGGAGCGTCTCTGCCCGGCCGCCCCGTCTGAGAAGTGAGGAGACCCTCTGCCTGGCAACCACCCTGTCTGAGAAGTGAGGAGCCCCTCCGCCCGGCAGCTGCCCCATCTGAGAAGTGAGGAGCCTCTCCGCCCGGCAGCCACCCCATCTGGGAAGTGAGGAGCGTCTCCGCCCGGCAGCCACCCCGTCCGGGAGGGAGGTCGGGGGGGGGGGTCAGCCCCCCGCCCGGCCAGCCGCCCCATCCGGGAGGGAGGTGGGGGGTCAGCTCCCCCGCCCGGCCAGCCGTGCCGTCCAGGAGGGAGGTGGGGGGGGTCAGCCCCCCGCCCGGCCAGCCGCCCCGTCCAGGAGGTGAGGGGCGCCTCTGCCCGGCCGCCCCTACTGGGAAGTGAGGAGCCCCTCAGCCCGGCCAGCCACCCCGTCCGGGAGGGAGATGGGGGGGTCAGCCCCCCACCCGGCCAGCCGCCCCGTCCAGGAGGGAGGTGTGGGGGTCAGCCCCCCGCCTGGCCAGCCGCCCCGTCCGGGAGGGAGGTGGGGGGGTCAGCCCTCCGCCCGGCCAGCCGCCCCGTCTGGGAGGTGAGGGGCGCCTCTGCCCGGCCGCCCCTACTGGGAAGTGAGGAGCCCCTCTGCCCGGCCAGCCGCCCCGTCCAGGAGGGAGGTGGGGGGGTCAGCCCCCCGCCCGGCCAGCCGCCCTGTCCGGGAGGGAGGTGGGGGGGTCAGCCCTCCGCCCGGCCAGCCGCCCCGTCTGAGGTGAGGGGCGCCTCAGCCCTCCGCCCGGCCAGCCGCCCTGTCTGGGAGGTGAGGGGCGCCTCTGCCCGGCCGCCCCTACTGGGAAGTGAGGAGCCCCTCTGCCCGGCCAGCCGCCCCATCCGGGAGGGAGGTGGGGGGGTCAGCCCCCCTGCCCGGCCAGCCGCCCCGTCCGGGAGGTGAGGGGCGCCTCTGCCCGGCCGCCCCTACTGGGAAGTGAGGAGCACCTCTGCCCGGCCACCACCCCGTCTGGGAGGTGTGCCCAACAGCTCATTGAGAACGGGCCAGGATGACAATGGCGGCTTTGTGGAATAGAAAGGCGGGAAAGGTGGGGAAAAGATTGAGAAATTGGATGGTTGCCGTGTCTGTGTAGAAAGAAGTAGACATGGGAGACTTTTCATTTTGTTCTGCACTAAGAAAAATTCCTCTGCCTTGGGATCCTGTTGATCTGTGACCTTACCCCCAACCCTGTGCTCTCTGAAACATGTGCTGTGTCCACTCAGGGTTAAATGGATTAAGGGTGGTGCAAGATGTGCTTTGTTAAACAGATGCTTGAAGGCAGCATGCTCATTAAGAGTCATCACCAATCCCTAATCTCAAGTACCCAGGGACACAAACACTGCGGAAGGCCGCAGGGTCCTCTGCCTAGGAAAACCAGAGACCTTTGTTCACTTGTTTATCTGCTGACCTTCCCTCCACTATTGTCCCATGACCCTGCCAAATCCCCCTCTGTGAGAAACACCCAAGAATTATCAATAAAAAAATAAATTAAAAAAAAAAAAAAAAAAGAAAGTCTTTATTTATCCTTCATGTTTAAAGGATGTTTTCATCAGGTATTCTATTCTAGGGTTTAAAAAACATCTTCCTTTAGCACTATTTGTTTATTTTATTTATGTATGTATTTATTTATTTATTTATTTTTGAGACAGAGTCTCACTCTGTTGCCCAGGCTGGAGTGCGGTGGCACGATCTTGGCTCATTGCAACCTCCACCTCCTGGGTTCCAGTGATTCTTGTGCCTCAGCCTCCCAAGTAGGTGAGACCACAGGCACACACCACCACACCTGGCTAATTTTTGTATTTTTAGTAGAGATGGGGTTTCGCCATGTTGCCCAGTCTGGTCTTGAACTCCTGGCCTCAAGCGATTCACCCACCTCAGCCCCCAAAGTGCTGGTATTACAGGCGTGAGCCACTGCACCTGGCCCCTTTAGCACTTTAAATATGTCATCCCACTCTCCCCTGGCTTATAAGGTTTCCACTGATAAGTCTGCTGCCAGACATATTGAAGCTCCATTGTATGATTTTGTGTGTGTGTGTGTTTGTTTTGTTTTGTTTGAGATGGAGTCTTCTTTGTCGCCCAGGCTGGAGTGCAGTGGTGCAATCTCGGATCACTGCAACCTCCACCTCCCGGGTTCAAGCAATTCCCCTGTCTCAGACTCCCAAGTAGCTGGGACTACAGGAGTGCACCACCACTCCTGGTCATTTTTTCTATTTTTGGTAGAGATGGGGTTTCACCGTGTTGGCCAGGCTGGTCTCAAACTCCTGACCTCAAGTGATCCATGTGCCTCAGCCTCCCAAAGTAAGCCATTATTTGTTTCTTTTCTCTAACTGCTTTTAGGATTCTTTCTTTATCCTTGACTTTTGGGAGTTCGATTATCAAATGCCTTGAGGTAGTCTTCTTTGGATTAAATCTGCTTGGTGTTCTATCACATTCTTATACTTTAATATTGATATCTTTCTCTAGGATTAGGATGTTCTCTGTTATTGTCCCTCTGAATAAACTTTCCACTCCTGTCTCCCTCTCTATCTCTTCTTTAAGGCCATAATACTCTGAGATTTGCTCATTTGGGGCTATTTTCTAGATATTATAGATGTACTTCATTCCTTTTTATTCTTTTTTCTTGTGTCTCCTTTGACCATGTATTTTAAAATAGTCTATCTTCAGGCTCACTAAGTCTTTCTTCTGCTCAATCAATTTTGCTGTTAAGAGACTCTGTTGCATTCTTCAGTATGTCAATTGCATTTTTCAGCTCCAGAATTTCTGCCTGATTCTTTTTAATTTCAATCTCTTTGCTAAATTTATCTGATAAAATTCTAGTTTCCTTCTCTGTGTGTCTTAAATTTCATTGAGTTTCCTCAAATCAAGTATTTTAAATTCTCTGTCTGAAAGGCCACATTTTCCTGTGTCTCCAGGATTGGTCCTTGGTGCCTTATTTAGTTCATTTAGTAAGGTCATGTTTTACTGGATGGTCTTAATGCTTGTGGATGTTTGTCAGAGTCTGGGCATTAAAGAGTTAGGTACCTATTGTAGTCTCTGTAGTTTGTGCTTGTTTGTACCCATCCTTCTTGGGAAGGTTTCCCAAGTATTTGCAGGGACCTGAGTGTTGTGATCTATGTTTTTGTGTCACTACAGCCATATCTGCATTAGTGAGTACCCAGAACTCAGTAGTGCTCTTGGAGACTCGTAGAGGTACAGTCTTGATGGTCTTGATTAAGATCCAGAATTATCTGAATTACCAGGCAGAGACCCTGTTCTTGTCCCTTACTTCCCCCCAAACAAATGCAGTCTCTCTCTTGGCTGAGCTGCCTGGAGCTGAGGAAGGGATGACACAAGCACCCTTGTGGCCACCACCATGTGCTGGGTCAGACCTGAAGCCAGCACAGCACTTTGTCTTGCCCAAGGCCTGATGTAACCACTGCCTGGCTACTGTCTATGTTTCCTCAATGCCCTAGGGCTCTGCAATCAGCAGGTGAAGAAGCCAGCCAGGCTTGTGTTCTTCCCTTAAGGGCAGCAAACTCCCCCAGGCCCTGGGCAGGTCTAGAAATGCAGTTGGGAGCCCAGGATTTGAATCAAAAACTTCAGAAATCTATCTGGTATTCTATTCTACTGCATCTAAGCTGTCCCTCAAACCACAAGACAAGGCCCTTCCCCTTGCACCCTTAACTTACCACAGTCAGAGGAGCCTCTCCCAGTGGCTACCACCACCACTGGTCCAGTAGGAGTTCTGACGGGCCACCGCCAATGTTCACTTAAAGCCCAAGCCTCCTCAGTCAGCTTGTGGTGAATGCTGCCAGGTCTAGGACTCGCCCTTCAAGGCACTGGTCTTCCCCTGGGGTAGATTCACTTTCAGTCTATGTGTGTCTATGTAGGTGAAGTGTTATTTTTGTAGATTGCCCAGGGCAGGCTCAGAAATGGCATCCAAGAGGCAAGGTCTGGAATTGGGGACCCCCAAGAGCCTGCTTGGTTCTCCACCCCACTGTGGCTGAGCTGGTACCTGAAGCACAAGACAAAGTCCCCTTTATTCTTTTTTTTTTTTTTTTTTTTTTGAGGAGTCTTGCTTTTGTCCACTGGGCTGAAGTGCAATGGTGTGATCTTGGCTCACTGAAACCTCCGCCTCCCGGGTTCCAGCAATTCTCCTGCCTCAGCCTCCTGAGTAGCTGAGACTACAAGCACCTACCACCATGTCTGGCTAATTTTCATATTTTTCGTGGAGATGGGGTTTCACCATTTTGGCCAGGCTGGTCTCAAACTTCTGACCTCAGGTGATCCACCCACCTCGGCCTCCCAAAGTGCTGGGATTACAGGCAAAGTCCCCTTTACTCTTACCCCTGCTTTTCTCAAGCAGAAGGAGTCTCTCCTCATAGCCATGTTGGAATGTAGTAGGTCATACCTAAAGCCAGCACATCTCAGCGTCTCACCCAAGGACCATGGCATGTGCTACCCGGCTACTGCCCCTGATTATTCAGGGCACAAGCGCTCTTTAGTCAGCACGTGATGAATCCTGGCAAGACTGGGTCCTTTTCTTCATGGCAGCAACATTTCTTGGGCCCAGAGTGTGTCCAGAAGCATTGTCCAGGTGCTAGGGCCAAGAATAGGAGACTTACAACTCTGCCTAGTGCCCTAGCCTACTGTGGCTTAGCTGGTAACCAAGATACAAGACAAAGTTTTATTTACTCTTCCCTCTCCTCATATGGAAGGAAAAAGTCTTTCGGTGCCGTGAGCTACACTGCCTGGGGTTCGGTGAAGGGTAGCACAAGCACTTCTTTATCCACCCTGACTGGTGTTTCACTAGGTCCTGTGTCCCTGAAGTCCACTGGCTCTGAGCCTAACACAGCATTAAGACTTGCCTAGGAGTTGCAGTCCTTGTGGCCTGGACTGCCTTTCAAGTTTATTTAGAACCCCAGAGCACTTTAGTCCAGAGTGGTGAGGCTTGCTGGAACTCAAGTTCCAACCACTCAGATGAGTGGTTCCCATCTGGCTAGGACGGTTTAAATGCTCCCTCCATGGGCACCAGCTAAGTTCTGCCCTGTGTTGCTTTCCACTGTGGCTGGGTAGTACTGAGTTCCAATGCAAAGTCCCATAATTGCTGCACTCTCCCTCCTCCAAGTGCACAGAGTCTTCATGGTACACAGCCACTGTGAGGATGGGGGAAGGGTGACATCAGCAATTCAAGACTGTCTATCCTACCCTCCTCAGTGCCTCTTTCAGTGACATGAAGTTAATACCAGGTACTGTGATTGTTCACATGATTTTTAGTTCTTATGAAGGTGATATTTTAGTGTAGGTAGTTGTTGAATGTGGCTGACTGCCACAGTTACTACTTGAGACCATCACTATGACAGTTACTACTGTTACTACTTAAGACCATCATTACAAGACTGAATGAAGGGGGACGTATGCAGAAATGAAAACTTAAGACAAAAGTAACTATTTTAAAGGAAAGGTAACATGTGGAAGAAGAAGAGAGATGAAGAGGGCTCCCTGCTTCTAGTGAGCAAAGGCAGCCACCTGAACCTCTACAGCCCTTCGTATTTATTGGGTAGAAAGAGTAGGGAGGAGGAAATAATGACTGATCAGCTGCTTAATTGATCAGAGGTTCACATTGTTGCTAACAGGCTTCAGATGTGCTTAATCACAAGAAACACTTGTGCCTGGGGCGTGACTGCCCTCATCATTCCTTCTGGGTGACAGACACAGTTTGTCAGTTTTCCAACATCCTGCTTTCATAGAACAGTTTGCTGTTTACTCATATAACCTCCAGTGGTATACTGAGTTGATCACGATCCTCACTCCTTCAGCCTGCAACAGTTCAATTGCATGTTCTTGCAGGGAGGATGATCAGTGGAGGCTTCCATTTTGCCATTTGCTCCTCCTCCCCAGAAGTCAAGTTCGTGATTAAATTTTGATTATTTATATTTTTCTATTGATTTTTCCGCTTTACATTGCCAAATATATTAACATAATGAATTTTATTTCTTCTATTAATATAATTATGTGTAGTTTTTTGTTTCTAATGACATTTGTGACTTATCTCTTCTCGTGTTTTTTGACTTGGCAAAATTTTTCCATTTTATTGTTTTCTTGGAAGAATACTAGTTGTTTATTGAAGCACTGGATTTTTTATATGTTTTTATTTTATTAATTTCAGTCTTTAACTTCTATTGATTTCTGTCTTCTACGTTTTTAGGCTTATGTATTGTTCTTTTTTTGACTTAAATATTTATTTACTTTATGTAGTACTTATTTTTTTCCAAGGAGTTAATTTAAGACTACAAATTTTCTTTGAATAATGCTTTGGCTAAATTCAACAGGTTTTTATATGTGCTTATTGCTAGATCATCTATAATGTCAATTTGATTTCTTCTTCTTTAATATAGGAATTATTTAGAATACTTTTTGTTAACATTCAAGTGTAGAGATTTTAAATTGCGGTGTGCACATACTTATAATTAGTTATTGTAATTAGAATAAATAATTTTTAAAATGTGGCTTTTATGAGGTCTACTTTGGAGAATGTGTTGTCTTCTATGTAGTCTAATACATGGACAATTTATTTTTTTATTTATTTTTATTATACCTTAAGTTTTAGGGTACATGTGCACAACATGCATGTTTGTTACATATGTATACATGTGCCATGTTGATGTGCTGCACCCATTAACTCGTCATTTAACATTAGGTATATCTCCTAATGCTATCCCTTCCCCCTTCCCCCACCCCACAACAGGCCCCGGTGTGTGATATTCCCCTTCCTGTGTCCATGTGTTCTCATTGTTCAATTCCCACATATGAGTGAGAACATGCGGTGTTTGGTTTTTTGTAATACATGGACAATTTAAAAAATACATTCTAGAGGTGATCAAAAAAGAACTTGTCACGCACATCTGTGTGAAGAGATCACCAAACAGGCTTTGTGTGAGCAATAAAGCTTTTTAATCACCTGGGTGCAGGTGGGCTGAGTCCAAAAAGAGAGTCAGCAAAGGGAGATAGGGGTGGGGCAGTTTTATAGGATTTGGGTAGGTAATGGAAAATTACAGTCAAAGGGGTTGTTCTCTGGCGGGCAGGGGCGGGAGTCACAAGGTATTCAGTGGGAGAGCTTCTGAGCCAGGAGAAGGAATTTCACAATGTGATGTCATCAGTTAAGGCAGGAACCAGCCATTTTCACTTCTCTTGTGATTCTACAGTTGCTTCAGGTCATCTGGATGTATACTTGCAGGTCACAGGAGATATGATGGCTTAGCTTGGGCTCAGAGGCTGACAGAACTATTCTATGTTGAATACAGTGTTGTACATATATGTGAATGTTTCATCAGTCTTAATTGTGTTGTCCATGTACTCTATGTTCTTATTCATTTTTTATCTACCCAATCTTTTAATTTCTTTAAAAAGATGTCTTAATTCCCCTTTTATGAATGTTAATCTGATAATTATCTTTGTTCTTCCAATAAATTTTCTATGTTTCAAAATAATTTTTGGTATATTATCTATGTGCTTTTTGCTCTTGGTAATGTCTTCTTTCCCCGTTTTTCTTCCTCCCTTCAAACCAGACCTTAGATCTTTCTTGCCTCAAGGGAGGAAAACTGCTACAGAAAAGAAAACAGAAGAAAATAAAATTCAATATTAGAGTTGAATGCTTTTGAGTTGTACATGCCTGCATTTCACAAACCTAACTTATGATGTATTACAGTCCCTAAGCTATGTAATAGATTTGCAAGAATTATGATGTTTTAATAGCTAGTTTTTACTATCTCAGACTAAATGCAGGTATACTTTGGAGATATTGCAGGTTTAGTTCCGGACCACCCCAATAAAGTGAATATCTCAGTAAAGTGAGTCACATGAATTTTTTTGTTTCCCAATGTGTACAAAAGTTATGTTTACATTAAACAGTAATCTATTTTGTGTGCAATATATTACGCCTAAAACATATACATACCTTAATTTTAAAATACTTTATTGCTAAAAAATTCTAATGATCACCTGAGCCTTCAGTGAGTCGTTTTCTTTTTGCTGGTGGAGAGTCTTGCCTGCTGTTAATGGCTGCTGACTGATCAATAAGGTTGTTGCTGAAGGTTGAAGTGGCTGTGACAATTTCTTAAAGTAAGACAGCAATTACATTTATCATATAGATTGGATCTTTCACAAAAGACTCCTCTGTAACATGTGATGCTATTTGATAGCATTTTACCCACAGTAGAACTTATGTCAGAACTAGAATCAGTACTCTCAAACCCAGCTGCTGCTTTTTCAACTAAGTTCATATAATATTCTAAATCCTTTGCTCTCATTTCAACAATCTTCACAGCATCTTTGCCAGAAGTAGTTTTCATCTCAAGAAACCACTTTCTTTGCTCATCCATAAAAAGCAACACCTCATCTGTTCAAGTTTTATTATGAGATTTCAGCAATTTCATCACATGTTCAGGCTTCACTTCTAATTCTAGCTTTCTTGCTATATCTACCACATCTGCAGATACTCCCTCTACTGAAGTCTTGAAGGCCTCAAAGTCATCTATGAGGGTTGGAATCAACTTCTTCCAAACTCCTATTATTGTTATTTTGACCTCCTCCCATGACATCTAAAATGGTGAATCTTTTCCAGAAAATTTTCAATTTACTTTGCCCACATCCATAAGAGAAACCACTATCAATAGCAGCTACAGCCTTACAAAATGTATTTTTTAAATAATAAGACTTTAAAATTACTCTTGATCCATGAACTGCAGAATGGATGTTTAGTGGGCCTGAAAACAATATTCATCTCCTTAAACATCTCCATCAGAGCTCTTGGGTGACTAGGTGCATTGTCAATGAGCAGTAATATTTTGAAAGGAATCCTTTTTTCTGAGCAGTAGGTCTCAACAGTGGACTTAAAATATTTATTAATCCATGCTGTGAACAAATGTACTGTCATCCAGGCTTTCTTGTTCAATTTATAGGGCACAGGTAGCATAGATATAACATAATTCTTAAGAGCCCTAGGATTTTTGGAATGGTAAATGAGCGTGGGTTTCCACGTAAAGTCACCAGCTGCATTAGCCCCTAACAAGAGAGTCAGTCTGTCCTTCACAGCTTTGAAGCTAGACACTGACTTCTCTTAGTTATGAGAGTCCCAGATGAAATCTTCCAACATATGACTATTTCATCTACACTGAAAATCTATTTAGTGTGGCCACTTTATCAATTATCTTAGCTGGATAATTTGTTGCAGCTTCTATATTACCACTTCCTGGTTGCACTAATATATTATGAAGACAGCTTCTTTACTTAAACCTCATGAACCAAGCTCCTAGCTTCAAAATTTTCTCCTGCAGCTTACTTACCTTTCTCAGCCTTCATAGAATTAAAGAGAGTTAGGGCCTTGCTCTGGATTAGGTTTTGGCTTAAGGTAATGTTGTGGTTGGTTTGATTTATCTAGACCACTAAAACTTTCTGCATATCAGCAATAAGGCTGTTTCACTTTCTTATCATTCATATGTTTACCAGAGTAGCACTTTTAATTTCCTTCAAGAACTTTTCCTTTGCATTCCCAGTTTAGCTAACGGGTGCAAGAGCCCTAGTTCCAGCCTGTCTTGGCTTTTGACATGGCTTCCTCTCTAAGCTTCATCATTTCTAGCTTTTGATTTCAAGTGAGAGATGTGTGGCTTTTCCTTCCACTGGAGCACTTGGAGGACACAGCAGGTTTATTATTTGGTTTAATTTCAATATTTTTGTGTCTCAGGGAATAAGAAGGACAGGTGGAGAGATAGGGAAAGGACGAGTTGGAGGAGCAGTCAGAACACACACAACATTTATCGGTTAAGTTTGCCATCTTATATGGGCAAGATTTATGACACCCCCCAAAATTTACAATCATAACATCAAAGACCACTGATCACAGATTAGTGTAACAGATATAATAATAAGGAAAAAGTTTGAAATACTGTGTGAATTGCCAAAATGTGACATAAAAACATGAAGCGAGCACACGCTCAATAAAATGAACCACAGTGGTCAGGACTCAAAGTGATTTCAATGAACTGGAGTGCTAGGATATCTAGCTAAGATACCAGCAGGTTCAAGCTGGGTACAGTGATGCATGCCTGTAGTTGCAGCTACTGTAGAGGTTGAGGCAGGATGATCGCTGGAGCCAAGGAGTTTGCACAATGATCACACCTACAAATAGCCACTGCACTCCAGCCAGGACAACTTAGCAAGACCCTATCTCTAAAACAAACAAACAAAAATCCCACAAAATTTAGCAGGAACCAATTCAAGTTGTATAGGGCCTGAAGCCTATAGAATTTGAAATACCCTCTTTAACAACAACAAAATACAACATTATGAATAACGACAAAAAAGAATCAAGTACAAAAGTAAATATTTATTAGCATGGGAAAGAAATCACCACAGTCTTGGAGTTATGTCCCTTTATTCAGAGAAGCTTACTTTAAAATATTTCTTGATTATAATCTAGTTTTTATTCCCCACCTAGAACACTCTACAAGTCCCAGAATCTCTCAGCATTCACAGAGGCCATACGAATGAAAGACCCTGAAGCTTAAGCTTTATTAGCTTCAGAGTATAACTACCTCTGGCAAAAGTTCTACATTTATGTTAAAATAATTAAATTTTATTTTTAAAATAGAGAATGAAGAGAGCCTGACTTTGAGACACTTGTGTTAAAAAAAAGTCAGGGGAATTTTCTTCAATCACAATCTTCCTGTACATTAATATTATGACAGTAAATAAAAGTGGGCCAGCTTAGGCAAGGAATATTCTAACTTTAACATATGCATTAGCCAAATAACTTCGGGGAGTTCAAATTGAAAAAGAAACATTGGCAAAGCACAGCCATCTACTAAGGGAAGCAGATAATATGACGAGAGAGATTCTTGCCATATGAGGAAAGGACTACTGAAAGAACTGAAGTGTTTGGCTTTGGGAAGTAAATGCTGCTGGGAGAGAGCTGATGAGCAGCCGTGTGCCACTTCAAACTATACTACAAGGTTACAGTAACCACACTGTATGACACTGGTACAAAACAGACACATAAACCAATGGAACAGAATAGAGAATGCAGAAATAAGAACACATACCTACAACCATCTGATCTTTGAAAAACCTGACAAAAACAATGGGGAAAGGATTCCCTATTTAATAAATGGTGCTGGGAGAACTGGCTAGACAGATGCAGAAAATTGAAACTGGACCCCTTCCTTACACCTTATACAAAAATTAACTCAAGATGGATTAAATACCTAAATGTAAAACCCGAAAGTATCAAAACCCTAGAAGAAAATCTAGGCAATACCATTCAGGACATAGGCACAGGCAAAGATTTCATGACAAAAACGCCAAAAGCAATTGTGACAAAAGCAAAAATTGACAAATGGGATCTAACTAAATGAAAGAGCTTCTGCACAGCAAAAGAAACTATCATCAGAGTGAACAGACAACCTACAAAATGGGAGAAAACTTTTGCAATCTATCCATCTGACAAAGGTCTGATATCCAGAATCTACAAAGAACTTAAGCAAATTTACAAGAAAAAAAAACATTAAAAAGTGGGCAAAGGATATGAACAGACACTTCTCAAAAGAAGATATACATGTGGCCAACAAACATGAAAAAACTCAACATCACTATCTTTAGAGAAATGCCAGTCAAAACCACAGTGAGATACTGTCTCATACCAGTCAGAAAGGCGATTATTAAAAGTCAAAAGACAATAGATGCTGGAGAGGTTGTGGAGAAAAAGGAACGCTTTTACACTGTTGGTGGGGGTGTAAATTAGTTCAACCATTGTGGAAGACAGTGTGGCAATTCCTCAAAGATTGAGAGGCAGAAATATCATTTAACCCAGCAATCCCATTACTGGGTATATACCCAAAGAAATATAAATTATTCTGTTATAAAGATACATGTACACATATGTTCATTGCAGCACTATTTACAATAGCAAAGACCTGGAATCAACCTAAATGCCCATTAATGATAGACTGGATAGAGAAAATGTGGTAGATATACACCATGGAATATTATGCAGCCATAAAAAGGAAAAGGATCATCTCCTTTGCAGGAACCTGGATGGAGTTGGAAGCCAGTATCCTCAGCAAACTAATGCAGGAACGGAAAACCAAACACTGCATGTTCTCACTTATAAGTTGGAGCTGAATGGTGAGAGCACATGGACACATGGGGTGGCAGGAACAACAAGATTGGGTGGGAGGAGGGGGAGCATCAAGAAGAACAGCTGATGGATGCTGGGCTTAATACCTTGGTGATGGCATGAGCTGTGCAGCAAACCACCATGTTACATGTTTACTTATGTAACAAAGCCGCACATCCTGCACATGTACCCTTGAACTTAAAATAAAAGTTGAAGGAAAAAAAAGAAGACTTACTCCTATTGTTCTAGAGAAAGAAAGAGTGAGAGTTGCAAGCAGCCGATTTCAACCCAAGGTAAGTCAATTCAATTCAATAAGTATTTATGATGTCTAGTATTTGCCAGAAATGTTTTCCGGCACTGGAGATAAAGCAGTGACCAAAATGGACAAAAGTTCTCCTCTCATCGAGTTTACATTAATGCAAGAGAGATAAACAATAATACATAAATATATAATATGTCAAGTGTTGAGGTGATGATGTACCCTGAGAAGAAAAATACAGCAAAGTACCAGCAACAGTGAATTGAGAACAAAATTTTTTAAAGATGCCAAATAAAATTGCATCAAAAAGCATCAAATATCTAAGAATAAATCCAGCAAAATATGTGCAAGACTTCTACACAGAAAATTGTATAAAGCATTAGTGAGAGAAATTAAAGAATACTTAAATAAATAGAAGGCTATACTGTGTTTGCAGATTGGAACTCTAAATATTATCAGGATATCCATTTTCTCCAACAATCGACCTATAGATTCAATGTAATTCCCCAAAATTAAGGGGGAGTGTGTGTGTGTGTGTGTGTGTGTGTGCTGATCAGATGATTCTAAAAATGTATATGAAAGTAAATGGCCATGGAGAGGCAAGGTGATCTTAAAGAAGAATAAAGTTAGAGAACTTATTGTACCAGATTTCAAGACTCATCGTAAAGCCACAATAAATAAGACAGTGTGATATTTCGGCAAAAGAACAGACAAACAGGCTGATAGGATACAACAAAGAGTAAAGAAACAGACCCACATGTATACTGGTACTTTATTTATGACAAGGGTGACACAGAGCAGTAGAGAAAGGTGGATATTTTTAATAAATGGTGCCAAGTCAATTGGATATTCATTGGAAAAAAATGAAACTTCACCCATACAAAAATCAATTCCAGGTCGATTTTAGATCTTAATGTAAAAGGCAAAATAATAAGGCTTTTAAAAGATAACATTGGAGAATATATTCCTGACTTGATGTAGACAAAGTTTTCTTAAGCAGGACTAAAACACACTAACCATCAAGAAAAAGATTAATAAATTGGACTACACTAAAAATAAGAACTTCTATTCATAAAAAGGCACTATTAAGAGAGTAAAAAGGCAAATCACAGAAATGGAAATAATGTTTGCAATATCTATAGTCTTAGTAATTAAAGGATAATTTTTAAATGTTTTCACCACAAAAAATGTTAAGTATCTGAGATGATGAATATGTTAACTAGCTGACTTTATTACACACATTGTATTAGTAAATTATAAAATCACTTTGTACCCCATAATTTATATAATTATAAATTGGCAATTTACAATACAAAATCTATACTTGACAAATAACCTATGCCTAAAATATAAAAGGAACACTTACATATTAGTTTTTTAAAAGAGAAATAACCCAATTTTTTTAAAGGAAGGAGAGAAGGAAAGACAGGCTTTTCATTGAAGCGACTATCCAAATAGTCAATAAACATTGAAAAAGGTATTCAGCTTCACTAATCATCAGGGAAACACAAATTAAAACTGCAGTGAGATACCACTTTACACCAGCCAGAGTTATAAATAATGTTTTTTTTGTTTTTTTGTTTTTGTTTTTTTGTTTTTTTGTTTTTTTGTTTTTGACGGAGTTTCACTCTTGTTGCCCAGGCTGGAGTGCAGCAATGGCACGATCTCGGCTCACCACAACCTCCGCCTCCTGAGTTTGAGCAATTCTCCTACCTCAGCCTCCCGAGTAGCTGTGATTACAGGCATGCACCACCACACCTGGCTGATTTTTTTGTATTTTTAGTGGAGACGGGGTTTCTCCATGTTGGTCAGGCTAGTCTCGAACTCCTGACCTCAGATGATCCATCTGCCTCGGCCTCCCGAAGTGCTGGGATTACAGGCGTGAGCCACCACGCCCGGCCATAAATAATCATTTTTTAAAAGATTATACCAAGTGTTGGTAAGGAAATGGATACGTAAGAACTCTCATTTGCTACTGGTGGAAATGTAAATGAGTATGACCACTTTGGAAAATTCTTTGGTAATATCCTCTAAAGCTAAACATGCATACCTTTTGACCCAGTAATTCTACTGCCATATATTGCTCAACAGAAATGCAAGCACAGGCACACCAAGAAGTAGCTACAAGAATGTTGATAGCAGCATTGTTCGTAATAGCTTATAACTGGAAGCAAACTTGAATGTCCATCAAGAGTAAAATGGTTCAATAAATTGTGATAGTCATACAACAGAATATTATATAGCAATGAAAAGGAAAAAAACTACTGCAAAATATGGTTGAATCTCACAAACATTGTTGAAAGAAGCTAGACCAAATGATTATTTAATAAATAGTTCTATTAATACAAATATAAATGATATATAGTGTTATAAATCAGGTTAGTGGTTACTCTGTGGGTTTCACAGAATGAAAAAGGCTATGGAGGGTTTCTATAGTGCTATTCAAGTTGTACAGATTTCTAAATGTGTGCTATATTTCAATAAAATAAGTAAATTAAAACAAAACCGAAAATAGGCTGGCACCTGAGTTTCTTAGAGTAATCCAAGACGAGTTAGGGCTGTGGGTGAAAGATTGAGAAAACACTACACTTATGAGACAAGAGACTGGGAATCCAGGAGGAAAGATAGTCAAGGAGAAATTCACAGTAGCTGGATTGCCTAAAGGTTTTTAAAGAACAGAGTATTTAATGTTCACTTTAAAATTGTGTTCTATTATGCCTGTAATCCCAGCACTTTGGGATGCCGAGGCGGGTGGATCACGAAGTCAGGAGATCGAGACCATCCTGGCTAACACGGTGAAATCCCGTCTCTACTAAAAATATAAAACATTAGCCGGGCGTGGTGGCGGGCACCTGTAGTCCCAGCTACTCAGGAGGCTAAGGCAGGAGAATGGCGTGAACCCGAGAGGCAGAGCTTGCAGTGAGCCGAGATTACGCCACTGCACTCCAGCCTGGGCAACAGAGCAAGACTCCATCTCAAAAAAAGAAATACAAAAAAATAGCCGGGCATGGTGGTGCGTGCCTGTAATCCCAGTTACTCAGGAGGCTGAGGCAGGATAATAGCTTGAACCCAGGAGGTGGAGGTTGCAGTGAGCCAAGATTGTGCCACTGCACTCCAGCCTGGGCCACAGAGTGAGACTCCATCTAAAAAAAAATAACAAAACAAAATTTAAAAATTAAATAAAATTGTTTTCGATGCTACAATTTGCTCTAACCACTCTGTGACTCCATCTCCACCACCAATTTTATTGTTCTCAAGCCATCAGTAAAGTTTACAACACCCCAAAAACGCAGGGTAAGGAAACAGTGATGGAGTAAGATGAAAGAGGGGCTATGTCATTTATGAGATAGGAAAGCCAAAGGAATACCTCTCTGAATAGAGAGCAAAAGAAGGGAGGGATCACAAGGTTAGGAGTTCGAGACAAGCCTGACCAACATGGTGAAACCCCATCTCTACTAAAAATACAAAAATTAACCAGGCATAGTGGCATGCACCTGTAATCCCAGCTACTCAGGAGGCTGAGGCAGGAGAATCGCTTGAACCTGGGAGTCAGAGGTTGCAGTTAGCCGAGATTGTGTCACTGCACTCCAGCCTGGGTGACAGAACAAGACTCAGTCTCCAAAAAAAAAAAAAAAAAGAGGGAGAAGAGAGCTCCAGACTGAGAGAAGGAAATGCAAAGGTCCAACACAGGGTATGCTGGGCACATCCAAAGACCAGCAAGGAAACCAGTATGTGTGAAGACAAGGAAGCTGGTAGAGAGATCAGAGACACAGCCAGGA
Organism: Homo sapiens; assembly: GCF_000001405.40. Taxonomy (NCBI): domain Eukaryota; kingdom Metazoa; phylum Chordata; class Mammalia; order Primates; family Hominidae; genus Homo; species Homo sapiens. Next base: position 122,180,613 of record NC_000003.12, read on the forward strand.
CCCACATGATGATGGCCTTAATGGGCCATGAAATTTACTGAATTTCACTCTGAGACAGGAATCCATTACAGACATGGTTTTGAGCAGGGAAATGACCGAATCCAATTTTATTTTTAAATGTGTCATTGCAGTTGCTTTGGGAAGAACAGCCTGTAGGAAGGCAAGGTCAGTGCAGGAAAACCAGATAGGAGGTTTTCTAAGAGAAAGATGATGCCAGCTTGGATAGGGCTGGTAGTGGTGGAGGTAGGAAAAAGAGGTTGAGTCTGGATGTATTTTGAAAGTCAATCCATCAGGACTTGTAGATGGGTTGGAGATAGTAAGTGAGGAAAAGAGAGGCATCAGAGGTGTCTCAGTAAAGAATTTCCTAATCCAATTGAACAAGCTTCCCCTGATGTAGCTCCTCCAGTGGAAGCATTTAGTCCTTTCACTGGACTGTCTGAATGGTCTTTTCCCTACAGCTTATCTGCCCTATATGTTCCCAAGTGGCTTTCTGTTCTTAGCAGTCAGGGGCCCAGGTGATGTCTACTCACCAAATATTCTTGAACCATAAGGCAATCAGATTATGGTTTTGTACATTATGGATTTTCAGACTTTATGGTTTCAAAATAAATTTCCTATACCAAAGATACTTTTTAACTGCTGGGGACCCTATAAACCCTTTTTTCCCCACACATCCATTTTAATACTAGTCCAAAGGGTTAAAAAAATAGCAAGGGGAGCTGCCTTAGGGGAAACAGAGGCCACACGATATGGAATTTGGGGATGGGAAATGCTGGAACATGAAAGGAAGGAGGAACAGCCCCACCATCTTGGCCCTCGGGGATGTTAGGAATAGAGGGTATACCAAAAGAAGGTGTAAGGGAGTAAATGATTGAAGTGTAAACCTCCCAAATGTTGTCTCTTTCAAAAGTTACCTTAGAGAGAATCTGCTAGTGCTCTGTTAATTATACCATGGTCACAGAGGTGCTGCTATTGTTCTGAGCTTACTTGGAACCCTTTTTTTGGATCTGTCCAAAAGGAGTGAATGTAACTTGCTCCAAAATCTGTGTTTCTAGAGGTTAGATACCTGAGAAGCCCTGCTGTCAAGAATCCCAGATTCTCCTGGTTGGCAGGAACTTTAAAGCTTCTAGCCACAGCGTTTGAGCTCCCAAGGCTGTCCTTCAGCATCTTCCCAGGCAGCCCTGATTCATTGTGGACTGAAACCTTTCTGTCATTCCTTCTATCCACTGGTCATAATAGAGTATGGGCTTGTATTTCCAAAATTTAAACATCACTGGTCCTATTAGTTCTTTTAGATCTTTCTTTCAAGTTGCTCATTTTTCTCATATAAGAAAATTTACCTTAAATGGAAACCACATCACTTTGTCAGTGGAAAACTATGTCAATTGGAACTTAACTGCATAAGGAATAATAACAGATGGAAGAGAAAACAATGATATTAAATTCTACTTAGGAGCTGTTGCCTAGCAAAGGTTCTGAGTGAGAGGCAACCTCTGTCTTTGTTAAAACAGGAGATTAGCAAGTGTTACAGAGGGGTGCAAAGACAAATACTACAAAAATGATACTCCTTCCTTGACATAATCCATAGGAACAAAAGAAGTAAAAAGGGCATATCTTTTTTCACCTTGTGATCCACTGTTATCTAATTGTATTGTCTGTGTACCACCCAATACCATGCTTCCAATCTCTACTGGAAGATGTACACACTGGGACACACTGGTAAAGTGATCAAGCACCAGGACTGTAAGTCAAGCTGATCAGGTTCAGCTCTTGGCTCTGCCAACTCCTAGCCACCCAACCCTAAATACCTGAAACTGTATGCATCAGTTTCTTCGTCTTTAAAATGGAAGCAATAATAGATCTTCAGAGTAATACTTTCTTAAAGATAGTGCCCAAATTTGGACATTATGCCCAGGTGTAATCCGACCAGTGAAGAGCATCAGTTCAGCCTAAGATTGCAGCCTCATTCGGGTTTTGAACTGAACTCGTTCAGCCTTTGGGTGTTCACAAAGCTGTGCTTGTAGCCAACTAAAATAAAATCTAAGGTATTTTGATAGGCACCACTACTGAGCCACATCCTCCATTACTTACATTGCTGGGTGTTTCGGCCTGAGGGAGGACTTCACATTTATTCCTATTAACCAGATTTTGCCCCCTTCACTGGTGCTTTAGCATTTGCTCAGCTCCTTCTCCTACCCTGTATTTGAGGGAAAGGAAGCCAAATGGGCAGAACTTGGCCATAATGAGGATGTGTTTGACATGCTGGATTTGAGTCTGTGTTCCATTGAAGAAAAGAAATGGAAACTTTGTTGAGTATCCATTCTATACAGGGCACTTTCCTTGACTATTTCATTTAACACTCCAAGGACCCCCTGAGGTAGATGTTATCGCCATTTTGCAGAGAAGAAATCTGCATTTTTATTTGAAGTTCTTAAACATGGTAAACGACCCAATTTTCTGCTTTTTGCTTAACAGTATTTTGCAAACATTTTATCATGTTACTTCATGTTTTCCTATTTTTTTTTTGCTTTATAAATAAATACATACTCCCTCCTTATTCTAAAAAGAATTTGAAGCACTTCTGTCTTGATGTTTATCATTTTAATGGTTGTATAATGTCCCATTAAGTCACCCTAATTTATTCAACAAATTTCCTACTGTTGACAGTTTGGCTCTGTTTGCTTTTTGTGGTTTTTAAAATTATTTTCTGTAACAAATGATCCTGCTAAAAAAAAAATCTCCGCACGAATATTATTTTGTTCTGGAAATTTCCGCAAGGGTGGAATACTGCATTAAAGGGGATAATATTTTTGGTGTTTCTTTATAGAGCCTAGCAAATTGCCCACCCAAAGGAGTATGCTTTATTTGAGAGTAAAAAGCCAAAAACAAACAAACACATACAAAAAAACTGGTTTTCTACAAAAGAAATTAATTTTCCACTTATTCATAAAATATTCTAGTGCTGTGATGGGTGGCAGGCACCGTGCCAGGGGCTAGGGACAAGGATAAGCAAGGCCAGGTCCGGGCCTCCAAGCAGCGCGCTGTGGAGTCGGGTAGAGTAGACCAAGTGCAACAGGCACCTGGCTGCAGCCAGGAAGGACCGCACGCCCTTTCGCGCAGGAGAGTGGAAGGAGGGAGCTGTTTGCCAGCACCGAGGTCTTGCGGCACAGGCAACGCTTGACCTGAGTCTTGCAGAATGAGTAAGAGTTTGGGCACGCGATTTGTATTTATTTTACTGTGAATCTCTGGCCTTATATCAGAAAAAAAAAAATTGTGCCACCCTCGGCACAGAGAACGTTGGTGGCGTCGTAAGCGCCCTAAGCTTCTTTCCATCGCCAAGGAGTAGGGGTCAGGGAAGAGGACAGCGGGAACAGGATTTGAGAGCCGGGAACCCCTGGCTCGGCACGGGAGAGGGCAGGAGAGGACCTAAGCGCGGGGCTCGCCGTCTGCTGGGGACCCGAGCCGGCCTGTGGCCCTCGGGGAACCGAAGACGCGCCCTCAGCGACCCTGAAGAGTCAGCTAAGCTCTCTGCGGGCTAAGGAGACGGTGAAGGAACCGGGACTAACTGGGGTAGGGGTTAGAAGGCAGCCCGCGAGTGGGCTACGAGGGGAGCTGGGCTCGGCAGTTGGGGACCCCGAGGGGGCAAGCGGGCGGGGAGCAGGAGAGGGGCGGAGCTCCGGGGCCGGGGCCGGGGCCGCAGCGGCCGCCCAGAGGGTCTGCGGGGGCTGCTGTGGCCGGACCCGAAGGCGGGCGCCGGGAGCGCAGCGAGCCAGACGCGCCTCTCCAAGACCGTGACCTTGGCATAGGGAGCGGGGCTGCGCGCAGTCCTGAGATCAGACCAGAGCTCATCCTCGTGGAGACCCACGGCCGAGGGGCCGGAGCTGCCTCTGTGCGAGGGAGCCCTGGCCGCGGCGCAGGTAGGACCGGGGAACCCAAGGAGGGCGGGAGGAAAGCGCCCCTGGTGGGGGAGGGGCCGTGGCGGGGTCTGGGGGCCAAGGGCTCCGGGCCGAACGAGGGGCACACGCCGGAGCAGCTCCAGCCTGGGAGCATTGGGCGTGAACGTGGGGGAAAGTAGGGACCAGATTACAGGATCAAGGCTTTCCCCGGCTCAGAACTGGATTGTTCAGTGCCCCTAGAAGGGGCAGCGGGTCGCCCACGCGAATGAACGGGAGCGCGCACCAAAACGCCTGCTGTTGGTAGTTTCTTGTGCCTCTGCCTTGTTTCTGCCTGTGATATAGTCAGAAAGGACTCGCTTGCCACGTGTTAACAAGGGGACAGGTAGCTTTTACAGAGTGTATGAATATGGAGGGGAGGGCCACAGAGTCAGCTCTGGCCCCAGGGGCCGTCAGTGCCCCCACAGGATTCCTGGTCCAAGCTACCAGCTGTCTTGGGAACTTTGCTTCAGTGGCATCAAATTAGATTGTCAGTTCCCGGGGCCTGAGCACCAGCCTCCATGTGTATTTCCTGGGGAGAAAAAAAAAAGGCATACCAGACTGATGGAGTCTTATCATTATTTTAACATTATAGCTTTCAATAGATAACATGCATATGTTTCTTTTTTTAAGTCAAATAATACAAACATTTATCTTCTACAGGCAATGCGTGCACTAGCATGTGTGTCTATTGCTGTCTCCTTTCTACACCCATAGCCTTTCCCACTCTACGTGTTCTGTCGCCGTCTTTTGATTCTTTATCCAGAAAATGATGTCACCACCACTGCCCACATCCCTTAATCTCCAGTGTTCCTCCTTGCAACGCCTCTCTTGTCCTCAAATATTTTTCACAAGGTGGTCCTCAGGGTAGGGAGCCTACTAACGAGAAGACATTTCGTTTACTTGCTTCAATTATCCCAGAGATTTGAAGAAAAGGCACATTGGGGAAGAGTCCATGTCAAGTTCTAAACACACTTATCTTTCCCCTTAAACTGGATCTTCCAAGTGCAGTTTAGGTAGTCTGTTACTGAGAGAAATAATGCAGGCTGTTTTCTGAAATGCTCTGGATTTCCAGAACTTAACACCACAGTAGTTCCTATTCCTTAAAACAGAACTTCATCAGTCACACCTTGCTGTTGCTTTTCCCATCTCCACTCCAGGATTCCCTAACTGGCATGCCTAGGATTTTTCCTCTGTAGGAACCTGGGAGAGCGGGTGCTTTATACCTGCCTCCCAGGTGTCCAATGAAGGGGCTGAGGGACAAAGCTTTGTGGTGGACAAAAGGGGAGGGGAAGATGTAGGAGAAGTTGGAGGGGAAGTAGGAAGGAAGAAGCAGGCCAAGACCCTTGAGTAGAGAAGACTCCTCAAGCACAGAGCCCTGTCATTTGGGAACAGTCTCCATATAATTTCTAAGAGACCACACATGCGAGTTACTTCCTGCCAATACAGCACAGTCAGCTCTGTTCCAAGACTTCTATGCTAGACCAAAACATAGTAAGTGAAAAAAAAAAATCAGCAAATCAACCAGTTTTTGTCTCTATGATAAAACAGAGTGGTTGAAATTAAATTAGTTAAAAATTTTCTTTTTTACTGAATTAGCAGGTTCTTTAGGAGCTGTGTCCATTGTTTAAAATCACCTAATAGGTACTCCAGTCTCCACATTTTTCCTTTATTTTGTTTATCTTTTCATATTGCATAACCTTGAACTGGATCCCAACCATGTCAGAAAGTTCAGGCTGATTAGAAGCTGCCACTTCTAAGACTTTTTGGTGGAAGAGAGTGGGGAGGAGAGGGTGAGAAAATAATGACTGATCCTTGTGATAGGGTAGGGGTATAATGAAGAGGAAGAAGTTAACTACAAGTTTGAGACTGGTGAGGAGTTGCATATAATTCTTAAGATAACACGGCAATAAGTAAGTAAGAGGTAAAAAAATCATTCATCATTCATCATTCAAAATGTTTATAGAGTGCCTGGCTATGTGCCAGTCACTGGGAACTAACTGGTATATAAAACCAGGTGAGGTCCCTGCTCTCCTGGAGCTTACAGATGCTTTGGGGTGGCAGCTGTTAGGAAAATAAATATTGACTATATGTTATTACAAACTAAGATAAACTGTCTGAAGGAAAGAAACGAAGTTCTTTGAGGGTGTATACAGACTGAACTGTGAGACCAGGGAAGCCTTTCTCAAGGAGATCTCCCTTGAGCCAAGATTCAAAGATGGAGAGGAAGGTTGAGGATATATTTGTTGTTTACGTAGGACCAGAATGTATCCACTAGGAATGGTGTTTGGCTGCTAGTCATTAAGAAGACTAACTGCCATGTGACATTTGCTGTACTACATGAGCACATGTGCCAACTTGGCATTTTTGGCACTTTGGGAAAGAATGCTTTGTTATCACAGTATCAGTTGCATTGTCTTCAGTTGGTCATGGTTTGCCATTGCTGTATTCTTGCTTTATAATTAAATGTTTCAATTAACTTTATGCTTATCCACTTATTTTATTGTGTACAATAAAATGTGTGCATTGCAGTTCAAATGTGAATCATCCATATTCCCATTAATAAGGTAAATATATATATAACCCTGATACCAAATGTGGTTTATACACTGACTGTTCAATGTTATCACTAAATAGATTCTTTAGGTGAAAATAGGTGTGGCAGGTGGGCTGTAATATCTTCCTTCCATCCCTAGCCACTGCTCTAATTGGGAGGATGCCAGAATTTTTCAATTATTCTAAAGCTGCATGATCCTTTTCAAAGATTCATATATAGCTCTTTAGTAAAGAAAAAAAATCACCAATTGCACTGAAGCAACATATTTAACATTCAAACAAATATTTTTATTCATTCGACAGTGTTTACAGTAAACCTTGTATGTGCTCAGAGCTGTGCTAGACAGTATAATTAAAACTGATTACTAGGACAGAGTCCCAACATTTAAGGAGTTCATAGAAGTCTGAGAGGGAGTCATGCTCATCCATGTGCAGGTAGTATTGTGTTCATTACAATTAAAGCATAATCAGGGTACGTTCATGTATAAGGGAAGGGAGTGGTCAATTCTACCAAAGGAGGAAGGGTCAGGGAAAGGTTCTTGGAGGAGGTAACGCTTGAGTTGAATCTTGAAAGATGAGGAGTGACACCAGGTAGACAAAAGAAGAAGGTATAATGGGAGAGAGATTCATGTGCAAAAACAAGCAATTAACAACAACTAAACCAGAGGCATGAAACATCATGTCAAGTTCTAGGACCTGCAAGTGGTTCAAGGAGCTGAAGCATAAGGAGCCAAGAGGTAGGGAGGCTAGCAAAGTGGCTAAAGTATGCATGATGGGGTCACAGAAACAAAGATTTGAGTCGTGGTTCTGCCACTTTCTAGCTGTGGGACCTCAGTTAAGTAATTTAGCCACAGTAATTAATGGTAATAAAGGTAATACTTTCCTCATAGGATTGCTGCAAAGATTCAGATAAGATATGCACAGATTATGTACTCAGGAATTGTTGGCTATTCATTATTTATTCTAGGGCAAAGGAAGCTGCTGGAGGGTTTTACATAGAGGAGTGACTCGTGAGCATTTTTGCAATCACTCTGGCTGCATGTGGATGCTGAGTTGAAGGGGGCTCATTTGGAACAAAGTAAATATTTAGAGACATTATAACCATTTAGATAATGGTAATGATGGCCTGAACCATGGCGGTCATGGCAGCAGCCATGGAGAAAACTAGCTAAATGCTTGAGATATCGTCAAAGTAGACTCCACCACAGAACTAAGTTACTCATTAGATGTGGTCAGTGAGGGAGAGGATTTGAAGAGGTGAAGCCTGAGATTCTGGTCTGTTATCCTTTGACTCTGTCATTCAAGTGATCTTGGGATAGAAAAGAAGAAGTGAGTATCAACCAGGACTGGGGATCAGGAATCTGGGAAGTGCTTGTATACAGAGAACTTCATGATCGGTACCAAAAAAAATGCTATCTCTGATTCAGAAGAGCCCTTGACCATTTCTGTGTCTGAACATAAAATAGGATCAGTTAATCCATACCAAATATAATATCCATCTTCTCTCTCTCTCTTTTTCTCTCTCTCTATTTCTGGGAGGCTTTCAGTTCAAAGTGGGTGGACATTAGACTTCACCTATTTGTCATTGCCTTGAAGTGACAGATGTACCCTCACTCCATGCCTGGTACTGTTGGTTCAACTCTTGCCTGACACCAGCCTGATTCACTTTTTTCTCCTTTTTCTCATGTCTTCTCATATACAATAAGCACTAACTGAGGTGTCCACATGGACTTTATTAAAGTCCATGAGAATTAGAGGATTCAGGTAGTTCCTATTTCATCATGCAATGCAGTCTTGGTAACCACAGTATCCATTCATAAGGCAGGAAACAATACAGACATGTGTGATAGTGTTTGTTGAAAAGCTGCCGAGAGCTTTATTACTGTTTCCACCAAAGGTGGATACTAGGAAGTGCTGATTAAGGGTGTGCTTTTGGATTCAGTTGCTCAAACAACTGTATTATTACTCAAAGCCACAGAAATGAACATTATAATTAGGCAGAGCCAAATGAGTGAGATGGTCAAATATGAAATGAGGAAAACAAGATCAGCCTCTGCCGTGGACAGTCTAGTTTGGTGGAAGGTGGGCTTTCTATCTCTGACCTTCAGCATGACATTAACCTAGCTGAGCCTCAGTTTTTAGTGGTGGACCTTCCTTTGAGATCTGTGAAGCTAAGGTAATGTCTCCTTCACAGGGCGGTTGTGAAGTTTAAATGAGTTAAATGTGCTAAACACAATGTGTGGCGTATGGTGGGTGCTTAACTAGCTGATATCCTTTGGCTCAGTTAATCCCCAGGGTCTTTCCTCACATTGAAAAAGCAGGAAGCATGCAGATTTCTTGGGTTAAGTAACCTGAATTAATTTGTTTTAATGTGTTTTTCATCTATGATTGATTTTTTTTCCCTGGGAACCAGGGTGGAAACCTGTTTTCCTCCACCCTCAGTGAATGCTTATCAGTGATGATGGGGGCAAAGGTAATATGATACCTGCAGAGAGGAAACTAATTTTAGCCATTCTTCCTTCAACAAGTCTGTCACACACATGCAAGTAAAATTACTAACAAATAGAAAAATTGAGTAATTTGACTTCTTCCTCCCATATTTTCTGTTGGTAGAGTTCCTATTAAGCATATTTTTTGTTTATCTTTTGTTTTTCATGTAGGTAGAAAGAAGCAGGCTCAAAGAAATTGCAGTTGTACCCCTCAATAATTGTTTGTCCTTAGGAACAAAGTTTTGCTTTTCTCCTCTTAACAGAAGTTGATGGTTGAAAGAATTATCATATCTTTCATATAGTTTTTCTAAATATTCTATAATTTGACATAAGCTTTTAGTTTAGTTTTGTTCACCAGTTGGGTCCCAACTGCATGTCAGATGTTGAGTTGGCACTGTGTACTCAGAGACGCCAGCTGTGGTGCCCAGATCTCCAGTCTGGTAGCCCTTGTGAGAGAGACTGGGTAGGAAGAGAAGTGGGGTGGAGGGTGCAAGCTGATCTTAAACAGCTGATGGTGGTGGGAGTGACACTCAGGCTGAGGCTCTCTACCACAGCTTCAGGCTTCCAGTCCATCCAATCATGCACTCCTTTGGGTCAGGATCTGGGTCTACTCATCCCAGTGCCCCAAGCCCCTGCCAGTTAGAGCCCTTATGTGCTAAGTGCTTGTCGATTAAGAGATTCGGGGAAAGGTAGTGAGGAGGCTAGGTGATCTTCTCTTTTCACACTCTTAAAAATGAAAATAGTCCAAGTAAAGTTTATACTCCATGCAATTATCAACCAATTTCCATTCATCCTCATCTTTTGAGAGGCAGTACACTGCAGTGGTAATAGCC